>NC_000001.11:117129592-117432622 GCF_000001405.40 Homo sapiens
CATTTGGCAATAATGCTTGTGATTAAAATTAGTACAGTGCTCATGCTGCTGTGTTAGAGAATTGATCATAAAAGGCTCTTGATAATATTGCATTATAATTTAACACTTTTTTCCTTTTAGGATTCTTTCATTACTAGTACTTATTAAACATGACAACTTTAAAGATTGATTTTGAATGGAAAGTTTTGGTTTAGAAGGGGCCCTTCGTTTGGAATATGTTTGCCCCAGTTATCTTGCTCTCTGTCAGAATGCTAAGTCAATGAGGGCAATCTGTTGAGTTTTCTGTATATCCTCAGTGTCTAGTTGGATGTCTCGCTCATAGTTGGAGCTCAATAAATATTTATTAAATGAATATATGAGAAAATTGAGGTGCAGCAAGGTAAAGACACTGATTTAAGGTCACGTATGACATTACTGGCAGAATTAGGGCAAGAATCCATGTCTTCTGACTCCCACTCCATTGAGTGGTTCAATATAATACTTTGTCTTGAATCAGTACTGCTTTTCGATTCAGATGCCTGTGGCACTTGCCTGGACCCTTTGCTTTGAAAGAACCCATCCTGGCCCTTCTCCAGCCACACCTCTTCCCATGGGCCAAGGAATTCCAAGAGTACATCTCTCCCCTCACCACCCCACCCTCACCTCCTTCAGACTAGGTTCCAGCCACCTACAAGCCCAAAATTCTTTGACAAATAGCCAGAAGCCCACTCCCAGGCCCATGCAGTTGTAGACTGCAGGGTAAGTGTGCACACACTTAGGCCTCAGGAGTGGTGAAAGGACAGCTTTTGGGGATGGTGGAACTTGATCAAGCCTGTTGGAGTGTCCACACACATATGCAAGGGCCTCTGGTAGGATGGAGAAAGATGAGAACAGGCCATGGGCTGGATGCCCCTGTTTGTCCTCTTGCTCATGGCCACTCAAATATTAGGGGTAGGCCTGCCTCCTATATTAAATCTAGTTTCTCCACATATTTAATATAATTTAAACCAGCACTAAGTGAACGCCAGTATTATGCCAGACACTGTGCTGGATATTTTCAAATGCATTACCTCATTTAAATGTTATTCTTCCATAAGAATGCTCAGAAGTAACTTACCCAACTTACCTAAGGGCAAGCAACTGAGAAGTTAAATGCATAACCCGTATCCTCAGGCAGTAAGTACAGTACCAAAATACTGGTGTGTGTGTGTGTGTGTGTGTGTGTATGGTATGTGTGTGTATACATACATATATACATATACTTTTTCTTGAGTAAATAATGTATCTGATAAAAACATGCAAACAATTTACAAGAATATAAGTAAATAGTAAATCTCCCGTGCCAGGCCTCGAGTCAGAGACAACCAGTTAATAATTTTTTTAATTAAAAATACCCACATATTTTAAAATTTATCATCAATAATTTTTAAACTTTTTTATTTGGGAAACTTCAGATATATGATATATACAAGCATAGGGAAAAGTATAAATAACCCCTAAGTACCCCTCACTCAACATCACCAGTTACAGCATTCTGTCACTCTTGTTTAATATACTTCCCCAACTTTTATGTTGTTTTCTCTGCTGGAGGTTTTCAAAGGAAATACCAGATATCATGTCATATTATTAAATTATATTAAAATATTAGATACTTAATTTATAAAGGTTTTGATGTAAAGATGGAAAATATTTTGAATTTTCCATGAAGACCTCTTAATTTAAAAAATGCCACATAAGATTATATATGCCATATAACATTTTACCAATGTTATTTAAATTTATTTATGTATTTATTTAGAGATGGAGTCTCGCACTGTTGCCCAGGCTGGAGTGCAGTGGCGCAATCTTGGCTCACTGCAACCTCTGCCGAGTTCAAGCAATTCTCTTGTCTCAGCCTCCCAAGTAGCTGGAACTACAGGCGCACACCACCACACCTGGCTAATTTTTGCGTTTTTAGTAGAGACAGGGTTTTGCCATGTTGGTCAGGCTGCTCTCGAATTCCTGACCTCAGGTGATCCACCTGCCTCAACCTCCCAAAGTGCTGGGATTACAGGCCTGAGCCACCATGCCCAGCCCTAATTTTTAAATATTTAATGTTTCCTCCTTTGTTCCAAAGGACTCACGGGGGAGTTAGGCAATAATAATTTTGTGACTATAAATTAAACTTAAACGTGCATTCCACCTCATGCCATGCAGTTTTCTCTGCAGAATTCTGTGAGACTGTGTCTGTTTTTATTTTATAGTCCGTCCACTTTTTATCTTTCTTTCCCTTCTTTTGGAAGAGCTGTTGAAAATGGTAAGCAAATAAATGCCATTTTTTCCTCACTTCTCTGAGTGATAAAACCTGAAAATGATGAATATATAAGGGCAGACTATGATTTAATGTAGTGCCTTTTCTAATTCAAATGACAACTAACTTTTCTGAGCTAAAGTGTGCCCATGTCGTGATAATAATATTTAGAGGATGAGTAGGTTATAATATATCATGGCATACAGAGAGGTCTATACATTAGTTCCAGGAATGTTGCTAGGAAATATTAAAAAAAAAAATGTTCCTAGATGCAAGGAAATATAAATAATCCCCACCAACTAGGGCAAAGCCTAGGTATTTATTTCTATATTGACAGCAACTATTTTTTTCTTAAGTACCTATTTTCTAGATGGCATTTAAATCTGCACTGCATTTTAGTAAATTTTTCACTTTTTTGCACAGTGTTCAGGACCTGAAAGCTCCTTCTCCTATTATTAATGAGGAGTATATGATGTCTTCAGGAAATTCTGAAGTAATAAAAGCCCTTCTATTCTTCAGTGTTCCGTGCCCCTCTTTTAGGCAGAATCCCGTCAAGAAAATCTTTGGAACAGTACTGTCTGGAGCACTGGACTGGGGAGGGCCGGGTGAATCTCTGTGTTTGAGGAGCTGAGAAGCAACACTCTGGGTGGAAAAAAGGCTCAGAGACTTGTTTGGAAGCTGCATTTGCAGAGTAAAGCACTTTTTGATATATGCATCTAGTGTGGCCTGGAGCAATGCTGATAGAGATTGTGAGGTAGGAAGAGTCTAGGTGGGTAAAGTCCCTCCAAGCCACCTTTGGTACTGCCATTGCTCTAGACCTGTGTTGTCCAATATGAGGACTTCAAATGTGTTTGGTCCAAATTAAGACAATGCTGTAAGTGGAAAATGCACACTGGTTTTGGAAGATTCATTATGGAAAAAAAGAATGTAAAATATCTCGTTAATAATGTTTTATATGAATTGCATGTTGAAATGATAATATATATGATATATTTTTATTTTTATAGCTTTTAAGGTATAGACTATTTTTAGAGCAGTTTTAGGTTCACAGCAAAATCAAGCAGTTTTCCATTAGAAAATTTACAACTTATCTTACGTGTATATGTTATTACTATATTAATATTCTTTCTAAAAACTAATTGTAATAGGAGTTCATTCTATTATATTCTGATTTATTCCTTCTTTATGTTAGATCTGTTTATCTCAGACATTCTAAGTGGGAGCAATATTGCCCCTAAATGGACAGAACTTGGTTCTTGGATTGTTAAAAAAAATCCTACTTTTAAAAAACATTTTTTATTTTAGATGGGAGGTTACTGTGTCACTCAGGCTGGAGTGCAGTGGCACAATTATAGCTCACTGCAGCCTTGAACTCCTGGGCTCAAGCAATTCTCCTGCCTCAGCCTCCCAAGTAGCTGGGACTACAGGTGCACACCACTATCCCCAGCTCTTTCTCTTTTAGTGTACAAAGCACAGATATATATGTAGTACAAAACCAGAGATAGATAGATAGATAGATAGATAGATAGGTAGATAGATAGACAGACAGACAGCTAGATAGATAGATGATAGATAGATAGATTAAAGTTTCCTGAGGGGTGATTAGGAAAAAAAAGAGTCTAAAATTGTTCCTTAGGGGGTTGGTCATGAAAGGCTGACTAACACTGGTTTATCTACACTAGATATTCTTAGAGTGTGTGCACATAACAATGGAACTTTTTAATGAACTATCAATCTCCAAAGTTTCCTAAGGAGGGAAAAATGTATAAAATAGATGAAAGTATAGAAAGATTTACATTTGCAGATTAGTGGGAAGGAAGTATCTGAGGAGTGTTAGAAATCTCTACCACTGGCCGGGTGCGGTGGCTCTTGCCTGTAATCCCACCATTTTGGGAGGCTGAGGTGGGTGGGTCACCTGAGGTCAGGAGTATGAGACCAGCCTGGACAACATGGTGAAACCCTGTCTCTACTGATAACACAAAAATCAGCCAGGTGTGGTGGCATGCACCTGTAATCCCAGCTACTCGGGTGACTGAGGCAAGAGAATCGCTTGAACCCAGGAGGTGGAGTTTGCAGTGAGCCAAGTTCGTGCCATTGCACTCCAGCCTGGGCAACAAGAGTGAAACTCCTTCTCAAAAAAAAAAAAAAAAGAAAGAAAGAAAGAAAAAAGAAAAAGAAAAAAGAAAAAAAGAAATCTCTACCACCAACTAATCACCAGATGTTAACCTTTTTGCCAATTCATTTCTCTCTGTGTGTGTGTGTGTGTGTGTGTGTGTGTGTGTACATATGTGTGTGTACGTGTGTGTATTATCTAGGTGAAGCAAACATAAATGTTCTTTGCATTTATTTTTTCAAATGTTTTCTAGGTGTGAAATTTTTCCAAATGATAGTTGGGGAAAGGCTGGGCACGGTGGCTCATGCCTGTAATCCCAGCACTTTGGGAGGCTGAGGCAGGTGGATCACAAGGTCAGGAGTTTGAGACCAGCCTGGCCAACATGGCGAAATTCCATCTCTACTAAAAATACAAAAATTAAGTGAGCGTGGTAGCTGGTGCCTGTAATCCCAGCTACTCAGGAGGCTGAGGTGAGAGAATCGCTTGAACCTGGGAGGTGGAGGTTGCAGTGAGCTGAGATCGCACCACTGCACTCCAGCCTGGGCGACAGAGCGAGACTCTGTCTCAAAAAAAAAAAAGGGGAAAATGCCATACTTCCCCACACCCTCTCTCTACCCATTCCTGTACTCCAGTTCTATACTGGGGTCCTATGGAACCACAGTTTCTTGGTAACATGTTTTCTTTCACTTCTAGATATTTGCATATATTTCTCCCTCTGCAGGGAACATATTGTCTGGCCTCCCACTTTGTCCTTCACACACAGCCTTTGCCTAGATAACTCCCAGGGGTCTTTTAAAGTTTCACTCCCTCCAGGAAGCCTTTCATGATCACCTAACCCCACTAAAGTCTGCGTTAAGACTCTCATATATATTTCCTTTATTGTAATTGTTCTTATTATTGTCCTTGTCATACAATATTATACGTGTACATTAAACTTGTCTGTTTTCACTGCACTATGAGTTCCTTAAAAGCAAGGATTATGATTTATCTTATTCATTCTTTGTCCTCTGAAACTATGACAGGGCATCTCACAATATTTATTAAAGTAATAATTGATTTTTCAATAAAATGCATAGTTGCTTTATATAACCCCATTCGAAAGGAAGGAAAAAACAAGAAAAAGGGGGGAAAAAGAAAACTTTGATGTTTTATTTGGTTTGTAAAGCTTTACTGATGACAACAGCATAATTTCAGGTTAGACTTTTATAAAATATTGAAAATAGCTCCTAGATCGCATTAGCCATGTAAAACTCTGGGTGAAATATCCCTGACAGTCCTAGAAAAAATTGGTTGGTTGTTTCTCTCAGCTCCAAAAGAGCTGTTTCTGCCTCTGTCTTACTCTGCAGGAGGTGCGGTAGGAGGTGGGAAGTCGGGGAGAGTGGGGATGGTACAAAGATGAAAAGTAAGGGAATGGTTTTTCAGGAATTTGGAGTTTAGCAAGAGAAACAGACTCATGAGTGATACTAACAGTTCTACCTTACATATGTATCATGTTTTTTGTTTGTTTTTGTTTTTTTTTTGTTTTTCTTGCAGTTTACAGTGCAATTTCCCATCATTTATTCCTCAAAAAGCCCTTTAAAGTAGGCATTATTAGCCCCATTTTAAGGGTGATTTTAATATAAGCCAGGATGTGCCATGAAAGTAAGATGTTCTTTTTTTTTTTGTTTTCTTGAGTCCAGGCATTTCTCCTGTATCTAGCGTCCATCATTTAAAATCTACCACTCCTTACCATATTCTACACCTTTCCTTTTGTATAAAAGTGTGAGGTATAACCCAGGCTGCAACTTCAGCCCTCAACAGCAGGAACTATTGTCTAATGAAAGATGTACTCCAGATGGAAAATTTCTCAAGTGAAATGGATGGAATTGGTAAATCCATTGTTTTCTAAATTAGCAAATATTTGGGTATGTAATAATATACATTTATTCAAGACAAAGGCTATGATCACAGCTTTTCAAAATATGTATGCAAACGGATGAGGACTAAAGCATACACATTTTGATCATTATTAGGGAGGTGGATTTAGGAGTAATTATTTTCTCCATAAATTAAAAATCGTCAATAATTTTTAGCTTATGTACATACCCAAGTTCTTTTGCACATTAATTAAAGAAAGCTGAGAATCACCTATTTTCAGTCCTAAAGGATTCTTGGCTTATTTAACCCACTAGGTGAGTGGCCATTTTCTCTCTGTCTTCCCAGCTCCAATCAAGACAATCTTCCCACCTTCTCTCAAGAACATGCATAGGACTTTGCCAGAATTATTGGATCAAACCACCGCACCATGACACATTGACCTGGGAAAGAATTGTTTATTTCTCAACTTGATCACTCTTCTGTTTTGAACCTGCAGGCGTAATGAATGCTTGCTCTCCTCTTCCTGAAGCAAATTACTTGTATTTTTGTATTATCCCTTAAAGGGGTGGTTCTCGGGCAGGGGTGGTGGCTCATGCCTGTAATCCCAGCACTTTGAGAGGCTGAAGCAGGCAGATCACCTGAGGTCAGGAGTTTGAGACCAGCCTGGCCAACATGGTGAAACCCCCGCCTCTACTAAATATACAAAAAATTAGCCAGGCATGGCAGTGGACACCTGTAATCCCAGCTACTTGGGAGGCTGAGGCAGGAGAATCGCTTGAACCTGGGAGGCGGAGGTTGCGGTGAGCCGAGATCGCGCCATTGCACTCCAGCCTGGGCAACAAGAGCAAAACTCCGTCTCAAAGAAAAAAAAAGGGTGGGGGGTGGGGTGGGGGGTAGGGGGTAGTTCTTGGATCACTAATTGGAAGTATGAAGGCAGGAAGACTAGTTGAGAGTCTGGGGCAATTGTTCACCTGAGCGATAATGCAAATCTGGGCAGAGTCCTGCAGGCCTCTTCTTCCCATACCTGGCAGGGAGCTGGCAACATGCACATGTGGCCACACCCATGTGGTCACCCTTTGTGTTGCAGTTTCAGCTGATCAATAGTTCAATGACATTTGTATGTAGGGAGGATTGCCTGACCCTCCTACAATGGCTGTTCGGGAGGTGGGATTATTCCTTTTCTTTATCTGAGCAGATATACATCTGAAAGGCCCTGGAAGTCCTTGGAAGAACAACCTAATAACAGCTCCTGAGCATTGGGGGTTCCAATTTCCAACAGGGCTATTTCTTCAACTGAGGGCTTGCATAGCATCATGGTTGCCTACTTTTCCTGCAAATATAATATAGACCATTACTGTGGGGAAGGGTCACTCTCTACTGGAACACTTGAACCTGATGAGTCCAGTACAGCTATACCCAGCCTAAGTGCTATAAGGGCCCAGAGATTACCCTGCTCCTTGAAATCTGATTGTGTTTCCCCAGAAAAGCCCTCTTTTATGTTTACACTACGTAGCTCTAGAAGTAAATGTGTCTGTATCCCTTTTGCCTGACTGGCCAGCACACAGGTGTTTTCAGTCTTCAAGGACTACAAAAAGTTAAGGGTGAAGGAAAGAAAACACACACACACACACACACACACACACACACACCGGTTTCTATCCTGAGAGCCCCAGGACAGAAAAGATTGTAATCTACCTCTAGCCTAAAAACATCCCTAGCACTCAGCAATTTAGTTTAGTCACATGGAGACAAACTGCCCCTTTATCACTCAATTCTCCTCCTTTGAAGATTGGACCCACACTGGTTTATTTTTTATCTTTTCATGATCTATGGTCTTTTGTAACATTTAAAATAGTAACCTGTGGTTTGGGGAGGCCATTAGCCAATTCTGTTCCCTTAACAGCATCTACCTGCTGAGCCATTGTGCTCTAGTTTTTAAGTGTCCTCTGGCCTGGTTTGCTATCAGTAGCTATTTGGACAAGACTTTCTGTTGTGCCGCAGCTGTTCAAGCATTAAACATCTATTCTTGGTCAAATGGAGGGAAAAAAGCAAAGTTCATGTTTTTTCTTTTGTGGTTCCTTGATGTTCATTCGCTCTGACCACCACACGTACTTAATAATAGCTAATTTTTATTAGTTCCTTCATATATGCCCATGTTATGGATGGAACTGTGCCCCCGCCCCACCCCAGATTTATATGTTAAATTCCTGACCTCCAGGATACCTCAGAACATGACTCTATTTGAAGATACAGCCTTTAAAAAGGCAATTAGGGTCAAATGAGGTCATTTGGGTGGGCCCAAATCCAGTATGGTGGGTGTCCTCAAAAGGGGAACTCCATGTGCCCTCCCTTCCCATCCTCCTTCCGCCATCTCTACATGCTGCCATAATGGAATGCATGAACGCCCTGGCTGATGCTCTCAAGAACATCAACACTGGAAAAGGAGGCAAATGCCAGGTTCTTATTAGGCTATGCTCCAAAGTCATCATCTGGTTTCTAACTGTGTTGATGAAGCATGGTTACATTGGCAAATTTGAAATCGCTGATGATCACAGAGCTGGGAAAACTGCTGTGAACCTCACAGGCAGGTTAAACAAGTATGGAGTGATCAGGCCCAGATTTGATGTGCAACTCAAAGATCTAGAAAAATGGCAGACAAATCTGCTCCCATCTCGCCAGTTTGGTGTCATTGTACTGACAATCTAAGCTGGCATCATGGACCACAAAGAAGTAAGACAAAAACATACAGGAGGGAAAATCCTGGGATTCTTTTTCTAAGGATGTGATACATACTTACAAATAAAATGCCTCAGTGGAAAAAAAGAAAAAGAAAAGGGAGCGACATCAGGAGTGCACACACACAGAGAAAATGCTGTGAGTACACAGCAAGAAGGCAGCTGTCTACAAGACAGAGAGGCCTCAGGAGAAGCCAAATCTGCTGACACTTGATCCTAGACTTCCAGGCTCCAGAACTGTGAGAAATAAATGTCTATTGTTTAAGCCACCCAATCTGTGATATTTTGTGATGGTAGCCCTAGCAGACTAATACAGGCAGGCAATGTAATAACTGCTTTTTATGAATTATCTCATTTAATTGTCACAGTTACTAGATGAAGTAGGTACTATTTAGACAGGCACTGCTAATATAAATTTTGCCCAAGCAGGAACTCTGTTCAGAGTATGCTCAGGCTTGACCCTGAAAGTAGGTAAGTAGAATACTCTGGCTCATAAATGGATGAGGTGGGGAGAGAAGTTTAATGGACACAAGAATTCCCTGACACTTGTGTATCTTTATCCAGATTGTATCTACCCGTTTGCTCCTTGTTCATTAAAGGAGAATGGTAATACCCTAATTTACACCAGGAAGACTTCTTACAAGTGTTTATTTATTAAACTGAGAAATCCTTTTTGATTATTCACTAATAATTTCTAATTTTTTCCTCTATTTTGTTCTTTCTTACCCATCTCCAGGGAATGGCTGGGTGAATGTATGTGCACATAGCATTTTCCTTTCTGTATATGCTGGCTAAAACTGTAGGTCTCAAAGGTTATCAAAAGTTCAGAAACAGATACAAGTATATGTAAGAAAAATACATATAATAAAATATTTTAAAAAGTCAGTGAGGGTAAGGATAAATTAACAAATGGTATTATAAAATCACTTGAAAAAATAATACTTAATTCTTCTCAGAATATACAAAAAATTAATTTCAGATTGGATTAAATATTTAAATGTTAAAAATAAAACATGGAAGCATTAAAATGTAAAGATTAATTTTTTGTATAATTGAGGGCTACAGAAGGCCTAAGTACTAAGGGAAGTACTTAAATATAAAGATAGAAACCAAAATAGAAATTATTGATAGATTTGACTATATAAAAGCAGTGTGGTGGGTCATGGCAAAGAGGCTAGAACCATATGTAATCTATTCTCAACATTAGTAGACTCAGGAGGATTTAATAATTAAATCTGTTCTTTCCAGGTATACTTGAGGCCAACAACAAGGAACACATAATCTGGTCTCAGGAAACATTTTGCATCATCTGGTAAAGGGATTTCTGCCTCATCAGATTACAGACTACATGTGAAGCCTTGAAGGATAGCTCCAAGGAGATGCGTGAGCACAAGGCAGTGTCCTCACAGTGAGCTAGGAAGAGGCTTGCACTGTCACTGCCAGTCCGTTTGTGCATCAGAGAAGGCCTAAGCGTAATTGAGCAGTCATTGCTGTCTCCTCCAGGGAGAGGAACCATCCTCCTCACAGATGGCTGAAGATCTTATGAAGCTGAACCTCCCAACAAATCCTCATATTTCGATACAAATAAGAATATGATTGTCAATATTCATACAATGTTTTAAACCTTATGTAGCAATTTTGCACATTCTTATACTCTTTCAGAAATAGTGTGGGTTGTGATGATAGATTTGGGTTTGAATTCTGGTTAACCTGTTGGCTATGTGATCCTGGGTGAGTTACGTAACCTCTCAGAACATATTTTCTCCTCTATAAAATGGTGATGGTGATGGTGCTAGGGTCAAAATGATACCACCTTATGGGATAAGGATTGGATGAGAGAAATACCTAGCTTGACCCATAAGAGGCACTCCATTTCCTTCCCTTTTATAAAGGTGGTTATTTGCATCAGTAGACCTCAGATTTCCACAATAGTTACATGTTTATATAGGTGATGTGTTCTCTTCAAACATGTCTCATGTTACATGGTGAATTTTTTTTTAAGAGATAGGGTCTCACCCTGTCACCTAGGCTGGAGTGCAGCAGCATGATCCTAGCTCACTGCAGCCTTGAACTCCTGGGTTTAAAATATCCTGCCGCCTTAGCCTCCTGAGTAGCTGGGACTACAGGTGCATGCCACCACACTTGGTTAATTAAAAAAAATTTTTTTTGTAAGGACAGGGTCTTGTTATGTTGCCCAGTCTGGTCTTGAACTCCTGGCCTCAAGTGATCCTCCTGGCTTGGCATCCCAAAGCACTGGGATTACAGGCATAAGCCACCACACCTGGCCTCCCAGTGATTCTTAACTCAGCAATGGGGCATGGAGGCGTTAATATCTGTATTGCTATAAAGCACCCCTGAGCCTCCAGACTGAGAATTGTCAGTCTACAGTATGATACCCCAAGTATCTCTCATGAGTTTGATATTTTTGTGATACCTTATTCTTCACTCTTAGTAGGTTTATTTCAATAAAGTAAGGCTTTGCTTATATGGGAGGGCAGTGCATTAAGCTAATGCAAATTATAGTTGATAAACTACCTTCTCATGTATCGCTGAATGCCAGGGAGCATTTTTGTTGGGGGCAGTGCTGGCGGGAGTTTTGATGGAAGTAATAGTAGAGAGATGGAGAGTACACAAGACCTAGAGGAGGGTTGATTGAACCATAAGGAAAAACAGATAAAAGGGAAGGTGAGAGGAATTGAAGACAATTATCATTTTTCTCATACAGCCTCATTTAGCAGGCTGAGACTTGGCTGTTTCGGGAGTACCTGCTGCCTCTCACTAGAAACTGCCATCTTTATGCTATCACCCTGTCTCTCATCCAGTCTTACCTACCTGAGGTATAAGACCTGGACTCACCACTTGAGTTATACATGGCTACCTGATCCATCTCTTCAAAGTCATATTAAATACTATAAGATTCTCAGATTTAATCTGTCAAAACCTAAATAGTTCTCCCTATAATGATACACGAATGGTTACAAATAAAGTTTGGAAACTGCAAATTAGAAAACTAGAGAGAAAGGAAGTGGTTCCAGTCTACCATGAGCAGCTCATAGGCTAGATGAACTGAACATAGCTTTTGGTTTGTTCTAAGGAAAGGATATAAGACCAAAGTGTCCATAAAGTTCTTATTTAAAGTAACTTTTAGAGTTTGGGGTAAGAGATCTTTCAATTGAAACTACTAAGAATACTTCTTAGGCCAGGCAATTTGAATTGATGAGATAAGATAAAGCTGAAGGTCAAAGTTATGACTTTGAGAAGAGTCAAGGCAATGCCATCATCAAGGGAGCCAATCTTCCAGTAGACAGGGGCTCCTGGAGTGAGAACTACAGACCTGCTGTTTCCAGGCTGCAAATTAATTGCATTGGCCCAGCAGACACCATCAGTAAACAAGCCTGCCAGGGAATATCTACTTGATCCTCTTTCACAGAGCAAACTTCCAAGGGCTGCCTGGGTCCCATCCTTATTTTGTTATCATCTTCAAGTGAGTCCAAGTGCACAGCAATGAAAAAAATGCATGTGTAGACTAAAGAAAAGAGTAACATAACGGTGCGTTGGACCATGAAGTGATAGATAGCTTCATGAGGAAAGAAGAATTTTGGAGGGACCTTGATTATGGGCAAAATTTAAAGAAAGATGGGAGACAGCAAATGTATCCATACTTCTGGAATGTTTTAGCTTTTGGCACTTAGGTTTGAGCATCCCCAGATGTCTGTGGTGTACCTCATAATCTGGTCCTTGCAGTTGGGCTGATGTGATAACATCTGTTATCTAAGGTATCTACTGTGTGCTCATGGACAAGGCATCTGTTTCTGTGACTCTGTTTATTTTCATTGATGACTCCCATATTGAAACTCCTGGGAATGATTCCATGAAAGATGAAATAAGCCAAGGTTCGAAGGAGCAAACAGTTCAAACACATAGTAATATAGTGGGAATTAGAGCAGCCTGATGGATGTGTGGAGACTTCACCAGCTGGAAGCAGACTGGGAATTACAAGTTTCATCAACAGAACCAAAGCACATGACATACGCCACAGGGCAGAATCCTTATTATGTAATAATAACCCCTGCACACTTCTCTCCCCCAGTTAACAATGCACAGATTGAGGTCATTGTGTATTTACAACCTGGAGATAGCTGACAGCCCATACTTCACCTTGAAGTTTGACTTGTCTGTTCCCTCAAATGTGTCGACACTTCTGAAATGTTTTCTCCTTTGGCACATCGGTTTGAACATCCCCAGATGTCTATGGTGTACCTCAAAATCTGGTCCTTGCAGTCGGGGTGATATGACACATCTGTTGTCTAATGTACCTACTGTGTGCTCACGGACAAAGCCAAATAATTAATCTGGGCCGGGATTGTTCATGCTTTCACAGTTCGGTTCGGCATTGATCTCTTCTTGCAGAAGGCCTATATTGGGACCAAACTGGGAATGCAACAGGGCAAAGTTGGTCTAAAAATCCTCTGGGAATTTTCCATTTGGCAATTAAATTTTCTGTAGATTACATCTCTCTATCAATTACCAGTGTGGCTTTTATAATGTTATAAAATCTGAGCATAGCCAGTTACATTTCTTTTACCCTGAGTCTCTGGGTCTTTATCTGAAAAATTAAAGGACTAGAAAAGATGACTTTGAGTTTTTTACAGCTCTAATGTTTGAGAATTTAATAATTTCTCAGTAGTGAAAGTCAGATTTCTTGACAATATAGCAATTAGTTTGTCCACCTGTATGTACTCTCCTACATGTATCTGCCTGAAGCCCATTGCTACTGGTATCTCCCAAGATGGAAATGTGCCAAGCTGGTATAAGCCCAGTGGAATTTCACTAAGAAACTAGACCCAGCCACTCAGCCCATACTCACAGTCTTATCTTTCCTCCCATTCATTTACCCATTCACTCAACAAACATTTATTGAAGGCCTGTTAAGTGTTAGGTACTAATCTTTAGAACCTGCTCTATGGCTTTTTAGTCCATCTTCCCTTCACTCACTTTTTTTGACAAACCAGGCAGACAATGGTGTAGGAAATGTATATTTAATCATTCTCTTGAACGATCAGAACTCTAAAATCAGTTTTCTATAACAACATGTAATACAGTCACCGTGGCTCCAAGGTCCAGGAAGGCAGTGGTTAACACATGAAGAGTGTGGGAAGGGGGCTGGAAACAAAGTATTCTTTTCCTTCAAAGCTTCATTCCTCAAGGCCTCAATTCAAGCAGTCATTGTCCTTGCTTTCAAAAGTCTGTGTGTGCTTCATGGAAGGTATATGTTTGTTGCCTTAATTTGAATTGTGGCCAGGCAGGGTCTGGAGATCTAAATTCAGAGTAAGAAAACCTGAGCTAGAACTCAGGCATTTCTCTTACAGAACTTGGCTTGCAGGGTAGAATGAAGGGAAAGAAACTTAGAAGCTCAACAAGCTGAAGATAATCCCATCAGGCATTTCCCATAGGCCTTGTCAACTCTGTTCACTGAGAGATGTTATCCTGGTGCCCGATAGAGTTCTGGCTCTCTGTGCTGAGGCAGCAGCCAAAGAGACAGAATGCTTATTTGCCAATGACTAATGTGAGGAAGCAGACAGATTTGTTGGCTCCCCTCTTTCCAGGCCCTTTTCTACTCAAAACCAGGGTTTCTTAGCCCTGACACAGTTGACACTTCGGATTGGGTAGTTGTAATGGGGAGACGTCCTGTACATGGTAGGAGGTTGAGCAGCATCCCTGGCCTCTATCCACTAGTTGGTAGTAGCACTGTATCCTCCTCCACTCCCTCATTGAGGTAACCAAAATTGTCTTCAGACATTCCCCCGGAGATGGGGGGCGAAATCACCCCAGCTGAGTCCCACTGCTCTAGATGCTATTGAAAACTGAGGTCTTAGCTGTCCACGCAGGATGGAAAGGAGAAGCCTCAGAGCTTGTGATGACATAATGCCATATAGACAAGGTGAAAGGTCCTTCCCTGGACCATTCACGGATGAACATCATCTGAGAAATAAACCCGCATTTGTTTGTTTAAAAAGAAGGTGCTCAGTTTATTTATAAAATCGGTGTCGCCGACTGCTCTGTTTATGCTAAAATTATGATCATTTTTCTCAACTTTGGCATTTGTCAGTTGGGAAGAGAAGCCAAGGCACCTTTGGAAGCATCATAAAAAGTGAATCATTTGACCCATTACTAAAATGCAGCCGCCCCTGAGTTGCGAAGTGGCAGTCAATTAGCAGCGTCTTAGGGTACATACTACAGCTTAATTTGTGGAATATAAGATGTGGATATGTTGGGATAGACTTTCCAGGGGCTTCCTCAGAGCAACATTACAGCACATATAACTAAAAATTCAGAGACAAAGAACATGCACTATCCTGTCCTCTCACTCCCCAGGTGACAGGCAGGGGGAGGTCCCTGAGATCTGGGGATGCACTTGTCTCCACGTGCATTTTACTTATCACTCTTAACACACTTGTCTAGTTCACATGAATTATTTTCCCAACTTCTAATATGTCTTTGAAGATAGATTTATCTTGTTCATATTGGAGCCTTCTGCTTTTGGCTTCTTTTTGTTTCTTGCTCTTGTTTGCTCACTCCAGACTTCTAGATATGAATTCATTTCCTCCCAGAAATATAAAACTAGGTCATATCTGGTGGTGAAATAGTTCTGTAGATCCCTGGGATTGTGGAAATAACAGCAATAAGATACCATTATAGCCATTCACAAAACAATTATTGAGAACTGAGAGCTTCCCTGCCACTGCGTGGTGTATCTCTTGTTTAGAAAGGGGCTTATTTTTCAGTATTTTGATGTTGTTCTATTGAGGCCACATGGTCCCATGGGTTGCTGGGGAAAAAGAGATGGCTTGAATCTCTCCTTAACGGGGTATCATCCCAGTGGCAGTCTCAAGGAAGAGAAGAGATGGGTCCTTATAGTAAATGAGAACTGAGAGGAGTCTGGGCAGGCTCCTGAATAGAGGTGGAAAGGTGGTTTCTGCCTCAATTCCTAACCAGGGAGTGTGTGTGGCCTAAAATGCCATTACCCATTATAATGTGTGTCTCAAATAATGTTCTATTCATTTACTTTTATCATTATTTTTTTGAGACAGGGTCTCACTCTGTTGCCCAGGCTGGAGTGCAGTGGTGCAAACATTGGCTCACTGCAGCCTAAACCTCCTGGGCTCATGCAATCCTTCCACCTCAGCCTCCTGAGTAGCTGGGACCACAGGTGGACCTCCACACCTGGCTAATTTTTAAATTTTTTTGTAGAGATGGGGGTCTCACCATATTGCCCAGGTTGGTTTTAAACTCCTGGGCTCAAGCAGTCCTCCCATCTTGGCCTCTCAAAGTGCTGGGGTTACAGGTGTGAGCCACCATGCCCAGCCTTACTCATTTACTTTAAAAAATCTACTTGATTTATGGTTATTCCTCTATGGTGCCAGGGAGAAAGAGGTGGACTGCAGCTAACTGGGTAATTGTATATAAGCCTACGTGTGCTGCATGTGAACATTATCCATTAGATGTATGTCGTGGATATTTTTTTAAAGCTGTAAATTATTACTCTAAGGGAATACAAGGTAAAGATGAGTCAGCTATGTTATATAGGACATATTATTTAGTTGCAGGTTATTAAACACTCATTTGCAGTGTTGTGGGGAATCAAGGAAAGAAAAAAGTGCTTTTCACTCTACTAGTGAGATTCCCAAGGGACAGTTTCCTTAGGGAAATCTCTGCTGACAACTGTGGAGGATTGGAAATGATGAAAACTGGCGGGTTTCCTTACAAAGAATCTCCTTTGTTCACTGCACTATAGTGAAATCTTGGAGAACAAGAGAAAGAATGAAAAGAAGCAGATCAACAGATCTTTACCTGCCTCTGAGGACTTAGCAATGTAGGCAAGGAATACATGTACCCTGGAGAGTGTAAGACATAAATCATACATGCATGCCAAGAGGATATAAAATACAAAGACTCTTGGGGAGGTGGGATATAAGCTAGGAAGCATTTTCCTAAAATGGATAAAGGAAGTAGTGGGTATAAATTGCCACAGAGTAGAGAAGATTTCCAGGAAAAGACAGTGAGGGAGGGAGCAAGACCAGAAAGTAATGGTAGTTAGCAGGTAGTGGTAGGCAGCAGTAGTGGTAGGTAGTAATGGTGGGTAGGTATGCTTCTGTGACTTTGACTTCGATATAGTTATGCCCAGAGAGTCACTTTAGGCTCTGGAGCAAAGGAAGGCTATGATGAAATCGTGTTTCAGAATACTTCGATTCTGGCACCGTGTTTCCTATCAGCTAAAACAGGGAAAGGAAGGAGCAGGTACAGTGTTTCAAAACCAGTCGGGGTGTGAGATGATGAAGGCTGGATTAGGGTCAATCTGAGAGGCAACACAGGGGAAAATGTGATAGGTAGGGGTTGATAAGAAATTGACATGCGGGACAGAGGGGAGACAAAAATAGCTCTGAGGCTGTAACCCTGGAGGCTTGGTGGGGATGCCACTGAGTAATATGGGAGTATCGACTGGAACTTCATGATCTCAGCTTTATACACATTTCATATGCAGAAGAATATTCAAAAGGAAATATCCTAACAATAATTGGAGCCAGAGGACTGAAGTGAGAAGGAAATCTCAGCAGGAGGGCTAGTTGGTGAGTCATCTGCCAACTGTCCACAGGGGCCGGCTGGAAGGGCAGGGAGGGGTTTTATGTGAATGATGATATGCTTTATAAATAACAGTGGAATCCAGGGTAATTACTCAGGGCTAAATATCTCTTTCTCTTCAATAAGTTATTTTGCCTTCATTGATGACTGAGTAACTTAAAAGGTATTTGAATTTACATAAATACTTGAATTGTATGTTATTTTTCCTATGGGTCTGTCAATGAAGTCTATGCTGTTTGCTGACCTAACAAATGATTACCTTTCCCAGTACTAGTGGAAATAATGTCACAGCCCTGGTGTCATTAAATGTTTCTTTCTGTGGCTGATGCTGAAGGCTATCCGACTCTCATTAGGAGCACAAGCACCCACAGAACCAATATCCCACACTATTTGTGATTAATCTCACCTGTTGTAACAATGACTTTGCATGCTTTTTTGTGGCCGAGGCACATTATTTTAGCATCAGGTAAGGGCTGAGAGGCAGAAGTGCCCAGCTGATGGCAAAGAAAGAAGAGACACACAGAGAAGCCTTTGAGTTTAGCAGCTGTAGGTGACTCCGCCTTTTGATCTCCGATTCTGTGAAGTGAGAGAAAAAGTTTAGGGTCATACAGGAGAAGCTGGATGTCTTCTTCACATGACTGGTTAGCAAAGAAAAGTACCTGAAAAACAGAACAAGTTGTTCCTAATTCAGGCAATTTTTTACCCCTTTGCCCACCTCTCCGTAACTGGCTTAAAAGTAGAGCTTTCTCTTTCTTCAAAGAAAATTCCATTCTGTGGTCCACTCCAGTGAACACTCAGCCGAATGAAAAACTATACCAATAAGAGATTGTTATGGGTTACCAAATAAAGAATAGGCTAAACAAACAGCCATGGCCAGTTCTTGGCTTGAGACGCATTTTCCCTCCAGGCAGTGATCTTTACAGGATCCACGTCATTACATTAGCTTTCATCATACCACTATAAAGTGTCTAGGAAGTATTATTCTCATTCTGAAGCAGAGAATGGTAGATGTAAAGAAATGAAATCATACTTCTTTTGCTCAATTTCCTCCCTAGACAATCCTATCTCTTTTATTTCATTTCAGCTCTGTCACTTACCAGCTGTGTGACTTTAGGCAAGTTACTCAATGTATGTGCTCCAGTTTCTTCATCTATAAATAGGGCTAGAATACTAATAACCTACTTCATAGGGTTCTTATGAGGATTAATGAGTTAGTGCATGCAAAGCACTTAGAACAGTGTCTGGCCTATAATAAGCACTCCATAAGTACTGGCTGTAAAAACGACAATAAAGCCAACATCACTCAAGCCTAATAAATATCACTTTCATGCTAGTCATTTCCAAGTCTACCTCCTTAGTTTGAACTCTGTCTTGAGTTCCACATCTAGATTTCCAGTTGCTGCTAGATATGTCATTTAAAAACATAATTATTCAGTAAATATTTCTGAGTACCTACTATTGGGGTTCAAAGAAGTCCAATAAATAACAGCCTCTTCCCCAGCTTAGCTCTGAACCAATTAAAGAGAAGGACAAAAAAATAAGGCAACTGGAAGATCAAAATATCACCTTTAGTGCTGAAAATATGTTAATAGAGAATGAGGCTTTGTAGTTAGGCAAGTGGGCTACAGCCGAGACTCCCCACTGTCAGACAGAACCAGACTGGTGCAAGTCTCCTGCAGGAGCAGATTCTACCCCTGAACAACTGACGGCCTGCAGGAGCACAGCAGAATGTACACGGGCTTCCTGAGAGTTAGCAAAAACAAAAAGAAAAAGGAGGAGCTGAGCTACTTATGTCCAGCTGCTCCTAATATACTCATCAATCAGATAAATTAATTCCTTGTTCTCTCAGGAAGAGTGAAAGAGGGAGGAAGAGAGAGGCTAAAAAGATGACACTGGTGGGGATCCCTTCTCATAAAAGGAAATATATGGAGTAAGGGTGTAGTGTTCTCCCCAAAACCTATCACATGCTGGCTATTGTGCTAAGCACTGGGCATCTCTACCTGGGTACACTATGGGCATTTCAAACTCGACATCTCTAAAACCCTTATCTACTCCCCACACATATTGCTCCTATGTTTTGGGGTGGGTTTTTTTTTTTTTTCTGGTAGCATCACCAACCTCCTAAGTATCCTGGGTAGAAATATCAAACCCACTTTGACTTGTGATTTCTCTTGACTTTCA
This sequence comes from Homo sapiens, assembly GCF_000001405.40. Taxonomy (NCBI): domain Eukaryota; kingdom Metazoa; phylum Chordata; class Mammalia; order Primates; family Hominidae; genus Homo; species Homo sapiens. The sequence continues at coordinate 117,149,388 of NC_000001.11, forward strand.
CATTTGCATCACCAAGGACTGTACATTATTTTGTTTATGCAACTTTTGATTCTTCCCCCTTTTCTTTCCCATTGCCCCTGCTCCAGTTAATACTCTCATAATTTCTCCCCCAGACCATTACTGTAAGCTCCTGACTTCAGGTCTTCCCATTTTATCCAAACCATTTTTTTTCTTCTTCAAAACCCAGCCGGAACTCTGCCTTATCTATGGATCCACTTCAGTCATAATTAACAACTCTTTCCCATAGGTACTAAATCTACACTGTGATTAACTTCTCTTTTGATACTTATGCTATTCATTTCAGTATCTCAGGGGGCTTAAAAAAGTACTCTGAACATACTTGGCACACAATAGATATTTGTTAAATGAATGACCTAAATTAGCAGTATAGGCAGAGAACACAATATGTAAATCCCATGGCCCTACTTGTTTAAAAACATGCATGGAGCACCTACTTTGTCTACAACAATAAGAAATTCTGCTATTTTCTTAATTTTGAGCTACCAAAAGTTGTATTTCATCCTAGCCTGACACTTCGAACACTTGTTTTGATGTATCCAACAAACATGTAAAGAAGACAGATCTGTTAATTGAATAAAAGGTGTGCTCAATGTCTATGTCTTGTTCAGTTGTGGCCCTTGCTACTAGAAGACATTATTTACACAGCTTGGAGCTTTTTACTGGGAACTGGACTGAGATACTGTTGTCAGCACCCATTGTTTTAAATGACCAATACTTCAGTCCCTCCTTCTCTTCTGGGAAGGCCTTTCATCAGATACTGCCTCATTGGCCTAGGTATGGGCAGCTGACCCAAGTGGAGTCAAAGTCCTTCTTGGGAATGTAGAATGAGACTGATGAATTGAGGTTCAGTCTCACCACTCTCTTGAGTAAGAGATTTTTAAATATAGGAATGCTTGGCAATCACGTCTTGCCATATGGACTAAAACAAGAGAGTAAAGAGAGAATTAAGTAGAAATGAGAGAAAAAGAATCTCAATGGGATTTAAGTTCCTGGTTCCAGTTGATCCTGAAGTCAACTGAACTTCCTGTCTTTGGTTCCACAACATTCTAGTACACTTCCTACACTTCCCTTTCAGACTAGATTTATTTATATTGGTTTTCTGTTACAGGCAACTAATAATCCTAACCAGGATAGTTGCCAATTTGTTCCTCAAGATGGTGCAAGAGCTCTCGCTCTCATATGTAATTTTTTAGTTAGATACTTTTTAAAAATTGCAGTAAAAACAACAAAATTTACCATCTTAAGCATTTTTAAGTGTACAGTTCAGTAGTGTTAAGTATATCCACGTTGTTATAAAACAAATCATTAGAACTTTTTCATTTTGCAAATCTGAAACTCTATACTCATTAAACAAAAACCTTTCTCCTTCAACTCTTCCACCCTGCCCTCTGCTAACCACCATTCTACTTTCTGTTTCTGTGCATTTGACTGCTTTAGATGCTTTGTTTAAATCATATAGTATTTGTCTTTTTGTGACTGGCTTATTTCACATAGATAATGTCCTGAAAGTTCATTCATGTCATAGCATATGATAGGATTTCCTTCCTTTTTGAGCCTGAATGGTATTCTATTGTATGTGTATACCATATTTTGTTTATCTACTCATCTACTAATGGACATTTTGGGTTGATTCTATCTCTTGACTTTGGTGAATAGTGCTACTGTGACCATGGGTGTTCAAATATCTCATTCAGACTCTGAATTCTTTTGAAGGCATACCCAGAAGCAGGACTGTTAGATCATATGATAGTGTAAGTGTGAGCCACCATGCCCAACCTGAGTGTTACAGTTCTTTTTTTTTTTTTTTGGAGAGTGTTACAATTCTTAAAGATGGTGTGTCCGGAGTTTGTTCCTTCAGATGTTCAGATATGGTGCATCTGGAGTTGTTTGTTCCTCCCAGTGGGTTTGTGGTCTCACTGACTTCAGGAATGAAGCTGCAGACCTTCGCAGTGAGAGTCACAGCTCTTAAAGCTAGTGTGGACCCAAAGAGTGAGCAGCAGCAAGATTTATTGTGAACAGCAAAACACCAAACCCTGCACATCACAGACAGCAGCCCTACCGGGTTGCTGCTGCTGGCTCCAGTGGCCAGCTTTTATTCCCTTATTTGGCCCCGCCCACTTCCTGCCTATTGGTCCATTTTACAGAGCGCTGATTGGTCCATTTTACAGAGTGCTGATTGGTTCATTTTTACAGAGTGCTGATTGGTGCATTTACAATCCTTTAGCTAGACAGAGTGCTGATTGGTGCATTTGCAATCCTCTAGCTAGACAGAAAAGTTCTCCAAGTCCCCACTCGACCCACGAAGTCCGGCTGGCTCCATATCTCAGTAGTTCTTTTTTTTAATTGTTTTGATGACACTTTATACTATTTTCTATAGAAGTTGCACCATTTTACAGTCCCACCAACAGTGCATGAGGGTTCCAATTTTTCCGCATCCTCACCAACATGTTATTTTCTGTTTTTGCCTTATTTTGTTTTTAGAGTAGCCACCCTAATGGGCATTAGGTGATATCTCATTGTGGTTTTGACTTGCATTTCTCCAATGATTAGTGATGTTGAGCATCTTTTCATTTGCTTTTTAGCTATTTTTATATCATCTTGGGTTGAATGTCTCTTCAAGTACTTTGCCCATTTTAAAATGAGGTTATTTGATTTTTGTTGTTGTTGAGTTGTAGGAGTTCTTAATATATTCTGGATTGAAACCCCTTAAAATGATTTACAAATATTTTCTCCCATTCCATAGGTTACTTTTGTGTGTGTGAGTGTAATTTATTTTTTAAATTGATATATCTGAGTTGTAGATAATTTTGGGTTCATATGTATAATTTCAAATTAAAAAATCATAAGAATATGATTTATTCAGTTAGATTCGGCAAACATTTATAGGGTACTTATAATGTGTAAGGTATTTTGTGCCCAGTGCTAGGCTTGATTTAAATGGCAGCCTCCTGACGTACTCCTTTCACTACAGTTTGAATCCAATTTCGCCCCAGGAAGGATGGTCTTAAAAGTCAGAATTCAGTCTATGCATTTTCTTGATACTAGCTCAACCTAAGGTTTTGTATGCACTAAAGCACTGCAGGGAGACTAGGGTGCTGGGTCTTCTCAGCCAGCTCTCAGCTAGGGTGCTGGGAGACCAGTTCCATCTAGGGGTTTCAGATTAATCTTGAGCCAATATTAGTGGGATCATGAGTCAGTCTCATGAGGGATGAATAAAACTAAGTCAGACTCCAGACTTTTAGTCTTCAGATTCACAGCCTTCTCAAAGGCAGGGTGGAAGCAAACCTTGGTTTCTAGCCTAAGTTTTGGAGGGCTTGAAGTCCAGCTGAACATATCAAAGATGTCAAGTAATTATCACTTCCTCACTGCTGTAGCAAGGTAGTCCTACTGAGTTACACAGAGCCTCAGAATCCTAAACACTGTTCTCCAGACAACCAGTCAATGAGAAAGCATACAAGATGAAACCTAATTGCCATCTTTGACCTATATGCCATACATATTGTTTTGTGTTGGGCTTTCTCTTATGTAATACAATCTCAACTGGAATTGAGTGATCAAATTCTTAGTGAAGAGGACTCTAGAGATTTTTGTGCCTTGGTATATATCTATTAATGAAGTTAAATTTTAATTTAGATTTTACTCTTTCCCCAGTAAATCCATACAAAAGCATGCAGGAACCCACCTGTCACTTTGATATCCCCTGTTGCTTTGGCAATGTCATTTTCAATCATACAGGAGTATGTGTTGTTGATCGTAACATTGTAGAGCACAGACACAACCTTCATGGTCACATTCTCAGAGTTCAGCTCAAAGCTGGTATTGGAGACTTCCGAGAAGTTGGCTCCCTGGTCAACTTGGGATGCCCAGACCACTGTGGGCTGGGGGAACCATCGGGGAGCCTCACACCGCAAGGTCTCTGAGCTGGCATTATAGTCCACATTCACTTCCGGCATGCTGAAGGCTGCAGGGTCAAAAGTCAGAAAGGGCAGATGCCAAAGTCAGACACGTAAGACAATATAGCCTTTGAAGCGCTAGGCCTTAAAAATGCAGTCATTTTTTTTTTTTTTTTTTTATCATTGAAGCCACTCAGTACTTCCTCAGAGGTCCACCTGTGTATAGCCCATTGTATTATAGGTGCGAATAATTATTTGCTCATAGTATTGCTATACATCACAACCCTTTGGCCAATCACAAACCCCAAGGACCTAAATTCTAGGTATATTATGGTTACAATAGAAAATTTTCTCCAAGTAAGAGGAACTTCAGTGGTCATAAAAAAGCCTATCCCTTAGGGAATTAGGCATTTTCCTAGGGATCTGTGAAGCTTCTGGATTTTATGTATTTTTCTCCCTGGAGGATAAAGTTAGGGTGGGTAGGGAGAAGGAGAAAGAAGAAACAAACAGCATTCATCTATCACCCACAGAAATTCCATTCACAAGCTTTGTCATCACAGGGATTTGGAGTTTGCTTGGGTAGAGATTGTCCAGCTCTGGTATCCAGGGATAGAAACAGACATTTGTTTTCCTCCAAGGTAATTCTCCTCGCAGGAGAGTTAACTGCATTTTGAAATTAAGACTTAGCTTCCCCCCATATCCAGGCAGAGAGACAGTTGTGGGAAAATGTTTAAGCCTGGACTTTTTATTGGGGTAAAATATAATTTATTAATTTATTTGGCGTCTTCCTTTACCTGGGACTGAGCTGGTGCTGAGTAAGTAGTAAAAGGAAAGCCCTTGCCTAACCCTTAAGGAGTCTGTTCTCTAGCAGGGGAGACAAGACTCATGCTCGGAGCAGGCAGGGAACACGCTCTTGGGCGATGATGTGGGAAACTAAGTTTACATGACAATGAACCACCATTCATTGAGGGTATATTCTGTGCCAGTACTGTATTCCAGACCTTATTTCATTTGATCCTCACAACACTCCTGTGAATACTATCATCCCCATTAAAAAAAAATCAACTTTTAATTTTGAAATAATTTCACGTGTACAGAAAAGTTGCATAGAAGGTATAGAGTTCTGGCATAGGCCTCACCCAGTTTCCTCTAATGTCAACATCTTAACCAATGTGCATTAGTCAAAACTGAGAAACTGGAGGCCAGGCGCAGTGGCACACGCCTGTAATCCAAGCACTTTGGGAGGCTGAGGTGGGCAGATCACCTGAGGTCGGGAGCTTGAGACCAGCCTGACCAACATGAAGAAACCCAGTCTCTACTAAAAATACAAAATTAGCCGGCTGTGGAGGTGCATGCCTGTAATCCCAGCTACTTGGGAGGCTGAGGCAGGAGAATCACTTGAACCTGGGAGGCGCAGGTTGCTGTGAGCCGAGATCGTGCTGTTGTACTCCAGCCTGGGCAACAAGAGTGAAACTCCATCTCAAAAAAAAAAAAAAAAAAAAGAAAGAAAAGAAAAAAAAGAAAAAACGGAGAAACCGCCAATGGTATATTACTATCAACTAAATTCCAGATTTGATTTGTATTTCAACAGTTTTTCCACTGATGTTCTTTTTCTGTTCCAAGATTCCTTCCAGAACACCACCATGCTTTTAGTCATCATGTTGCTTGAGTTTCTTCTAGTCTGTCATGTTTTCCCAATTTTCTGTATATTCCATGACGTTGACAGTTTTGAGGAGTACTGGTTAGGTATTTTGAGGAGTACCGGTTAGGTATTTTCCATGACCTTGACAGTTCTGAGGAGTACTGGTTAGGTATTCTGTAGGTTGCCCCTCTGTTAGAATTCATCTGATGTTTTCTCCTGATTAGACTGAGGTTACAGGTTTTAGAGAGGAAGAGCACAGGAGGTAAAGTGCCCTTCCCATCACATTATATCAGAAGGTACATGCTGTTAACATGACTTATTAATGATGTTAACCTGGATCACCTGGCTAAAGCAGTGTTTGCCGGATTTCTTTGGAAGCTGGACTTCACTAAGTCCAATATACCCTGAGTGGGATAGGGAAGGTTTCAAGCTCCACTTTTTGGAGGGAAGAGATCTAAATAAATTATTTGGAATTCATCTGTAAGGGGAATTTGTTTCATATCCCTCATTTATTTAAATAAGTATGAAGTCATATGTATTTATTCTATACCTTTGAGTTATAATTCAATACTATGTTACTTATTTTGTTGCTTAAATTGTTCCAGCTTTGCCATTGGAAGCTCTTTCAGTTGGCTCCAGTATCCCTTTGACATGACCCCATTTTAAGATGAAGAAACTGAGGCTCAGAGAGATTGCTTTGCCCAGGCCACTGTACTTACACAGGTCTGATTCTAGATCTGAGCTTCGAATCATTGCATATGCATGTTATGAGGTGTGCAAGAAAGACCTGTGCATACTAGTTTAGGCTGGAAAGGCCCGGTTTCTGCCTATCCTTCAAGGCTCCCCTCAAATGCCAGCTTCTCCAGGGGGCTTTCCCATCCCTTCCCTCCTATGCATTTGAACGGGATCTCTCTCTTCTTCTCAATCACTCCATTTATATTTCTCTTAAAGCATTTGATACACTTTACTAATTATTATCATTTACAGACTTTTATTATCTCTGTCCTGACCCCTAACTCTGTGAGATCTATATTATGAGCTCTGTAAGGGTAGGGGAAATCTGTTTAATCATCTTTATACTCTCACAGTACCTGAGTCCCTTGTATATAAATTCAGAAAACATATGTTAAATTGGGTTGGCAACAAAGGGTGGATTTCATTGTTGCAGGGGAAGGGGAATTAATGAGTTTATAGGACAATGTTGTTTTCGTTTTGGTTAGTTCCCTTTGAACTTCTAAAATGCACTCACTGTCATGAGTCTCTGAAGATACTGATTTCAGGATTGCGCTTGGGTCTACTTAGCGTGGAAATGTCCCAGGCTAGGCTGCTCTTATTAGCTGTACCAGGGGCTACCACAAAAGAGGCTACATTTATTTTGTTGAATAGAGAACACACCTGGAAATTCTGAAGCAGAGAGAACCCAGAACAAAAGATTTTTAAGGCCTCTCTTATAGTTGGCTACTTTTGGGGTTGGTGTGAGTCTTGGCCATAAAATGGCAAAAACAGCTGTTAGCAGAATTGGGAGCATCATTGTCTGATATTGGTCACAACATATTTCATAAGCAACTCATAATCTTTAGCCTCAAATACTTTTGGTGCTTTAAAAAATCTCTCTCCAAAAGTAACTCACCTCCAGTTTTATACTCAAGGTTAGCATTCCCCTTGCCTTTAGAAGTGATGATATAACATTTGTAGGTGCCAGCATCTGTGAGTTGCACGTTTTTCAGCCGCAAAGAGGCATTGCCAACTATCACTTGATCAGCAAACACTGCTGTCCGGCCTCTGAACATTTCATCCTGCTCCGACAGCTCATCTTTGCCTTCTTTGAACTCATGGACCAAGCCTAAAACACCTTCCTTCAGCCATTGTATCACGATATCAGAAAGTTTGATGTCAGGTTCAAAAGTGCAGCTCAGGATTCCATCCTCCCCAATGTTCCCAGCTGAGGCGACAGTAGTGACTGTGATGGAGTGTCTCCCTGCAGTTCAGGAAGCAAAGATCAATGCTAAGGGAAGCCTTGGAACTTCTACAACCAAACCCTTCATTGCTGAAAGCCAGACAGAGACTTCTGTGATAAATTAAAAATACAGAAGAACATGAGAGGCAATAAGAAGACAAGAAGAGAAAGAGCAGGAAGACAATCATTTTGATATATATATATATATATATATAGCAGATCTGTCATATATAATGGCTTATGTAAGACCAAGTAACCCAAACCTTGAGAACACATTGGACTTGGGGTTTGAAGATGAAAATTCAAGTCTTGGCTTTGTCACTTAATAGCCATGTAACCTTCAGTAAGTCATGTAACCTCCTTGGATCTTAGAAAATTGGAGGTAACAATGTCTGTCTTACCTACTATATTAGTCCATTTTCATGCTGCTGATAAAGACACACCTGAGACTGGAAAGAAAAAGAGGTTTAATTGGACTTACAGTTCCACATGGCTGGGGAGGCCTCAGAATCATGGAGGGAGGCAAAAGGCACTTCTTACATGGTGGTGGCAAGAGAAAAATGAGAAAGATGCAAAAGCAGAAACCCCTGATAAACCCACCAGATCTCATTAGACTTACTCACTACCACAAGAACAGTATAGGGAAACTGCCCCCATGATTCAAATGATCTCCCACTGGGTCCCTCCCACAACACATGGGAATTATGAGAGTATAATTCAAGATGAGATTTGGGTGGGGACACAGCCAAACCATATCATTCCATCCCTGGCCCCTCCAAATCTCACGTTCTCACATTTCAAAACCAATCATGCCTTCCCAACAGTCCCCCAAAGTCTTAATTCATTTCAGCATTAACTCAAAAGTCCACAGTCCAAAGTCACATCTGAGGCAAGGCAAGTCCCTTTCACCTATAATCCTGTAAAATCAAAATCAAGCTAGTTACTTCCTAGATACAATGGGGGTACAGGTATTGGGTAAATACAGTCATTCCAAATGGGAGAAATTGGCCAAAACAAAGTAGTTACAGGGCCTATGCAAGTCCAAAATTTTAAAGCTCCAAATGATCTCCTTTGACTCCAGGTCTCACATCCAGGTCATGCTGATGCAAGAGGTGGGTTTCCATGGTCTTGGGCAGCTCCACCCCTGTGGCTTTGCAGGGTGCAGCCTCCCTCCCAGCTGCTTTCATAGGCTGGCATTGAGTGTCTGTTGCTTTTCCAGAAGAACAGTGCAAGCTGTCAGTGGATCTACCATTCTGTGGTCTGGAGGACAGTGGCTGTTTTCTCACAGCTCCACTAAGTGGTGCACCAGGGGGACTTTGTGTTGGGGCTCCGACTCCATATTTTCCTTCTGCACTGCCCTAGCAGAAGTTCTCCATGAGAGCCCCACTCCTGCAGCAATCTTCTGCCTGGGCATCCAGGCATTTCCAGACATCTTCTGAAATCTAGGTGGAGGTTCGCAAACCCCAATTCTTGACTTCTGTGCACTCACAGGCTCAACACCACATAGAAGCTGCCGAGACTTGGGGTTTGCACCCTCTGAAGCCATGGCCCAAGACCCTTTTGGGCACAGCTGGAGCAGCTGGGATACAGGAAACCAAGTCCCTAGGCTGCACACAGCATGGGGACCCTGGGCCCGGCCCACAAAACTATTTTCTCCTAGGACCCCAGGCCTGTGATGGGAGGGGCAGCCATGAAGACCTCTGACATACCCTGCAGACATTTTCCCCATTGTCTTAGGGATTAACATTCAGCTCCTCATTACTTATGCAAATTTCTGCAGCCAGCTTGAATTTCTCCTCAGAAAATGGGTTTTTCTTTTCTTTCACATTGTCAGGCTGCAAATTTTCCAAACTTTTATGCTCTGCTTCCCTTATAAAACTGAATACCTTTAACAGCACCGAAGTTACCTCTTGAATGCTTTGCTGCTTAGAAATTTCTTCCACCAGATACCCCAAATCATCTCTCTCAAGTTCAAAGTTCCACAAATCTCGAGGGCAGGGGCAAAACATCATCAGTCTCTTTGTTAAAACATAACAAGAGTCACCTTTACTCCAGTTCTCAGCAGGTTCCTCATCTCCATCTGAGACCACTTCAGTCTGGACCTTATTGTCCATATCACTATAAGGCTTTTGGTCAAAGCCATTCAACAAGTCTCTAGGAAGTTTCAAAATTTCCCACATTTTCCTGTCTTCTTCTGAGCTCTCCAAACTGTTCCAACCTCTGCCTGTTACCCAGTTCCAAAGTTGCTTCCACATTTTTGGGTATCTTTTCAGCAGTGCCCCACTCTACTGGTACCAATTTACTGTATTAGTCCATTTTCACAGTGCTGATAAAGAAATACCCGAGACTTGGAAGAAAAAGAGGTTTAATTGAACTTAACAGTTTCACATGGCTGGGGAGGCCTCAGAGTCATGGCGGGAGGTGAAAGGCACTTCTTACATGGCAGTGGCAAGAGAAAATGAGAAAGATGCAAAAGCAGAAACCCCTGATAAAACCATAAGATCTTGTGAGACTTATTTACTACCATGAGAACAGTATGGGGGGAACCACCCCCATGATTCAAATGATCTCCCACCAGGTCCCTCCCACAACACATGGGAATTATGGGAGTATAATTTAAGATGAGATTTGGGTGGGGACACAGAGCCAAACTATATCACCTACTTTAAAGGTTTCTTGTGAGGATCAAATCAAATGGATATTAACCTGATTTGCAAACTGTAATTACACATATAAGGTATTGTTATTCTCAGTTAACCAGAAGTAGCACAGAAGTGAAATCTCATGTTAACTAAATGTGGCCTAGTCATTCTGAAAAATGCTGAATTCTAAAGTGCTGTAACTTTTATTTCTGTTTGAATGACATAGAAACTAAGGCAGTGAGAAAATAACTGATTTGATCAAGTTTACAGTGCTAGCTATAGCATAATGAAGAACTGTATTTAATTCAGTTGATTTTTGGTTTAAAATGAAAGCCACCCTCTCCTCTACTGACATACCACCAGTAGAAATATTAATTATGTGCCAGCTGTATCCAACTGCTTCCTCCTCACTTGGCCAGCCTACAGCCTACCCAGTCAAGGAAGGATCAATCAGCTGTTCATTGTACACTGGGGGCTGCTGACTGAGGACACCTATTGGGGTGATTTAATTAACTGAATCTTCTTGAGAGGCTCTTTCTGTGGCTTGGATATGAAACTAAGGGCAGATGGCCTTGGAGCCCAAGAGGAGAGTGGAGGAGACACAAAGAAGTATGGGGGAGAGACCATGGGAGAGAAAAATGGAAAGAGTCTTTCATCCCCAGAGCTGTCTTGGATCCTGGGGTGTTCAGGTCTAGTTCCTGTCCTAATCTCTGCACATCCTTTAAACAACACCTGATATTAAAGTGGCCTGCACAAGTCTCTCTTTCTTACAGCCAAAAAAGCCCAACATAACGGGTCCTGAGCACTTCCTAACTGGACTTATCAGCTTCTTTATTGGTATTTCTACCTTTCATCTTCGCCTCCATCCAATCCATTTTACATGCATTAATCCTACAGGTAGACCTTCTTACAGTACAATTTGAACATATCTGTTTTCTAATCACTCATCTTTAATGGTTCCTAAGAGCTGTGGAATGGATTTCAGATTTTCCAGCCTGGACTTCAAAGCTAAACACTGCCTGCTACATAGTAAATGCTCCATACATATTAGCCCTTATTGCTGTCTTTGCAGCCTTCTCTCCAACTACATCCTTTCATAGTCCATTCTGTCTGTCTGTATCAAATTATTTGTTGATTTTCTGCCTTAAATAAAAAACATACAAACAAAGCAGACGTGTTTGTTGTTGTTGTTGTTGTTGTTTTAATGTGAGAGGTAAACATTATCAACATAAGGATATCCTTGGCTCTTCTCCTCTTCCAGCCTATTAGGGGTTGGAATTATCTCATTGACTCCTAGACCTCTACAAAGTAAATGAGGGTAATGAATGAGGAAGAGAACTGGAGAAGCTAATCTAGATGGATTTGCAGCAGAAAGAACAGAAGGCTACTGATGGAAGAAAAATTATAGCTAGAAAAGGAGGAAGAGGAGACAAAAACAAGTACATAGCCTGGTTTGGAAGGATGTTTTGGAGGCTTGAGAGCGTGAGAAAAGACACTTTGGAAGCAGCTGCCATGCATGGCCATTCCTGTGGGAGATCTGGGAGACGAATTATGAAAGAGGACAAAATGAAGTTTTTGCTGTGTAATAAGAACACAACACACCTCCATTCCCTGCATTGGTATTTTCTTGAACATTGATTTAAAGATTCAGTTTGCTTTGCAAGTATTGTTACTTAGAGAATGATATCCAAGGCATCCCAGGCTAGCATGGGTTACACAATTACACTATGCGCCTTCACACTGCTGTTCATCTTGTACCTATTAATTCATAGCTCACACTTCTTTAACACCAGTTATGCAAATTCTACTTATATTCAAAGTCCGTTCAGATGGCAGCCCTCCCATGAAATCCTCTTTTAATTCACCAAAGGAAAAATTAGTAGATTCTCTCTTTACTTTCCTGTAACTTTTTGTCTTTTTGGCCTTTATTATAGCAGCTGTCTCCCTCTACCTGGTCTCTAATCTATCTCTGGAACTAGTTTGTGAGCTTTTCAAGAGCAGAAACTGTCTTAATCCTATCTGTAAGTCCTGTAGTGCCTAGAGCTATGTTTCTGCAGAGAAAAATAATGTTTGCTGAGTTTATGAATAAATGAATAAATAAATGGAAATCAGTAGAAATCAAAGCATTGTTTGAGATAGGCTAAAATTATTGTAGGAGTAAGGGACGTTTGGCAGGATTACCACATCTAAACTTTGGGGAAATGTGATCCAATGAAAAGGAAGGCAATAAAAATACTGAGAGGTTCACAATAAAATCATGAATCAAATACAACTATGTTACAGCAAAGGTAAATTTGATGGTTGTTGATAAAGTGCCATTAAAGTTGAATTGAAAGATTACTTCTCAGAAAAAATACATGATTAGCACAGTTTATGGAGAGAATGAAATGGTAATGACATACCTTAGTTCAGCAACTGTATTACTGAATTAATTTTAATATGTTGGCCTTGAGCTCACAGTTAGGGAATCCGTTGAAATATCTCCCAGAGAAGTTAATGATTAAAAGTAGGCAGCTGTGGAATGCCCTAGGGACCTGCTGCAGGTTCTAGTCATTTAAGGTTGCATTAATGATGTGGCAGATGGAATGAGTGTAATGTTGATTAAATCCCCTCCACCCCAATGTCAAATAAAGAAGAGAAATAAGAGCCAGTGAGAACTTAAAAAAACCACAGGGACCTAGCCATTGCTTTGCACCCAGAAAGCAGTCAATAAAATACTTGTTTGTTAAGTGAATAAATGATTGTTAAAAGTGACAAAATTTAATTTGCAAGCAACCACATGTAAATATTACTTCTCACAAGAAAAGAAACTATTCAGACTTGCAAACAAACATAGGCTCAAGGAGGATTATGCCATCTGGCCTCCTATGACTCTCCAGGCCTACTGACCACCAGAGATTCTTTTTTTTTTATTTTTTGGAGACAGAGACTCACTCCACCAGAGATTCTTGTGTGACTTGTTGAGTCAAAGGACAAAAGGACCCCATGGAGATGGGCTAGAGGCAGGTACCTATTGATAGAGAATTCTATTAAATGGGCACAGATTTTAAGCATTTCATTTACCTCTAAGATTTCATTAAACCCCTTTAAAATTGGAAGACTGAGCCACTTACTGAAAATTAATTATCCAGCTTGTGAGGGCTAATTAACTACCACAGCTCCTGTCTGCATGAGGAAAGTGGGGCTGTTAAAGCAGGGGCAAGACGAAACCTGAGCAGCTCTGGGTTCACACAGTGGGAGTACTATTCAATCAGCGCTCCGTTGTAGGAGTAGGAATATCTTGAAGTGGGGGTATAGGTAACACAAGACAAGGATTCTTTACAGAAACTATGATGCTGGGGCAGCCCACAGCGCTGGATAAAACCTGGAAAATGAGCTGTCCTTTGAAATGACTCAGAAAGACAGGTTCGTACATTCCAGTAGCATAGAGAGCATGCTAGATGTCTTCAGCAGATGGTCACCAGCATCTGCTAAAACTCAGCTGTCCAGATGGGCACCACAGTACATGGCTTACAAGGTCGAAATGCAAAGCTTAACCTTGGGGTCAAACCTGTGAGTGTCACTCTTGCCAAAGAAGACGGTGGGGTGGGGAGAACAGTTGCTTCCGTGAGAAGAAATTTAAAAGGACACTGGGCAAGGCCAGATACGGGAACAATGTAGGAAAGCAGCAGAACATGGTGTTTGAGAACATGGCACAGGTACAGGCTGCCTGGGTTGAAGTCCCAGCTCTGCCACTTATTGGATATGTGACCTTGGTCAAGTTTTCTAACCCTTTATTTCACCATTTTTTAAAATCTGTAAAATGGGGATGCTCCCTTAGAGGGTTCCTGAAAGGACTTAATGATACAATGCAGGTAAAGTGCTAAATATTGTACCTGAATTGCCACATGCTAAACCTTAAATCAGTATTGATATTAATAACCATTATTAACTACAATCATTTGGAAAGATTGCAGATCAGAGCCCCAGGAGGTAAGGAAAACAACATTTCACTAAATGTTTGCTTACAGAGACTCATTTTAAGCCATGAGAGAGTAAGAATGACCATTATACCCATTTATGGATGAGGATAGAGACTCCATGAGGTTAAATGGCTTGCCGAATGCCTTGGATCTAGCTGTTAGTAGAGTCAGGGTCAAACACAACCTGGTCTGGCCCTGAGCCTATGCCCTTTCTACCATATTTTGCTGATACCCAGGGCCAGATTGAGACATGTAGAGTGCCAACCCAATAAGAAGATATCCCTACTTCACTTAAAAATCAAAACAACTAAAAACCACAAAATAAGTGTAAGAAAGGCCCACAGCTGTTTATTTTCTCAGATGACTCGAAGGTTTTTTTGGACAGATCAAATATTTTCTAAATAAACTGTGCAATGTTTCCATTTTGGTGTTATCAGCACACACCTAGTCGGTTTATCCAATGTCTGAAGCTGGAGCATTACTGTAGTGTGATAGGTCACTCACCAGGTTATTTAGGGGTGTATGTCTGCTGCTTGAACCCCAACAGCTGGGTGGTAAGCCAAGGCCTTGGTGCCCAGCTGAGGAGCAGATGTCCCTGAGAACCTAAACATCCCAGAGAGTATCTGAGAACACACCAAGAAAAACAGTCTCATTGCAAACACACAGCAGGCAAAGAGCCAGAAAACCAGCTTAAAAGCAGCTTAGATATGGGAGATGGCACAGATCTCTAGGGCTGTCTTGCTGCCACCCAGGAGTGCCCTGTATGTAAGTCCTAATAAACTCATTTACTCACCAAACTGGACTTGTCTAAGTCATTCTTTGGTCTTTCAACAGCTTCCCAGTTCTGGCAGGGGGGTGGGGTTGCGGGGGCGATACGGGACACATGTTACAGTTCCAGGTTTTGTTTGTAACAATTATTAGGAGGCAGCATCCTGTGGCTTCAAAGGAGGCCTTTCCTGGTTGACCAGGAAATTGTGCAGTTCCTAGGAGGTGCTATATGAATGCGTTAATAATAGCAGATTTTTACTAAAAGCATTGATGGCATCAATATAAATAACAATGGCAGCTGTTTATCACACACAGGTGTGTGAGTGGACTCTCCTTTAATTCTCACAATGACCCTGCCTATTTTACCAATGAGGAAACATTTAAGTTGTATCCCAAAGGATATACAGTTAGTGTGAGCGCTGAGATTGGAATGGCTCTGATTCTGAGATTCTTCCATTATACAGAGCTGTTCAAAGTCAGAGGGTGCGTGATAGCGCAGGGACTGGGCTGGGTATGGTTAGGGGCCTTTCCATCACGTCTCCTTCCTTCTCGAAGGCTTATCCACAAGGGTTGTCCTTTAACCAGGGGCTGATTGGAACCCCTCAACCTCTCTTTCAAATGGTCCACCGCAAATGCATTTTATGTTTTCTGGGGTTTTTATTTAGAATTTGTAAGGAGGAGGATGGCTATGAGAAGGTGGCATATACAGCATCAGGAGAGTTACAAAGAAATAGAATTTCTTTCTGTATTGGGGAAAAGTTTTATGTTTTCAAAAGCTGTGGTCTCAGGAATCATGCCTGCAAGGCAAACCATAAAACACCCTTCTCCACTACAACTCTGTGTGAACGTTGTCATTGGTATGGGGTGATGGGTAGGAGTGTAGGTTCGGGAAACAAATTCCCAAGGCTTGAAATACAGCCATGCTCACTTGCTGACTGTTGTGTGTCCTTCCACACATTTCTCATCTCATCATAGTAATAACATCTACCTCCTATTTGTTGTGTGTAGTAAGGCAAATCATGCATGCAAAGTTATTTAGTACAGTGAAGTGCATGAAGAAAGGATTCAAAAGATATCATCATGATAAAGTTTAGATATTTGTCTTCACCCAAATCTCATGTTGAAATATAATCCCCAATTATATTATATTGGAGGAGGTGCCTGGTGGGAGGTGTGTGGGTCATTGGGGCAGATCCCTTATAAATGGCTTGGGTCATCCCCTTGGTGATAAGTGAGCTCTCAGGCCCTGAGTTCACATGAGATCTGGTCGTTTAAACTTATGTGGCACCTCCCCACCACTCTCTCTCCCTCTTGCTCCTGCTTTCGACATATGACATGACTGTTTCCCCTCGCCGTCCATCATGACTGAAAGCTCCCTGAGGCTTCACCAGAAGCCAGGCAGATTCCAGCACCATGCTTCCTGTAAAGCCTGCAGAATCGTGAGCCAATTAAACTTCTTTTCTTTATAAATTACCCAGTCTCAGGAATTTCTTTATAGCAGTGCAAGAACGGCCTAATACATATCATCATCTGCTTAACGCTATTTGCTTAATTTCAATGTCTTATATATTAAACCAGCTAATATTTTATTGAATTCATTTAAAATGTGATAATACGATCTCTGATAAAGGTTATAGTCCTTTTAATAGAGGCAATTGAAAAAATCCAACTAAACAGTATTAAACTAACAAACTGCCCATTTTATCCAAATAACCAGCTGTCACCCTGTGAAATGGGAAGGAGGCAGAACACCTTTTTATTGGCAGTAGTAGAGTTTTAAATTTTTGATGGTACATTACTGGATTGAGCAGACTGTTACTTCCATCTATTCACACCTCCATGCATCCATCCAACTGTCCATTCAAAAAGCACTTACGGAGCACCCTGTGCATTCAAGGAGCTGAGTACAGTTCTTGAGGTGGCTGTCGCTATGCAACAGGAAAAGATATAAGTAGCAAACCTCCTGACTAACACAGGGAAGTTATGATATTGTGAAAATTCTTGCTAGGAGAGTCAACACCACTAACAACCAAAAGATAAACAACTCTCTTAAGAGTTCTGATGCAAAGCCAGTGAGCCTTAGGTCCAAGAAAGTTTAGTCATCAAGATTTAGAGTGACAAATAAATACTAGGGTTTTAGTTGAAGGTGATGTATAAGATCAGGAATAGGGTAAATTATAATTAACAGTTAAGCCTTAGTGGCCTGGCGCGGTGGCTCACACCTGTAATCCCAGCACTTTGGAAGGCCGAGGCGGGTGGATCACAAGGTCAGGAGATCTAGACCATCCTGGCTACACATGGTGAAACCCTGTCCCTACTAAAAATACAAAAAAATTAGCCAGGTGTGGTGGTGCGCGCCTGTAATCCCAGCTACTCTGTCTCAAAAAAAAAAAAAAAGAAAGAAAAAGAAAAAAAGAGTTAAGCCTTAGTGAGGAAGGTACCAAAATGTACTTTAGCATTACTATCTTTAAAAGTTATTCCAAAATATTTGGTTTATCAGTCTATATTTTATTTCCTTATAAAGAATATATATGTAAATCAGAGAGCAGTGGCTCACACCTGTAATCCCAGCACTGTGGGAGGTCGAGGTGGGTGGATCACTTGAGGTCAGGAGTTCGAGACCAGTCTGGCTAACAGGGCAAAATCCCATCTCTACTAAAAGTACAAAAAATTAGCCAGGTGTGGTGGTGCACGTCTGTAATCCCAGCTACTCAGGAGACTGAGGCAGAAGAATAACCTGAAGCTGGGAGGCAGAGGCTGCAGTGAGCCGAGATTATGCCACTGTACTCCAGCCTGAGCGACAGAGCAAGACTGTCTCAAAAAAAAAAAAAAGAATATATATGTATGTAAACATAAAATGTATATATACATACATGACATTATATGCATTTTATGTTTTTATATATACATTTACAAATGTTTTTGTATGTCTGTACTGAAGTATACAAACATAAAAATCCACACATCATAACTGTACAGCTTGAAGAATGATTATAACTTTATTCCATGTAACCATCATCACACCAAGAAATAGAACCTTACTGCCCTCCCAGCAGTGCCCTCATGCCCCTCCTCACTGCTACCTGCTTACTTGTCCCCAAAGGTAATAAGAACCATTATTCTACCTTTGACCAGCAGAGATCCATTTGCCTGTTTTTGAACTTCATATGCATAGAATCATACAGAACTTACTCTTTTGTGCTCTTCTGTAGTTCCACATTATGTTTTGCATATGAAAATGTACTCAGTCTCTGTCACCAGGAAACAGAAATTAAAACCACAAAATTCCACAACACCCAGTATTGGTGAGGGTGTGGAGAGCTTGATCTCTCATGCATTGCTGGTGAAGAGTAGATTGACTCATCACTTTGGAAAATTGAATGGCAGTATCTACTAAAAGCTATTTATTGGCCTTTTGGACATACTCCTTGTGAGCTGCTTTTTTAAGCACTCACACTCCTTGTGAGCTGCTTTATTTTGAGACAGTAGAAAAAGAATTGAAAGATGGCCAAGTAAAGCAGGAAGAGGAATATTAATAAAGATAAAAGCCAAAATTAGTAAAATAGGAATACAGATCAGAGAAAATATAAATAAGCTAAAAGCTGGTTCTTTCAAAACTACTATAAAGCTAACAATACCTTATAAATCTATTTTAGTATATGAGAGAGAGAGAAAGAGAGAGCAGAAGAAAGAAAAAGAGAAAGAGAGAAGACTAGAGAGAAAGAAAGAGAGAAAAAAAACCGAAATTATGAACAGGAAAAGAAATAAATTAACATAGGAAATCAATATTAGAACGAAACAGGCTAGTGAATTCAGAAACAGATCAGAAACAGAAACATAGGAAATCAATATTACAATGAAACAGGCTAGTGATTTCAGAAACTTGGTTGAGAGAAAACAACCAAGATTATGAACAGGAAAAGAAATAAATTAACATAGGAAATTAGTATTAGAATGAAACAGGCTAGTGAATTCAGAAACAGATCCCCACACATTTGGATACGTGATTTACGACCATGACGGTACTGAAGGGAAGTGGGGGAAGGACAGTGTGTTCAGTAGTGGTGCTGGGTTTATTGGATACCATAAGGAAAAAATGAATCTTGACCCCTCTCTTGTACTACATATAAAATTAACTTGAGATGGTTTGCAGATATAAATGTGAAAGACAAAACAATAAAGCTTCTACAAGATAATCTAGAAGAACATCTTCACGACCTTGGAATAGGCAAAGATTTCTTAAACAGGTTACAAAAAGCTCCAAGTATAAAGAAAAGGATCAATAAAAATTAAAATTAAGAACTTCTGCTCATTGAAAAACATCATTAAGAGAGTAAAAAAGCAAAGTGTAGAGTAGAAGAGATTTGGTGATACCTGTAACTAGTTTGCATCCATGATAAAGAAGGAATTACCTACAAATCAAAAAGAGAAAGACAAATACCCCAATAGAAAAAAATGAATGGAAGATAAAATACACATGTTATTTACTTTTTTTATTTTTAATGTAGAGACAGGGTCTCTTTTTGTTGCCCAGGTTGGTCTTGAACCCTGGCCTTAAGCAGTACTCCCACCTCAGCCTCCCATAGTGCTGGGATTATAGGCGTGAACCACCACAACTGGCCTAAAAAATATATGATTGATGACAAAGAAAGTGGGGAAGGGATGAATGTCTTTTCTAGCAAACACAACTCTAGCAAGTTTTCTTAGCTTCGACTTTGTGACAGTATTGAGTGCCAGCATGTCTACACTGGAGAAGCATGGCAGAAAGGCCACTGGAATATAGAAAATAAAGTTACGGAGCTTTGGTCACAGACTGAGTTAAAATGAATGTGTTGGACTGAGTCAGGTGGTTTATGAAAAAAAGAGCAGACAATTTGCCTCAGAGAAGAAAACTGCCAGCCTTAACTCATTCAGTGTCAAAATTAAAGCAGCATCCATAAAAGATGCTTCAGAGCAGTGGCCTATGCAGAAGAGGAAAGTGAAGAGACTCTTCTGCAACTGACATTGGCTAGATACGTTCAGAAACTAACCATCTGTGCTACAGCGGTATCTGTTTCCTACATGGTACAGTAGTCATGACCAGTTGTCTCTTTACCTAAGACCCCTGTGTACAAAGACTTGATATTCTTTAACACTTCAGCTGAAGCTTCGTTGCAAAGAAATCATCTACCCAGGCCAACCGCTGACAGAATGGCTCAGAGGCAGCACTTCACCTATGATCCCAGAATGACATCTTCAGCACTGACTGATAGATAGACTACTGATAAACATCTCATTTGATTATCTCAACTAACTGGTGATGTTGACAGTATCTCCCCACTCAAAAATGAGGAAACTAGCCTGGGCACGGTGGCTCAGGCCGGCAATCCCAGCACTTTGGGAGGCCGAGGCAGGTGGATTGCTTGAGCTCAGGAGTTTGAGACCAGCCTGAGCAACATGGTGAAACCCCATCTCTACTAAAAATAAAAAAATTAGCCTGGCATGGTGGTGCACATGCCTGTAGTCCTAGCTACTTGGGAGGCTGAGGTGAGAGGATGGCTTGAACCCAGGAGGTGGAGGTTGCAGTAAGCTGAGATCATGCCACTGCACTCCAACCTGGGCAACAGAGCCAGACCCTGTCTCAAAATAAATAAATAAATAATAAAAAATGAGGACACTGAAGTCGAGGACTTAACTGACTAATGTAGAGAAAGCACAAGAAGTAGAAGAATGAATGCTATACTCTGAGGTTTTCTGGGTCAAAGCTCTGGGCTCTTTCCATGCTAACGCACTGAGTGATTAGGAGTTTAATGGTGAGGGGTGAATAGATTGTAGTAATGCAAGAAATCACATACCTGAAATACCAAAGCCAATGATGAGTGCAATTGCTCCAGCCAGAATAATGATGATGCTAATTATGCTACGGGAAGAGAGAGAGAAACAGAAAATTAGTTCTCCATTCCTCTTGATGTGCTGCTTTGCAACTGGGGTACAAATCTGTTGTGGATAAGATGAGTTACATAAAGCATCTCAACTTTTTCTTCCACATAAGCTTGTTCCTAGAAACGGGTACCTTAGAAAGGAATTTCAGCAATTCCATCCCCATCCCCCTGGGGCTCTGGGATCAATGAAAAGAGTGACCCTTGCCTCTGACTGTGCCATTTACTGTCCTATTTCCAGATCAGGGAAGACCATATATGGAGACTGTTGGGGCAAGAATGATGAAAACATTTCTTTAATGCCAGGTGCCACTTGAGAAGGACTGGTCCTGTTCCCAGCCTTCCCTGAGCATCACTGTCCACTCTCTTGTGTCATTTGTCTCCCTGTCTTATCTCCTTCCATAGACTTTAAACTCCATTAAGGACAATGGTCACATCTTCTTCACTTTGTACCCACTCACACCTCATCTACTGCACTCCGTAAGTCATCAGTGGGAGTCTGTTTTCTTTTATTAAAAAAACAAAAACAAAAACATATTTACTACAGAAAGTTTAGAAAATATAAACAAGCAAAAATGAGACAAATAAATCACCTGTAATCCCATCATCTAAATACAACCACTGTGTTTTGATATAATCCTCACCAATTATTTTTTATTTTATTTTACTTTAAGTTCTGGGATACATGTGCAGAACGTGCAGGTTCGTTACATAGGTACACATGTGTCATGGTGGTTTGCTGCACCTATCAACCCGTCATCTAGGTTTTAAGACCTGCATGCATTATTTGTCCTAATGCCCTCCCTCCCCTTGCCCCCAGCCCCCCTGACAGGCCCCAGTGTGTGATGTTCCCCTTCCTGTATCCATGTGTTCTCATTGTTCAACTCCCACTTATGAGTGAGAACATGTGGTGTTTGGTTTTCTGTTCCTGTGTTAGTTTGCTGAGAATGATGGTTTCCAGCTTCATCCATGTTCCTGCAAAGGACATGAACTCATTCTTTTTTATGGCTGCATAGTATTCTATGGTGTATACGTGCCACATTTTCTTTATCCAGCCTATCATTGATGGACATTTGGGTTGGTTCCAAGTCTTTGGTATTGTAAATAGTGCTGCAATAACCACATGTGTGCATGTATCTCTATAGTAGAATGATTTATAATCCTTTGGGTATATACCCAGTAATGGGATTGCTGGGTCAAATGGTACTTCTGGTTCTAGATCCTTAAGGAATCACCACACTGTCTTCCACAATGGTTGAACTAATTTACACTCCTACCAACAGCGTAAAAGCGTTCCTATTTCTCCACAGCCTCGCCTGCATGTGTTGTTTCCTGACTTTTTAATTATCAGCATTCTAACTGGTGGATCCTCACCAATTTTTAATGAACAGATTAACAAATGACACCCGGGAAACTAAATAAACAAATAAGGAAGTATTGCTTACATGTACTAAGTGCTAGAATTATATGGCAGACATGTTGTTCCAACCAAGCAGCATGTATAACTTATATCAATTATCCATTTAGTAACCTTAGGAGGAGAACAAATTTTATTGTCTCCATTTTATAGATGGGGAAGTGACACAGGGAGATTAAGCATCTTCCCTAAAGTCACACAGTTGGCAAGTGGCAGAGCAGAGATTAGAATTTGTCTCTTAAATCTGTACTCAACTCCCTCCAAGTGTACCAAGGGTAGGAGCTCACCGATGGGGCGTGTCCCTTTTCTTTGCCAAGGGGAACAAGCACTCCATGAGGGGTCACCTGCTTTAGCTCGTGAGAGTGACTCAGGCAGAGCAGAAGGCATAGGTCAAAGTGGTTCCTGGGAAGCTCGCCCGTTGCTGCCTGTCCTGGCGCATACATCATCGGTCAGACGTCCTCAGCCGCCCGCTCACACGGCTGCCAATTCACACGCTCCCAACACCCACGCTGATGTTACTCAATAGGCAGGACAAAAGAAAGGCACAGGGAGGCAAAGAACGATGCTATAGAGAGAAAAAAGAAACGCGGGGCTTTGCACTTTCTGCCCTGAATAGGCTCATTGTTCCCAGCCTCCTATGGCTCAGGAATGGGCCCACCAGACAGAAACAACAGTTCCCCTGCCGGCCAAGCCCTCATAAGGTGCAGCCACAAGGCAGCAAGCGAAGCTTTAAATAATAGGGCATCTGCTAAATTGATTCCAAGGGAGACCATATTTGGCCACTGCTCCTCTTTTCCCACACCTCAGTGTAGCCTCAGTTCTTACTGGTCCAAGAGAGTGAGAACAGCTAGATAAAGTCATAGCGAGAGGCACCATCTGCTGTCTTTGACTACTGACACAGGCAGCCGACTTGTGTGTGGCCTAGGGTTTTCATTTACTTTGGATAAAATACTTCATCGCTCTGAGGCTTATTTTTTTGTAAAATGGGAAACAGAGTAATTCCTGCTTTACCTATTATAAAGGCTGCATGTGTCCCCCCCCACATTCACATGTTGAAGTCCTAACCCCAAGTACCTCAGAGTGTGCCTTTACTTACTAATGGGGTCATTGTGAGAGGTGAAGCCAGCTGGACTTCCTAGGTCGAGTGGGGGACTTGGAAAACTTTTCTGTCTGAAGGATTGTAAATGCACCAATCAGCACTCTGTAAAAATGCACCAATCAGCACTCTGTATTTAGCTAAAGGATTGTAAACGCACGGATCAGCACTCTGTAAAATGGACCAATCAGCAGGATGTGGGTGAGGCCAAATAAGGGAATAAAAGCTGGGCACCCCAGACAGCAGCGGCAAACTCCTCCGGTCCCCTTCCATGCTGTGGAAGCTTTGTTCTTTCGCTCTTCACAGTAAATCTTGCTGCTGCTCCCTCTTTGGGTCTGCACTACCTTTATGAGCTGTAACACTTACCGTGAAGGACCGCAGCTTCATTCCTGAAGTCAGAGAGACCAGAACCCACAGGGAGGAGCAAACAACTCCGGAACAAACAACTCCGGACGCGCCACCTTTAAGAGCTGTAACACTCACCGCGAGGTCAGCGGCTTCATTCTTGAAGTCAGCAAGACCATGAACCCACCAGAAGGAATAAATTCCGGACACAATTGCAGATGTAGTTAGTTAAGGTCATACCAGAGTAGGGTAGTGGTTAATTCCTAATCCAATATGGCTGGTGTCCTTATAAAAAGGGGAAATTTGGACACAGATGAACACACACACACACACACACACACAACACCATGTAAAGATGAAAGCAGAGATCTACAACTCAAGGAACACCAAAGGTTGCCAGCAAAACTCCAGAATCTGGGAGAGAGATGCAATGGATTCTCTTTCACTGCTCTCACAGGTAACAAATCCTGCAGACATGTCCATCCTGGCCTCCAGCCTCTAGAGCTGAGAGATAATACATTTCCATTTCTAAGCCACCTGGTTTTCAGTACTTTGTTACAACAGCACTAGCAAACTAATACAAAAAGGTTGTTTCAGGATCAAATTAGATAATAAATGTGGCATTATTCAGAAAGGGCTATTCATACACTACTTTTTACTATAAATAAATTTTACTTATAAACTATTGCTGTAAGTTTATTATTAAAAGCTGTGACTTTTACGGGAGGGGACCTGAACAGCGACACTGAACAGATACCTGGGCCCTTGCCAAGAAGAGGGGGGACAATGGAAGTTGTGCATTTCGGCCAAAGCTCCTGAGCCCCTCCATCACACCAGGCCCACGTTTCCCTCGCTGTGAAAACAACCCTGCCATCTGTCACCAAATTCCCTATCAGGGCAGGAATCACCGTGAGGTTTGTTCTGAGCTAGTATTCCCTTGGGAAACAATTCAACTTCCAGAGCCTTGGAAAGAGAAGCAGGAACTACCAGAGCAGCTAAATTAATTCTTGCCTATTGCTTATTAATTTTTTAGAAAGATGAAAAAAATATTTCACTTCAGGGGTTCTTACATTGCTTTCTGATCTTTGCTTTCCCCTCAATGGTTTCCAATAACTATGCTGCAGGAAATTTTTAATGCAAAACTATGTCTTCTAACCACTGCATTGGGATTCACAGTGTACTTTTGGTACCCACTCATTACAAAAGGGCCCAAATAAAAATCAATGCTTTTGGAGGACTTGCTCATTCAGTAAACATTTATTAAGTACTTACTATGTGAAAGACATAGTGCTAGTCAATATGAAAGAAATGGAGAGATGATATAAACAAGGTCCCTGCCCTCAAGAAGCTTATAGTTAAACTGACGTGACATACACACAAACCTTTGTAATAATCTGAGGCAGAATGTGATCAGGGCTTTAGTAAAGAAATGAACAGGCCAGGCGCGGTGACTCACGGCTGTAATCCCAGCACTTTGGGAGGCCGAGGCGGGCGGATTACCTGAGGTCAGGAGTTCAAGACCAGCCCGGCCAACATGGTGAAACCCTGTCTCTACTAAAGATACAAAAATTAGCTGGGCGTGGTGGCAAGTGCCTGTAATCCCAGCTACTCGGGAGGCTGGGGCAGGAGAATTGCTTGAGCCCGGGAGGTGGAGATTACAATGAGCCAAGATCTAGGGAGGTAGGAAGAATTTAAACCCAGGGGAAACAGAGATAATCAAAGTGCATTTCCATGAACAAATTTCAAAGAAAGTGAAGAAAAAGGCTTTATTCAGAAATATATTGAGCTGATCCATGCTGTTACACACTCTCTGTCCAAGGCAGAAACACACAGAAAAGGTATTATTTCTGCTGCACTGGGGGTGCAGGGGGTCAGGATCTAAGCATTGCACTTTAGTGCTCTGGGCTGTGGGCTGGGAAGGTGCTTTCAGAGGCTGCAGAACCCAGAGCCTTCCAGGTGAAGGAGCAGCTTTGCAGCCTGGAATTCTGTCTCCATTCCTGAGGAGGGCCTGGTTCGATTCCCTCACATGCCTGCTTCAGCTGCTGCTGCCTTCTGCAGCATGTGAAAGAAATTGGGCCTTTGTTAAAACATATGCACATTCCTGAAAAGCCTCACATTCACAATAAAGGTAACAGGCCTTATGGGGGAAAATAGGCTTAAAGGCAGAGCGCTCGAAACCTATGCGACTTTGTAATTAGTCTACTAACAGAAACAATAACTAGTACCTCGGGAGATAACTTAGACAGACAAGGCAGGCACTCAGTAGGGCCAGAAACTACTTCAGGGGATATAAAAAATGCACAGATATAATAAAATAAACACTCCCGCTGCTGGGTGCTGTGAGCCGGCGTGGTCGCTGTGAAGCGGATGTGCAGCCTAGGACACGCAAGGGTAGGATGTACTTCTCTGGAGAGGGAGCCCCGTGTGCAGATGTTCATTCAAAAAAATTCTTTTTCATAAAATAAAAATAGAACTGAAAGCCATGCTAAGCTTTTCCCACTGAAGTTCTCATTCTATTCTGCTATTTCAACTCTCCTTGCTTTGAAAGAAAAGGCATGTGAACCAACACAACGTCCATGTTGTCCTGCCATCATTCCCGTTTTGCAACCACACATGAGCTCATTGATGCTATAGAAACATATACTGCAGCGGACAGGCTGTATTACTGTATCACACACCAAAAAATAAACCAGAAGAGAGATACCTATCTCTCTCTCTCTCTCTCTTTTTTTTTTTTTTTGAGATGGAGTTTCACTCTGTTGCCCAGGCTGGAGTGCACTGGCATGATCTCAGTTCACTGCAACCTCCGCCTCCCAGGTTCAAGCGATTCTCCCGTCTCAGCTTCCCGAGTAGCTGGGATTACAGGCACGTGCCACCACGCCCGGCTAATTTTTTATTTTTAGTAGAGACAGGGTTTCACCATGTTGGCCAGGCTGGTCTTGAACTCCTGACCTCAGGTGATCCACCTGCCTCGGCCTCCCAAAGTGCTGGGATTACAGGTGTGAGCCACCATGCCTGGCCAGAGACACCTATCTCTTAAACAACCTTTCATTTATCAGAGGTCCATGGCATGGCATAACAAGAGCCGATGCTTATCAGGCATAATGCCTCATTATATTGTTTCTCATTCAACCCTACAGCAACCCCATGAGGTAAGTACTACTCTCATTACCTTTTTACATGTGGGGAAACTGAGGCTTAGCTTAAGTAACAGATGAAGCTGTCACAGCTGGAAGGTGGGAATGTCAGGTCTCAATTTGAGGGTGTATGACTTACAGACTTGAGGTCTTAACTACATGCTATACTTCTAGAAAAAGTGGCAGGAGGCCTCATGTTTGGAAGGCTCCTGTCACCTCCTCGAGCACCTTTTCTAAAAACAAGAGCTTTCTGGATCTGCTACACAGTGTGGAAAGCTCAAAATGCTCAGTCTGGAAAACATAAAATGCTTTTTGTTTTATTCAAACATGAATGGTTTCTATGTTCTCGAGTTTCTGCCTCCTTCTCAAATACTAACAGAACTGGGAGATACCACATTCCTTATAGATCATTAGTTTAGCTCCACTCGTGTGATTGATAAATGTTTAAAACCCTGAAAACTAGATTAGTTTTGCAAATGTGTGATTTATTTGAATATACCAAGGAGGATATTTGAGTAAATCAAGTTGCAGCAAACATATTACATTGTTCACAAACCAACGAGGTGACTAGGTTTATAAAGAATGCTGAAATTAAAGACATTTACTTCAGCCTATCCAAAGAGGAGATTAAGGCTGAGTGTGGTGGCTCATGCTTGTAATCCCAGCACTTTGGGAGGCCCAGGAGGGCAGAGCACTTGAGGTCAGGAATTTGAGACCAGCCTGGCCAACATGGTGAAAGCCCGTCTCTACTAAAAATGCAAAAATTAGCCGAGCGTGGTGGTGTGCATGCGTAGTCCCAGCTACTCGGGAGGCTGAGGCAGGATAATCGTTTGAACCCAGGAGGCGAAGGCTGCTGTGAGCCGAGATCGTGCCATTGCACTCCAGCCTGGGCAACAGAGCAAGACTCCATTTCAAAAAAACCAAAAAAACAAAAAAGGAAAAAGAAGATTAAAAGCGGGAAAGGAAATTTCTTTATGGGGAAAAAGTATTTCCTATAAAGGGGAAAAGGAATTATTTTAAATGCTATGTGGAATAAAGCATTGGGCTTCAAGGTAAAACTAACCATTTCCTAGATATTGATTAGCATAGGTTTCAGGTTTCTGAGAAGCTTAGATTGTTGTCTACTCCAGTTTTTGCTTTGCTGAAGAATTCAAGGTGTAGAGTATGTTTCCTGGCCTCTACCCCTCTCCCTGTATCTCTTTATACTGGTAAAGTCAAGGCTGGCTTTGGTCCAGGAAACCGAGAGCAGAAGCATCAGGAATGGTGAGTGCAGGCTTGAGGAGAACTTTGCAATGAGGAGGAGTCATTATGTGGGGCTTGAGGGGTGTGTGTGGAAGAGACAGGACATCCTTTCTGGGCAGCCCCTGCTCCATCAACATGGCAGCAGATGGCCAGGCTTTGTATTTGGGAAAGGAATTTTGGGGAATTGCATATAAGAGACTTGGCTGCTGTTGAGTATCAGGTTGAAGCATCCTCTTTTCTTTCTAGCTACCCCCAAGAATCACAGCACAGTTTAGTGGATTCTTCCAAAGCACAGGACCCAGAATTAAATCATGACCTGGGTCCCAACACTGTAAAACTAGGGTAATATGGCTGGCAGAAAGATTTCATCTTGTATGCCAACAATCATTTGAATGACTGGTAGTGGTGGCTTAGAATATTGTGTTGAAAAAGACTGCAAGATTGCCTCTGTGCTCACAGGGAAGAGTGCCACCACTAATGAGTGTTTTCTTTTCTTTTTTTTTTTTTTTTTGGCGGGGTAGGTTGGGGGTGGCGACAGCCTCATTTTGTTGCCCATGCTGGAGTGCAGTGGTGCGATGGTGGGTCACTGCAGCCTTGGCCTCCCACACTCAAGCAATCCTTCCACCACACCTCCCCCAAGTAGCTGGGACTACAGGTGCACACCACCCAGCTAATTAAAAAACAAAAAATTTGTAGAGACAAGTTCTCACTATGTTGCCCAGGCTGGTCTCAAACTCCTAGCCTCAAGTGATCCTCCCATTTTGGTCTCCAAAAGTGTGGGGATTACAGGCACACCTGGCTGAGTGTTTTTGTTCTTTCTTTCTTTTTTTTCTTTTTTTTTTTTTTTGAGATGGAGTCTCTCTCTGTGACCCAGGCTGGAGTGCAGTGTCGTGATCTTGGCTCACTGCAACCTCCACCTCCTGAGTTCAAGCAATTCTCCTGCCTTAGCCTCCTGAGTAGCTGGGATTACAGGCATGTGCCACCATGCCTGGCTAATTTTTTGTATTTTTAGTAGAGATGGGATTTCACTATGTTGGCCAGTCTGGTCTCAAATTCCTGACCTCAAGTGATCCGCCCACCTCGGCCTCCCAAAGTGCTGGGATTGCAGGCGTGAGCCACTGCACCGCACCTGGCCTTCAGTGTTTTCTTTTCTTTCTTTCGTTTTTTTTTTTTTTTTTTTTTTAGAGACAGGGCCCGGCTCTATTCCCCTGACTGCAGTGCAGTTGCACAGTCATATCTCACTGTAGCCTTGAACTCCTAGGCTCAAGCAATCCTCTCGCTTTAGCCTCTTGAGTAGCTGGGACTACATACATGTGCCACGACGCTCAGCTAATTTTATTTCATGTAGAGACAGGGTTTCACTATGTGGCCCAAGCTGGTCTCAAACTCCTGGCATCAAGCAATCCTCCCACCTTGGCCTCTAGAGTATTAGGATTATAGGCATGAGCCACCACACCCAGCCTTATGAATGTTTTCTAAGTGAGCACGTGGGCCCTGTGTATTCCATCCCTGGGTTAGCAGAAACACATGAAAGGAGGCTTTAATTCACTGCTAGCTACAAAACCACGGGAATCTCAGGCTAATTTAATAGCAATGTAGTGGCGGTACAATAGCAATGTTAGCTGACACTCATCCATGCACATTTTTGGCCCACACTTTAAAAAGAACACTGATTAACATGCATACTTAGAACAGGGTTTCTCAAACTCCGTACTACGAACTATTTGTGCTAGATAATTCTTTGTTATTGGGGGTCATCCTGTGCACTGTAGCATGTTTAGCAGCATTCCTGGCCTGTAACTTCCAGATACCAGTACTGACACTACCCTTGCTGTGTCGACCAAAAATGTTTCCAGACGTGTCACCCCAGCTGAGAACCACTGATTTAGAAGAAGGGAAATCAGGGCGGTGATATGACTGGAAATCATGTTTTTTGAAAAATAGTTGAGGGAACTAGGGTGGTTTAATTTGAAGAAGACTAAATATAGTGATATCATTTCAGTATTTGAAAGGTGGTGTTTGGCCTGTTCTCCATCACTCTGGAGGAAGAAACAGAGGCACTGAGTGAAAGTTCTAGGAGATTAGATTTAGACTCAAAATACTTTGGAGAAACTTTCCAACAGAGCTCGCGGAGACTGGCCTGCA
Source organism: Homo sapiens (assembly GCF_000001405.40). Taxonomy (NCBI): domain Eukaryota; kingdom Metazoa; phylum Chordata; class Mammalia; order Primates; family Hominidae; genus Homo; species Homo sapiens. The sequence continues at coordinate 117,179,573 of NC_000001.11, forward strand.
AATGCATGTGCAAGCAGGGCCTGGGTAAACACACAGGGGGTGGGAAAAGTTTCTAGTACCAGATAAAGCTTCAAACAATTTTGAAAGGCCCTTTCAAATAATTAGTTACATGATTCTGTAATTTGATATTCCCTGGGATTTGCTCTGGCCTTGGCTTTGTCTGCACATGCCTCCTAAAACCTTTGTTAATCATATAAGAATGATAGCTAATATTTATCTGAGTACACTGCCTCATCGATCTAATCTAATCCCTATGACGACCTACGGAGATAGATACTATTATCTTTGTTTTATAGATGAGGAAGCTGAGGCCTAATGTTAAGTAATTCCCCTGAGGACTCAGTCCTGGGAAATTAAAGAGAGCAGGATTAGACTCAGGTCTCAGATGCCATCATCGTTGGTCTTAACCATTATCCCATATTTTATATTAATCAAAAGACTTGTAAATCTTGGGATTCGAATCAGTGGCTAGGCTTGTGTTTGTACAGTTGTAACTGATGGAAGGACAGCACATACAATCTTACATAGATTGAAAAAAATTTCTCTCCCCCCCAGGAAGTGTCTTTCATTTGGGACTCTGGAAGGAAAACTGGAGGGGGCATGAGTATCAGGTGGAAAATTTCACACTGTTAACAAATAGACACCTTTCCTTAAACCGTATTTGAGTTTGCAGCAAAGCCATTCTATATTATTCTTAAGCCTGTCCTATTTATAGCATCACCCTGATTGCCATAAGCATGTATTAGCATTTCTTCATCATCCTTGTGCACACTATTTTTCACTGGTACAAGCAGAGCGAGACAAAAGGCAATGTAAGGTTGATTACCAGTCCTTTTCGTAATCATACCTGTGTTTCCTGCTCCTCCTTATTCTCACTGCAGAGAAAAAAACATTTCCACAAGATTCCTTCAGCAGCATAACTGATCCCATTGTACTGAATAACAAACACACTCCAAACCTTTCATGACCCTCCCACAAAGGGCCTGTACTGTTAGAAAAGCTGAGTATCCCATAAGCAGTCTCTGCCATGTGAACAAAAACAGCCTAATTGTCTGTCTTCCAAAGTGGAGGTTAAGAGAGATTGCAGGGGTGCTCACAGCACCTGGGTGGGATCTGGCTGCTAATGAACACTTCTTTTCATGGTTGGCTGTTGTCCTGGCTGCTGTCCATTCACCAACTCCTCCCCACCATAATCTTGGCATCCCCTTGCTCTCCCCGCCTCTCTCCACTTCTGCTCACCTCTCCTCCTCCAGCCCAGCCATAGATAAGGGCAGGAGCACTGCTCAGGGACAGCCTGATCATTTCTGGAATGGATGCAACAAAAAGAAGCTGCTGCTATTCCTCCCCTTATCCACTCTACAGAGAACCCGGCATTTCCTAATGGGGGCTCCACAGGAGCAGGAGACATGAACAGTTGGGCAACACTGCAATTCATCCTATACCTGCCTCCAGATTCAACACGACTTTTTCCACAGGGCTATCGTGAGGGTCCAAAGAAACAAACTCTTCCTTACAAAATGTAAATATTAGCTGTTATTTTAAAACTATAAATGTTAATTCTTGGCTAGGAGTGGTGGTTCATGCCTGTAGTCCTAACACTTTGGGAGGCCAAGGTGGGAGAATTGCTCGAGGCCAGGAGTTGGAAACTAGCCTGGGCAACATAGTGAGACCCTGTCTTTACAAAAAAAAAAAAAAAGTAAATGCTTATTTTTACTTTTCACTATTCCCAAATTTAAGTAACTCCTGATTGCTTATGAAAGTTCAAACTGTTCTTGACTGGTGGTCATGGAAAAGAAAAAGGAAAGTTGAAACTGATCCTAGAATTTAAGACCACCTTTAAATGCACCGAGCTATTTTTCTAACCCTTCTCCCTTTAGGAATCCCTGTATTCTCATCAGACTGTTCACTGCCCAGTTGCTCTCTGCTTAGAACACCCTTCCACCTCTTCCCAGGTAATGAGAAGCAGGCCCATCCAGAGCCTAGCTCAGCTCTGACCTGCCTCAGGCTCCTTCCTGAGGGCCAGCCCAGAACGTGCCCTCCCTTCTCTTTTTTAAATGGATTTAAGGGAGTGGGAAGGCAGGTGAACCTCAGGAGGCTGAACATGTGTGAAGACAAGAGGAGGAAGTGCTTGAGTGGCACTAAGGTTTGAGACAGGAGCTGGGAGGGGGAACTAGGCCCCAAAAGAGCTGAGAGGAAGAACAGGGCAGGCTCCCTGTGAGGGACGTGCATTTCAGCGAGGTCATCAGTCAGTGTGGTCATCAGTCAGCGTGGTCATCAGTCACCCTGGTCATCAGTCACCGTGATCTGGGCCTCAGGCAGATGGATGGCCTGACAGGGAGAGTGAGCTGTAATCTAGATTACCTTTGCAACACCCTAAAGCCACCGTGACTGTTTTGAATTTCATTCCTTTTCTTGCCTTCAGGAAACCTGTGCCTGTCACTGAAGAGATTCAGAGAAGCACTTGGGCTGGCTGCTTCTCGGAAAGCCTAGCCCTGGGATCAGTGCACTGTTTATTCATTAATAAAGCTGGAAACAAGTACGTCTATTGCCCTCAGAGCTTCTCTCTACGAAAGCCCATACACCTGTCTTAGGCAGTCTGATTTCTCTATGTACAATGTCATATTTGTACACTCCAAGTCTTCTGTCATCCACTATCTTTATTTTATAATGGCAGAAAGTCCTCCCAGTGAAAAGCAGACCACTGTATCCTAGAAGTAAGTAGAGGATGTATTGTTCAGTCTTCCAAAAGATCTACCAGGAGTTCCAATGCAAATCCTCGCCTGCTGGGACCTACATTCTCATATTTTAGACTGGGCCCCAGTTCTGTAGGTGTAGCTATGTAGAGCTTGTGAGAATTTAGGTATGAAAATCAGGCTGCCAGACCCACCCCTTGAGGGCCTGGCTTGCCTGAGCAATTTCCCGGCTGCAGCCCCTGCGGCTGCTCTGGTACCATAACAACCCTTGCCTGCCTATGTCAAGGGGCATTCTGAAACCCAAGGCAGGGAGACACTCCCTGTCCTAGGGTGGAGGCAACCTTATGTAGAACCCTTCTGTGGTCCTGACCATCTGTAGCAGACACAAAGGAAGCTTCCCAGGCCTTCCAGCCTGGAATCTGTAGTTTTCTTACTCCCTGGAGCTGCCTTCAACACAGGGCCTGCCTCGTGATTTCAGATTCTGTTACTTGGTCTTTTCTCTCTGGTCCAGCCTGACTTCCAGGGCACCAGTCTTAGTTTTCTTCTATAGATTTCAACATTCCCCTGGTAGAGACTCCCAACCTGATGCTATGTGCTGTGTCCTGTACCTACCCCACCTTTGGTTGCCATTCTGACCCACTGAAGCCCAGGGCCTGACACTGACCTGGAGATGGGCTACGGAGCTCTTATGAATCACAAGATGTCTGTTTTATTTTCTAAGCCTTCTATACATTCTGATACCATTTTTTAAAGAAAAAGAATAAGATTAAAATATAAAGTATTGATTTAAGCATAGAAAGCGAAGAAAGCATACTAAACCTGAAAGTTTGAATAAAAATATAAGCTCAAGAAGATTTTATATAAACCTGTGACTACTTTCTCCCATCTCCCGTCACCTCCACACTCCATCCATTCTAAACCACTCTGGGTCCCTGACTACGCCAGGCTGCTTCTTGCCTCCATGCCTTCGTTCCTATTATTTTTCAAGTTCTTGGAACATGCAAGGAACTTACCAAATGCTTGTTGAATAAATGCCCCACCTTACAGACTGCTTCCCTTGGAGCGTCTAGCACATAGTCTTTAAAATATGTTGAATTAATGAATAAATAAATATCCATGCTGTGCTACTGAGAGAAACTAACACATTCTTAACTTTTGAGAAACCATTTATGGGAGAAATGATCATTTATCTTTCTCTTTAAACAGTCTTTTAAAAAATTGTGGTATCAGAAATCTTGCTGATGCTATAAATTGTAACAAAATGCCTTGGAGGGTTGTACATGGAAGACCTGGTTGGCTGTGGCTAAGAAGGGGACCTAGAGATTCATAATAGCTGTGCTTGAATACTTGTTAAACTTGAGTCCTCTTGGACATTTCTCTCCACAAACAAGGGGCAAAATAGAAGTGTTTCTCTAAAAGAGAAAGGACATTGTAGGGAATGAAGAGTTAAATTTCCAGAATAGTGCATACTAAATAGCCTTTAAAAAAATCCTTGATAAAAATACTTGAAATGCTGAATAAAAAGAAAAAAATAAAAGACAAAACCACACACACATTTTTGGGTACTTCATTTTTGCCAGCAAGAAAAATGAGGGAGATTTGCAGAGGCTAAAAATGAAACCAGCACATGAGTCCAGATCAGTAAGAGAGTGCTGGGCGCAATGGCTATGCATTCCAGGGACCAAAAGCTTCTGTCTTCAGAGCCATACCAAACACCAGAGACAAAGCTAAGGGGCCATTCAAGCTGGGGACTCACTGCCAAGTAGGAGCCCTTTAAAATGAAATCTTGGTTTCAGAGGTTTTGGGAAATGGAGATGTTATGAATTCAGGCCTCAAATCTGCATGATGACTGTCTTATATATACACAGTTTCAGGGAATATATATTTTTTTCTTTACCCAGCACCAAGACCAAGTGAGGTTGTTGCCTTCTGGTACTCCCCCTGCCCCAGCTTTGCTGTGCAGCAGTCCAAGCTATCAAGAACCTTAAGATATGGAAGGCATTTGTTAGGCCAGTCCAGAGTCACCTGAAGTCTGGGCAGCACTGGGCTATCTGCGAGGCTGACTGAGCTTGTCCTTCCAGCATTAGCCAAGCAGGAGTGGCAACCTGTCTCTGCCATCCCTGACCAACACACACACAAAAAGTGACCAGAGGGAAAAGTTAAGCTTCAATGAACTTATCTAGAAATTTATAATCAGGAAAACTAGAAAGAAGTGACTTTAAGCAATTTTTTTTACCTTGTGTGTATTTTTATAGTTCAGTGTTCTTTATACTTTGAATTCTATGCTGGCTGGTAGGGGTGTCAGTGGGCAGTACTACCATCTTTTTAATACTTACAGCATATTTCTGAGCTTCAGGGAAGAATATTTAAAGTCCAGGGAGGAAGCTCCTTTCTTCACTTGGTGCCCTTCTTCATGATGTGTGTATGTAGCGTTGGGAGGATAGTGCCTGGCATGGAGCAAAGGCACTAAAGATGTTGGCTCCCTTTCCTGCTACTCAGAGGCTAAGGACCACAGCAAGAGCCAGGGTGACTGTGGATACCAAGCGTGTTGTGTTTCAAGGCCAAAGGGGTGAAGGATAGAGTTAGGAGAAGAATGTTTCATCCAGAGACACTTAGAGGCAGATTCTGTTAGGGACTGAGAATCCTCCTAGGCCTGGAAGCAATGCCCAGCCAGTTTTCCCTTAGTCTAGAAACTAATTAGCTTTGCTTCTTGCTAACCCAGAGGTAAGAAAAGGAACAAATGCTGGTACCTCTAATGCTGCCACAGCTAAGTCAGATCTTGACTTAGACTTAAGAAGTTAGGATAAATAACTAGCACCGTTAGTTTTATATTTATAATGTTTCTTAGTTTCTTCCATCTTTTAGGCATATCTTACCCAAACCAAGGGCAGAGACATTTTCTCATATTTCAGTCAAATACAACAGTTCCAAGTGGTCACTTCAAGTCTCAGGTTTCTTCCTGAGAAACCCAGGAAAGACCAAGTTGTGGCAGCAGAAACCAGGGCCCTATGGGAAAAGAGGCAGGAATGACTAGGGTCTTGGTCCTTTGCCATCTAGGCAATTTTTCTACTACTTCATGGAAGCCAACCACATTCCACCAGAAAAAGTTTCCATGGGCTGCCATCAGAATCAAAATATACCTAGGCTGGGGATGTCCTGATCAGTGCCAAAGTGGCATTTGTAAACCAAAAATAAAATTCTGAGCCCCCCAACCACCTGAATGGACCCCTCCTCTTGGCCAAGGGCATTCCAAAGTTAATCAGCAAAAGTAGTTCAGGCCGTGATAGGAAGCAGAGGGGGTCAGACATGCCCCATTATATCCTCCTCTCTTTTAGAATTCAAGAAAAGCCCACCAGCATTACAATCAACACAGGCTTTATCCGATAAGAAACACTTACAATGTATTCTCTCTGAAGCCTACTTGGAGGCTTCATCTGCGTGATAAAATCTTGGTCTCCACAAGCTCTTATCATAACCTAGAAATTCCTTTCTATTGATAGTAACTCTTTCAACCATTTGCGAGTCAGAAAATTTTTAAATCTACCTGTGACCTTGAAGCCCCCCAACCCCCACTTCAAGTTGTCCCACCTTTCCAGGTTGAACCAATGTAAAGCTTACATGTACTGATTGATGTCTTATGTCTTCCTAAAATGTATCAAAGCAAGCTGTACCCTAACCACCTTGGGCACATACCGTCAAGACCTCTGGAGGCTGTGTCATGGGCACATCCTTAACTTTGGCAAAATAAACTTTTTTAATTGATTAAGACCTGTCTCAGATACTTTTAGTTTCACACATTCCTTGCATGAAATTCTGCTTCACTGTTCTGAAATATGGTCCCTAGTTATAGGAACCATCTTTTCCAGAAACTGGAAATGTAGTTCAACAATGGTCATGAGAGCTATTTCCAGGCATGAGAGATCTGAAAGGCATAGTTTGGCTTCATAGCTATTCGAATTTCTGGAATATGTCAATGGTTGGAGAGACAATAAGTAATATAGCTGAAATTAGAACAATCGTATTAAATCTGAGTCATGTAGCTATGGTGTGGTTGGACCCCCAAGGAGGCATTTTCTTAGTGTATAAAGTGGATTGTACCTGCTTAGACAGCCAAATGAAGCGTCTTCAAGATGCTGGGGCTCAGAAGCATAAACCAGGCAAGGCCCTTAACTGGTTACAGCTTCCTCCATGCCTGCCTCAGCAGTATTAGAGAAGCAAGTTCATTCTTATGCTTTTTAAGTATTTTGTGATTTTATAATGTTGTGTTTTATGTTGGAACTGGGGCTTGGAAAGTGAAATGAACTAGTTATTGTGAAGGAAAAGAAATAATTGGATAAGAGATAGAATGCAGGGAATGAGAGGGTAGGTATAATGGATGGGGCCCCTTATTTTCCCTCTCCACTTCAAGTCCAGATATTCTCTGTACATTCACTGATGTCCATGAAGCCATGGGCACTGTAGGAAGACACATCTGAATTATCCAGGCCAGTGGTTGCTCACATCTGGAATCCCAGCACCTTGAGAGGCTGGGGCGGGAGGATTGCTTGAGGCCAGGAGTTCGAGACCAGCCTGGGCAACATACCTGGTCTCCATAAATCAAATTAAACAGTGTTATTCAGGCCCCAGAATTGACCCTGTTCTTGAATTCCTTAGGGCAGATTCAGAGGGGATTACTATTTTTACAGGTGGCTGCTAAGATTTCTGGGCCCTTTTACAAACCTTTAAAAAAGGAGCTTTTTGGCCGGGAGCAGTGGCTCATGCCTGTAATCCCAGCACTTTAGGAGGCCAAGGCAGGTGGATTGCTTGAGTCCAGGAGTTCAAGACCAGCCTGGGCAACAAGGTGAAACCCTGCCTCAGCAACAAGGTGAAACCCTGCCTCTACAAAAAATACAAAAATTAGTTAGGTGTGGTGGTGCGCACCTGCAGTCCCAGCTACTCGGGAGGCTGAGGTGTGAGGATTGCTTGAGCCCAGGAGGCAGAGGTTGCAGTGAGCTAGATCATGCCACTGCACTCCAGCCTGGGTAACAGAGCAAGACCTTGTCTCAAAAAAAAAAAAAAAAAAAAAAAAGGAGCTTTTTCCTACCCACTTTACCAATTTAACAGTATTACCAAGAACCTATAATTTCATTATTGTTCCTTCAGGCACTTGAGGAACTAGGGGACAAAGCAATAGCATGAAGTCCCCAATGACATACAGGATCCTGTCAGTGCATTTGTGAGATACACAGACTCCTCCTTCTTTAGTGTATAGCTTCCCTCCAGATAATTTTTCAGGGAAACTACTAGCCATATGCATCAGAAACTGTCTCTGTGTCCTCATTATACCAGATACATTGCTCTAACACAAATGTGTTACATTGTATTGAAATTATCTGGTCACACATTTGTGTCTCCTTTAGTCTCCTCTAAGTTTCTCAAGAACAGGGACCATATCTTTTCATTTTTGTGTAACAGGATGTTACATTTAAAGTTTCAACTGAGGTTCCAAGATAAAATAGATGCTGCATACCAAAGTGAGGTGCCACATCACTATGCAGAGTTTAAAAAGGGAATCTTTAAAGAACAAAACAAAAAATAAAAAATAAAAGAAATTATAAAATGAAAAAAAGAAAAGAAAAAAACTAAAAAAAGGGGGGATCTTTGACAATCATTTCCATAATTCTTACCCACTTCACTCACTTTGACAATTATTTCCATAATGCTTAGCTGCCTCACTCAGATGAAGGGTATTAAAAGGGCCCAGGGTAGGAAAAGATTTGGGAAGATATTTCTTCGGGGATTTTTTTTTCTTCTGTGCTATGTAAACATCCTCCTCCCCCTCTCTAACACACAAATACAAAGCTTAACTTGAAGAGCTTGTAATGTGTTCTTGATGGGGTAAGGTGGGGAACACCATGGATTAGAATTTAAATCATACTTGAGAAATTCAATATGATCTAGAACAGATCAGAGAGCGAGAGAGAGAAGGAGAGAGACGGACAGACAGAGACAGAGAGAGGGAACACAGAGAGCTGCGAGAGTCACCACTCTTTTATGAAGCAAGGAATGTGTACCCTTCCAGCAGGGCAGATGTCCTAGAACTATGTGGAGTCCTCACCAATAGGAATAACCGGGAGAGGGAACTGAGCAGTGAGAGTCATGTGTGAAGTAGACTTTTGGGGAATAAGGGACTGAGGCAATATCAGGCAATTGAAGGTGAAACCAGGTTTTCATCAGAGGCTTCAGAAGTTTCATCATGTATTTCTATATGTGCACTTTAAAAGGTCAGATATAAAAAGAAATTATTCCTTTGATTATAACTACTGGTCATGCTGAATCAATTCACCAATCACATTTATTTCTCTAAGTGTCAGACATCATGCCTGACTCATCCTAGGCATCTGATAAATGCTAAACTGAGCTCATCTGATTTTGGGACATATTCTACTACTATACCAAAATATGTCCATGACACAGCCCAGCTGCATGGCAGCCCATTTTTTCCCCCAAGATCCTTCAGGCCATTGAAAGCAGTTCGTATTTTTATTTCAGGGTAATGACTCCTTAAATTATACTTTTGGGTAGGTTTTATGCGAATAATTTTAGGTCGTTTTATGTGAACAATTACAATTAACTAAATATAAACACACATTTAGAAATCTGCTCTTAATTATTATATATAAGTAAAAAATAGTTTTCTAACTCCAGAGATACAATGTTATTATAACCCATATAAAGTCCAGATGTCTGTGGTCTAGGTTTTGGCAGTGTCACGGTAAACAAAATATCAGCCTGGCGGAAAAGTTTAGGTGAAACCAATGAATATCTAGAAAAATATCAAAGGCATTACATGGATAACGCATAGCAAAACTTCCTCTTAAAAAGACCCTCATTACCAACTTCTACCCTTCTTATCAGTTCCCCCAAACTTTCCCTTTCCTAGAATTTCCTCAAAACTCTCTCTGAAGTTCACTTCCTCGTCTCTTCTCCCTCTGTGCCTACCCTGCTGCCTATTTTCTTGTCTCGCACCTGCAGGTCCACTATCCTCTGCCCTTTCTCTCATTTCCTTTTCAGTTTTCTCTGCATGATTTACTCCATTGAACTCGTAATTGTGAGTTGGAGAATGTGGAGATTTAGCAAAAGGTGCCAAGATTTTCATGAGAAGTTGGGTAGAGAAAGAAAAGTCTGTGAGTATTTAACTGTTTTTCCCTGTCGTTCCACGAAAGGGAGACTTGGCAAAAGTCAGCATCAGGAACAAGAGGAACAGATGACCTGCTTTACCCGATCTGAAGCCCTGCAGAGGTGGACTTTCTTCACCCCAAAATAACTCTCATCTTTAGCTTGATAATAAAATGAAACTTTAGAACAAGGAAGTTATTTCTTTGTTTTTGTTCCTGATTAAAATATTTAGTATAACATTTCACTCATTAGTTATCGATAGCTAGGTAAATGAATGTATTAGTTACCTTACTGGAAGTAGAGTTGGGTGGTAAATTAAGAGGAAGGCAGCTAAGAAGAGGGACATCAGTAAAATGGGATAGGAGATCCCCCACTCCTATTCCCCCACAGCAATGTTAATTTGGCAACCACTGGTGGATACCAGTGCCTTTGTGGGAGCCTTGGAATCCACGTAGGAGGTTGCAAAACCCCAGTGAAGCCCAAGACCAAGGTAGGCTCATGCCTTGGTGGCAGACTCACCCACCACAAGCTACAGATCCAGAAATAGCTTCATCCTCTGTGGATTCAGCTACAACCCCATTTGGTCTTGGTCCTGCCACCAGAACCATCGGCTAAGGAGCCCAGGAGGAGTCACACACCACACACAAGTGCCTCAGGTAACAGGCCCATTGATCTTGTTCCCATCTTTGGACTGCAGATCAGCCTATGACCCAGTGCTAGTCCCTCTCTGCTGTGCTTATGGAACAGTCCTGTTCACTCAGGACTTGATGGGAGACATAGCTGTCTGTGCCCACGAAGACAGACTTGCCAATCTCAGTCCAACTGAGGATTGTGAAGCAGCCCTATGACCTACCTTCAGCATTTTTCAGGCTGTGGCCTCAGCAGTCCTAACCACCCAAGAACCTGGCAGGAGCCATGCCCATCCATGTCTGCAGAGGTAGGCCTGAAAACCTTGGTCTCAATTGTGGATGCTGAAGGAACTCTGTGACTTGGTTTCAGCCCCTTTTAGCCACAGACCAGAGCCAGTATTTCCTGCTTACTAACTCAGCAGGTATCCTCCCACAGAGACTTGGCAGGAGCCATAGCCATACACACACCTGATAACAAGCCCACTGTCCACAGACCCAACTGCAGATCCTGAGGCAGACCTTTGGTTCAGTATCAGCCCTACTGACCAAAATCTAGGACTCCTCCAGACAGGATCCATATCTGCCCAAGCCACTGGTAATGGGCCCACCAACAGTGGACCCTGCTGCAGACTCAGGAGCAGTTATGTAACCCCACTCCAACCTTGCTTAACTACAATCCTGGAGGCAATACCATCACTCCAGGGAACTGACAGGCAAATGTCCTTACCTGCCAAAACCAATCTATAAAGTCTAAAACAGATGTTTGGTCCTTACAATATATAAACACTAATGCAAGTCTATGCACATTAAGAAGGATCAGGCAAACGTGACACCACCAAAGAAACTAGTAAAATTTCAGCAACCAACCCAAAATATGAAAGTCTATTAATTGCCTGACAAGAATTTAAAATAATCATCTTAAAGAAGCTCAATGAGATGCACAAAAGAACACAGACAGACCATTAAACAAAAATCAGAAAAACAGTACATAAAAAAGAAGAGTTTAATAAAGAAACAAAAACCATAAAGAAGAACTAAACAGAAATTTTGGAGCTGAAGAATGCAATCACAGAACAGAAACATTTGATAGAGGGCTTCAACAGCAGACTTGATCATACAAGAAAAAAAATCAATGAACTTAAATACAGGTCATTTGCAATCAGTCATTTAGAGGAACAAAAAGAAAAACAATGAAAAATAGTAAAGAAAGCACAGAAGACTTTTGGGCCACCATCAAGTGATCAAATATATCCATTATGGGAGTCTTAGAAGGAGAAGCAAGAGAGAAAGGGGAAAACATACTATTTAAAGATGTAATAGGCCAGGCGTGGTGGCCTATGCCTGTAATCTCAGCACTTTCGGAGGCCAAGGTGGGAGGATTGCCTGCAGCCAGGAGTTTGAGACCAGCCTGGGCAACATAGCCAGATAGCCAGACACTATTTCTATAAAAAATAAAAAACAGACTGGTTGCTGTAATCCCAGCACTTTGGGAGGCCAAGGTGGGCAGATCACCTGAGGTCGGGAGTTTGAGACCAGCCTGACCAACATGGAGAAACCCTGTCTCTACTAAAAGTACAAAATTAGCCGGGCATGGTGGCACATGCCTGTAATCCCAGCTACTCGGGAGGCTGAGGCAGGAGAATCGCTTGAACCCAGGTGGCAGAAGGTGTGGTGAGCTGATACACGCCATTGCACTTTAGCTTGGGCAACAAGAGTGAAACTCCATCTCAATAAATAAATAAATAAAATAAAAAATAAGCTGGGCATGGTGAAAAACACCTGTAGTCCTAGCTACTTCAGAGGCTAAGGTGGAAGGATCTCTTGAACCCAGAGTTTGAGGCTGTAGTGAGCTATGATCATGCCACTGAACTCCTGTTCTCCAGCTTGGGCAACCAAGCAAGACCCTGTGGGGTGGGAGGGAAATGTAGTAGTTGAAAATTTCCCAATTCTTAGGAGATATATAGATATATATATATACACATCCAAATTTACAGAGCTCAAAAGATTTTAAGCAGCGTCCCCAAAGAATATTACTCCAAGACACATTATAATAAAATAAAATCCAAAGACAAAGACAGAATTTTGAAAGCAGCAGGAAAAAACAGGCTTGTCACATATAAGGGAAACTTTGTGAAGCTACTGGTGGATTTTTCAGCAGAAGTCTTACAGGCCAGGAAGAAATGGGATGATATATTCAAAGTGCTGGAAGAAAACAACTGTCAACCCAAAATACTAAACCTAACAAAACTGTCCTTCAGAAATGAAGGACAGATGAAGATATTCACAAACAAAAGCTGAGAGATTTCATTACTACTAGACCTGCCTTATGAGAGATGCTAAAGAAGGTTTCTCAAGTTGAAATTAAAGGATGCTAAGTAACAATATGAAAGCATATAAAAGTATAAAATTCACTGGAAAAAGTAAATATACAGTCAAATTGAGAATACTCTAGTTCTGTAACTGTGGTACAGGAATCACATTAAACTGTAGTATAAAAGTTAAAAGACAACAGTATTAAATATAACTATAGCTATAATTTCTTAATGGGTATACACTATTAAAAATGTAAAGTGTGACATTAATATCATAAGATGTGTGTGTTGGGGGTAAGATTGTAGAGTTTCATGTGCAATTGAAGTTAAGTTGTTAGCTTAAAATAGACTGTTATAGGTATTTTACGTAAGCCTCAGGATAACTCAAAAAAAATTCTAGTAGACAAAAGATAAAGAGAAATGAATCAAAGAATAACACTACAAAAAAGTAATCAAATCACAAAGGAAGACAGAAAGACAGAAGGAAAGAAACTTCAGACCACTTAGAAAACAATTAACAAAATGAAATAGTAAGTACAGTTAGCCATTAGTATTCATGGGTTCTACATCTGTGGATTCAACCAACTATGTATCAAATATTAATATATTAGGAAGAAAACAAAATAACAACACAGCAATAACAATGGAAATAAGAATAACAATACAGCATAACAACTATTTACATAGCATTTACATTGTATTAGGTATTTTAAGTAATCTAGAGATGATTCAAAGTATATGGGAGATGTGCATAAATTATATGCAAATACTACACCATTTTATATAAGGAACTTGAGCATCTGTGGATTTTTTTATCAGGCATTTTGGGGTGGGGGAGTGGTTCCTGGAACCAATTCCCCACAGATACTTAGGGATGACTGTACTTACCTATCAATAACTACTTTAAATGTAAATGGATTACATTTTTCAGTCAAAAGACAGAATGATTGAACAGATTTTTTAAAAAGATCCTACAATATGCTGTCTACAAGAAATTCATTTTACCCTTAGGACACAGAATGAAAGTGAAGAAATGGAAAGATATTCCACGCAAATGGTAACCAAAAGAGAAGAGCAATGGCTATGCTTATATCAGACAAAGTAGACTTTCAGTCAAAATTTGTTGTGAAGACAAAGATAGTAACAAAGATAATGACAAAGGGGTCAATTCATCAAAAGGGTATAACAATTGTAAATATATCTATGCATCCAACTTGGAGCATCTAAATATATAAAGCAAATATTAACAGAACTGAAGGGAGAAAAGACAGCAAAACCAAAATAGTAGGGGACTTTAATATCCTACTTTCAATAATGGACAGATCGTTTAGACAGAAAATCCATAAAGAAATGGTAGGCCTCAATAATTCTACAGACAAAATGGACCTAATAGACATAGAACATTCCATCCAACAGCAGCAGCAATAAATGGTACTGGGAAAACCAGAGTCCACATGCAAAAGAAAGAAATTGGATCTTTATCTTACACCACACACAAACATTAACTCAAAATGTATTGAAGACTAAATATAAGACTCAAAACTCAAACTACCAGAAGAAAATATAGGAAAAAAGCTCCCTTTGATGTTGGTTTTGGCAATGACTTTTTGGATATGACACCAAAAACACAAGCAAATAGCAAAAATAAATAAGTGGAATACTTCAAACTAGAAATCTTCTGCACAGCGAAGAAAACAATCAACAAAATGAACAGGCAACCTAAAGAATAGAAGAAAATATTTGCAAACCATATATCTGATAAGGAGTTAATGTCAAAATATATAAGGAACTCATATAACTCAATAGCAAGAAACCAAATAACCCAAGTTTTAAAAATGGGCAAAGACTTGAATACACATTTTTTTCAAAGAAGATACGTAAATGGCTAACGGGCAAATGAAAAGGTGGTCAACATCACTAATCATCAGGGAACTATAAATCAAAACCACAGTGAGATATCACCTCACACCTGTTAGGATGGCCCTTATCAAAAAGACAAGTGATAAAAATGTTGGTGCGGATGCAGAGAAAAAGGAACATTTGTATACTATTGGTGGGAATGTAAATTGGTATAGTTATTGTGGAAAACAGTATGAAGGTTCTTCAAAAAATTAAAAATGGAACTACCATATGATCTGTCAATCTCACTACTGGGTATATATCCAAAGGAAATGTAATCAATGTCTAGAAGGCATATCTGTACCCCCACGTTCATTGCAGCATTATTCACAAGAGCCATCATATGGAAACAAACTGTGTCTATCAATACATGAGTTGACAAAGAAATTGTGTCCCATATTTACAATGAAATATTATTCAGCCTATGAGAGGCAGGAAATCCTGCCATTTGTGGTAACACAGATGGAACCTGGAGGTCATTATGCTAAGTGAAATATATCAGCCACAAAAAGACAAATACTATATCATCTCATTTACATATGGAATCTTAAAAAGTTACACTCATTGAAGCAGAGAGATGAATGATGGTTGCCAGGGGATAGGGGTTAGGGAAAATGGAGAGGTGTTAGTCAAAGGGTACAAATTTTCAGGTATAAGAGTAATAAGTTCTGGGGATCTAATATACAGCATGGGGCCTGTAGTTAATAATATTGTTTTGTAGGCCGGGCACGGTGGCTCATGCCTATAATCCCAGCACTTTGGGAGGCCGAGGTGGGTGGATCACCTGAGGTCAGGAGTTCGAGACCAGCCTAATATAGTGAAACCCTATCTCTAGTAAAAATACAAAAATCAGCCAGGCATGATGGAGGGCGCCTGTAGTACCAGCTACTAGGGAGGCTGAGACAGGAGAATTGTTTCAACCTGGGAGACAGAGGTTGCAGTGAGCAGAGATCACACCACTGTACTCCAGCCTGGAGAGAGAGCAAGACTCCGTCTCAAAATAATAATAATAATAATAATAATAATAATAATAATAATATTGTATTGAACACTTGAAATTTGCTAACAGAGCAGGTCTTAAGTGTCTTCACTGCAAACACACACAAATAACTGAGGTAAAGTATATGTGTTAACTGACCTGATTGTGGTAATCGTTTCACAATGTATATGTACATCAAATCATCACATTGTATGCCTTAAATATATAGAATTTTTGTCAATTATACCTCAATTAAGCTGTGGGGAAAAAAGAGAAGGGAGGCTAAGAAACGAGAAAGAAAACCTCAAATATTGAAGAAGATGGTAATGTTAAATTAAAATTTTGTCATTTTCTTTTTCAATATGTTGGCAGGGTTAGTGCTGGTTCTGGAAAAAGGCTTTAGTGAAAGTTATTACTTTAAAGCATATAAATGGTTGGTAGGAGCATAAGTTGGTACCAACTTTAGTGTGGGGAGAGGGGAAAAATTTGGCCACATATATCAGAAGGCTTATGATATGCACAGCCAACTTTGATCCAGTAATTCTACTTCTAGGAATTTATTCTACAGAATCAACAGGATACATTTCCAAGGTTATCTATAGTGTTGACTAAAATTAATGTAATAGGATTGGGTGCGGTGGCTCACACCTGTAATCCTAGCACTTTAGGAGGATGAGTAGGGAGGATTGCCTGAGCCCAGGGGTTTGAGACCAATTTGGGCAACATAGGAAGGCCTTGCCTCTACAAACATTTAAAAAATTTAGTCAGGCATATTGGCATGCACCCATAGTCCCAGCTACTTGGAAGGGTGAAGTGGGAGGATCACTTGATCCTGGGAAGTTGAGGCTGCAGTGAGCTATGATAGTACCACTGCACTCCAGGTGAGGCAACAAAGTGAGACTGTGTCTTGATGATAATAATAAAATAAAATAAATGTAATAATTTTGGCAAATAATTGAAGGCAATTAAATGTCCAACAATAGGGAACTTAGTGAGTGAATTAAGGTTCATCATTAGCGGCAATACTATGCATTTGTTAAAAAATCATATTATAGAAGAAGATTTATTTGAGAAATACTTATAAGACCAATAAGTAGAAAGTCATTTCCAAAATAATATGTACAGTATTTTACTATGTATTAAATACATATATATATATATAGAGAGAGAGAGAGAGAGAGACGGAAAAAAAAGACTGGAAGGACATATAAATAGTGGTTATCTCTAGGTTAGGACCGATAGATATTTTTTTCCTTTGTGCTTTTTTGTATTTTCCAAATTTTCCACACTAATCCAATATTATTCTTATAAAACAAACAAGGAAAACATATGTTAAAAAAGAAAACTCTGCCTTTTTTTTTTTAAGAGTACAGTCTAACTCTTTTAGATGTTGGGCAAACAGGCATCTCTCCATTTAATGCTCCCATAAAGCTGGTAACTTAAATACTTTCCTGGGTTAGTGGTTTGCATTTTCAGAAGAGCTCTCATAGAAAGAGCTAGTACCCAAGTGAATATATGCTATAAATTATAGATAACTTGTTTTTCTTCATTTAAGTGAGCAAGCATGTTCTTCATAAGTCAATACATGGCTCACAAACTACCCCAGGCAATGATTAGACAGCAGCCTCAGTTCCAGAGAGCTCAAGCCAGCAGCACCTGGAGCCCCTAGAATTTTCGGATAAACAGAATACTTCCTTCACAGTTTGACACCTTTGGGGAATGCTAATGAAAGCCACCATCTTGCAGCTCACTTCTTTACAACTTTATTTGCCTTAAGGGTAGAAAATTGTGAAGCTAGCAGGAGCCTCTACCCATATTAAAAAGATTCTCTTGCAGTTCACCTATTTTTCTGCCTCAGAAAATCATCGTTTACTTTTAGACAACATGTTTATTAAGATAAGTACAATATGTTGGGGTCAGTATTAGTGAAACTGTAAGTACTTATTCGCTAAGCCCATAAAAGTCAAGCATTTCATTGACCCAGTAATTTGTCTACTAGAAAATATCAATGTAGAAATATGAGAAAACAGATTTATCATGCACCTAAAGAGAAGTAGCAATGTTCACACCCCTCCCCCTTCTCATTGCTCTCAGAGAACTCAGGATATATTATTAGGATATTTTTGACTTTTACAGAGGACAAATTTGAGGCAGGAGAATAGGGTCTGGAGACAGGGAACATAGGGCCCATTCATGCTGACTTCCTAGAACTAAGTCAAATGGAAACACTTCAGCTATAATAGTAAATATTCTCTCCATTTACTTAGGGAGTATACTGAGTAAACGACTTTGAACCTTTACTTCATCCTCTTCATTTACATAGGGCGTACACCAAGTAACCAATGGAAACCTCTAGAGGGTATTTAAGCCCCTGAAAACTCTGTAACAGGGCTCTTGCGCCCCTTTGCTTGGCCTGCTCCCACCCTGTGGAGCATTATTTCATTTTCAATACATCTCTGCTTTTGTTGCTTCATTCTTTCCTTGCTTTGTGCATTTTCTTCAATTCTTTGTTCAAGACTCCGAGAACCTGGCCACCCTCCACCAGTAACATATTTATACCCTCCACTGGTAACAAAATGAGAGGTAAGGATCTGAAAGATGGCATGGCTTGTTCAAGGTTTGCCAGCGTTTGCTTCTTCAGTGAGTCTAAGTCAAGGGCTGTACTTCCATTTCCATCATGAGAAAGCAAAAGGCTTGTTTGTATGCCTGCTGGTAACTGGGTGTTTGTACCAATGCCCCTGAAAGTCCAAGAATTTCTCCTGTAGGTACACTCACTCTGGGCACTGCCTTCTACTGCAGGGACACAAAACTGTTGGGGCCCCATTTAATGTCACTTCAACCTTACTCAGCTACAGTTAACCACTTTAATTAAATTAACGTGTGCTATCATAGGGAAGCCCCACCCTACCTTTCAACTCTCATCTTCCACTTCCCTGAAGTATCATGATTATTTCTACTCACATCTAACAACTGCTAGATAACCAGATCAGATCTGCACAGTGATGTCAAAATGCCTACTCACTCTCTAGAGAATTGGTCATACTAACATGTGAATGACAGACAGCCCTATTAAAGGCTTGTGTGTTATATGTGAATGACAGACAAGCCTGTTAAAGGATCTCTCATGGGAAGGATTCCAGATAGTGGGACAGTGGAGTAAAACAAGAAAAAAAGGCAGAAGCACTGGGGATTTAGTCCTGGCCGGCCATTGTTTCACTGTACTCTGATTCTACCCCCATCCAACATTTCCATTCCCTGTCTTAGACATTTGGCTCCAGTGGCTGCAGAAAAATTAATTCAAATTCTGGCTACGTGTGCCTTCAGCATCCACATTCTCTGTAGAGGCATAAGCAACCCAGGGCTGCATCGCCTCCTGCATCCACATCAGCACCACCCACCTGGTAGTTGTCAGCAAATGAAAGGAACACCTATAAACTAAGATGAGAATAATACCCTGAAAGATAAAGTAATTAAAATTATAACAATGAGACGGCAGTCAAAACAATACCCACGTTTATTTAATACCTGTCATTTGAGAAATACGGGGTGATCCATTCATATCACCTCATGAATCCTCCCTATACTTTTATGAGAGAGGCAAGAGCATAGGTCAGTTACAAAAAAAGCCAATGTGGGGCAAGGTTAGTCAAGAAAGCACTGCTGTAGAAGGGGAAGACCTGAAAAATATGACTTTGGATATCAAATATGGGAGGGCATTCCTGGAAAGTAAAAATACCAGCCTGCCCTTTGGTTCCTGGGCATCTGCTCAGCCAGCATCTGCATCCAGTTTGGAAGGTGGGAGAAGGCCCTAGATGCTGCTCCTGGGCTCCCACATTCACATAGTTTTGTCTCCTCGTGGCTTCTATTCTTTTGTAATTACCCCAGTGCCTAGTTTCTTGAAGGTGTCCTAATGTACATTAACAAGTATTATTTTTAAAGGGATTACATTTTCATAATGTTGGGTGAATCACAATTAAACAGACTTAAGTCTATAGGATTTTTGAAATCCTTTAATATGCTAATATGGATAATGAATGTCCTAGAAGAATATATATTAGGTCAAATCCTTTGAAATTACCATTTTTCTTTTTCTTTCTTTTTGAGACTGAGTCTCACTCTGTCTCCCAGGTTGGAGTGCAATGGCGCGATCTCTGCTCACTGCAAACTCTGCCTCACAGGCTCAAGCAATTCTCCTGCCTCAGCCTCCCGAGTAGCTGGGATTGCAGATGCCCACCACCACGTCCAGCAAATTTTTATATTTTTAGTAGAGATGGGGTTTCGCCATGTTGGCCAGACTGGTCTCGAACTCCTGACCTCAAGCGATCCACCCACCTCAGCCTCCCAAAGTGCTGGGATTACAGGCGTGGGCCACTGTGCCCGGCCACAAGGAATTTTTTTTTTTTTTTTTTTTGAGATGGAGTCTTGCTCTGTTGCTCAGGCTGAAGTACAGTGGTGCAGTCGTGGCTCACTGCAACCTCTGCCTTCTGGGTTCAAGCGATTCTCCTGCCTCAGCCTCCCCAGTAGCTGGGACTACAGGCATGTGCCACCACGCCTGGCTAATTTTTGTATTTTTAGTAGAGATGGGGTTTCACCATGTTGGCCAAGATGGTCTCCATCTCTTGACCTTGTGATCCGCCCACCTCGGCCTCCCAAAGTCCTAGGATTACAGGTTTGAGCCACCACGCCCAGCCTGCAGGGATTCTTTTAACTGTAAAATTGCTTTAAAATTTTGTTTTAATGCAAAAAGTTTTCATGGAAAAAGCAGAGCATAAAAGCACACACATTGTATTAATAACTATGTAAAAAACTATTCACAGTTGGGCTTTAAAAGGGCAAAAACAAAAAAGAAAAGAGTCATTTATAAGGATAGAACTATGGGCCAGTCACAGTGGCTTATGCCTGTAATTCCAGTAATTTGGGAGGCTGAAGTGGGAGGATTGCTTGAGCCCAGGAGTTTTTGAGACCAACCTGGACAACATAGGGAGACTCTGTCTCTATAATAAATAAAGTGGCTAGGCATGGTGGTGAGTACCTGTAATCCCAGCTACCTGGGAGGCTGAGTTGGGAGGTTACTGGAGCCTGGGAGGTCAAGGCTACAATGAGCCATGATCTCACTGCTGCCTTCCAGCCTGGAAAACAGAATTCTGAGAAAAATCCCAGTGCACCCCCTCCCCATTCTTTCCAAGATTGCAGAGTAGTGTCAAGGATAAGATGACCTCCAGCCAGGACTTCAGTATTAAGTTCCTCTGACCTCCTCATTGAGCTAGGTGGACTCCAAGACCTAAGGGACAGGTAAACATTACCCTTTGAATATCTTCTTTGCCTCCTTACCCAGATGTAGCCCGCCTACATAGATCCCCAAATCTTCAGGTATTCCCACCACCCAGTGGCTCTTTTCCAAAGTTTGTGTTTAAGTTGGTTATTTGAAGTTCTGTACAGGATCTTACAGCAACACTATTTACAAATGATGGTTAGCTTTTCCAGCAAGGCCCTAGATGTCTGTTGGATTCCAGTGTTTTAGATGTTCTGCACATCTATTTATTTTGAGGCAGGATCTCACTTTGTCACCCAGGCTGGAGTGCAGTGGTGTGATCTCAGCTCAGTGCAACCTCCAACCTCCCATGTCAGCCTCCTGAGTAGCTGGGACTATAGGCGTAATCCCAGCTACTACGCCAGGCTAATTTTTTTGGTTTGTTTTTTGTTTGGTGGGGTGCAGCAGGTAGAGACAAGGTTTCTGCATGTTGCCTAATCTGGTCTCGAATTCCTGGACTGAAGTGATCTGCCCCCCTTGGCCTCCCAAAGTGTTTGGATTATAAGTATAAACCACCCTGCCCAGACAATTCTATACATTTATAATGGGAAAGGAAAATAGTAGAAAAATAATCCTATCATAAATGCACAACTACAATATAGAATATACTCTTGAGGGTTAACTTAGGGAATAAGGTCCAACTTATAAAGCTGTGTCCACGGGAAAATGTCTTCCTGGGCTTGCTTAGGTCACTGTCCCAAAAGCCCCTCAGCAGCCTCTTGATGGAGAATGAGACTGTCATAGCCCAAGAGAATTCCTCTGTCCAGGCCTTTAGACAAAGCCTGGCCTGCGGGAGGGAGTCCCAGTGCAGCAGAATCACAGAGCTGCCGACCAGAAAGGCACAGTAACTCGGGATTATGGCTTTCTCTCCAGGGCTCTGTGGGGGAATCCCTCTGTGTAGGGGAAATTCTGGAATCCTGATCTCCCCCTTTCCCTGCATGCATCCCACTCCCAAATGCAGCCTTGTTCCTAGGTTCTGAGCCAGCAGCAATTTGCAAGCCTGCCCCTAATATTCCTTGCATACTGTCCTTCTGGAGGACCTGGCATGAGTAAGTACCCAAGAGATATAGCCCCTTTATGGGGAAGCACCCACAGAGCTGGCCCCAAGGTGAAGGTGACCACTGTGGGATGGGGTGAGGGGGAGCTTAAAAACTTGGCTTGTTTTGCTAAATTGCTATGACCCTACATTATGGTCATTAGACAAAGATCCCCTGGCCTAAGGCCAATAAAATGACACCATGACTTTCCCATCAAATCTGGCTGCTTCTCTCTTGGCTGCAGAGAATCATTAATATTTGGTCTCTCTTTAACAAATGGAAGAAAGAAGGAAGAGGCTAGAAGGCAGTTTCCTTGGATGAGCAGAAGTGAAATCAAATCTCAGCTTCTTGCCTCCCTCATCTAACTCTCTCCTGCCTCAGGGCTTTCCACCAGGACCTGTCTGGAAACCTTATCTCAAGCTTTAAGGGCTTATGCCTGGGGCTCCTCTGGATGTGAAAAGAAATTCCCTCCCACACAGTACCTGCTATTACATGACTTACCCTATCATGCCTCGTAAGACTTTAAGAAGCTTCTGCCCACCACTTTAAAGGATAATTGTTCTCATACTGTTATATTCTGTTCCTGAACACTTAGGTATTTTGGCAAAAGTAGGGTCAATCATCAAATATAGGAAATGGATGAAAGGGTTATGTCCTTGTACCTGACTACAGAGCTTGGTGGCTTCGAGTTGGGGCAGCAGAGGAGAAAAGCTGCCACCAGCAACCGGGTATAGAGAAACGGAGGCTGAGAGACCAGCTTGATGTCAGGAGTGAGGGGGAGAGCAGCAAATCAGGGGAGTGTAGTGTCATGGAAACCAAGAGAAGAAAGAGCTTCAGGGAGGTGGTGAGGACATCTGTGTTGAATGCTGAAGTGAAGACAAGATAAGAACAGAGGTGTAAACATTAGACTCAGCAATGTGGAGGTGATTAGAGGCACTGACCGGAACAGTATCTTGGTATAGTGGGGACAAAATCCATCTAGAGTAAGTTGAAAAGGAAATAAGAATATGCTGCTAAGCGCTTTATGTCTTAGCTCATGTAATTCTTATAACAATCTTATGATGTAGATTCTAATATTATCCCCATTTTACAGATGAGGAATCCAGGCACAGAGAGGATAACTAGATGGCCCAAAGTCTCACAGTTAGAAAGTGGCAGAGTTGGATGGACCCAGACAACCTGGCTCCAGCCTGTGCTTGAAACCTCTACCTCACTCTCCTTTCACAATGCCACGAAACCAGGATGAACACTCACTCCAGACAACACTAGCGACAAGTGCTGAAAAGGAAAAAAAGAGAGATGGGGTGGGTAGCTGGAGAGGTTGTGGGGCTGAGAGAGAGTTTTCTTTTAAGACAGAAAATCCTGATACACGGGTTGCATGCTGATGGGGATAATAGAGGTGCAGAGGAGAGATTGATGATGTCTGCTGGAGGAGGTGTTTGCGAGCTGGGAGATGAGATGGATCCAGAGCACAGAGGGGCTGACCTTTGATAGGAGCTCAGCAAATCCTCTGGTACCAGGAGGGGAGGCAAAGAAAAAGGGCACCCAGTGAGGGTAGCGGGTAGTTTTGGATGTGAAAAGATGAAGGAGTACCTGTCTGCTGGTTTCTCTTTTCTCAGTGAAGGGTAGAGCAAGATAATCATCTGAGGCTGGGGTGGGGAGAAGGGATGGGGGTTGTAAGAGGATTGAAGAGGGAAGAGAGGTATGAAATGGCCATTCTGGGGGTGGAGGTGCTGAGAAAACACAATGAGGAGGTGAGGCAGGGAGCTACAAGAGACAATTCCTAAATTTTATGGATGCACTGTCTGTCTCTCAAATCTTTCATGGTTTTTATCTATGAAATTTTTCATTTTAAATTGCAGAAAAAGAAAGAGGAAAAACTGCCTGCCCTCTTTCCCATGACCGCTGTGCTGGCAGCAGCAGGAACACATCTGAAGTGATGTGATAGGAAATCAGAAGCATTGCAGGCAGATGGTTTGGGATTGTGAAAAGCGCACACAGAGAGAAATGTAGCCTGGGTTTCTTACCTGTAGAAACTTCATGGCTTTTCCTTTGTTTTCATCAAGACCCATCTGTGGCTCTTTAGCACATTTCTTAAAGAAGAATGTGGAATGATAAATGATCCCAGGTGAAATTTATATCTATCTGGATTAAATCCTTGTGCTTTTCTGGAGGAATCAGGGAGCACAGAGCGGCTGCTAATACAGAGAATCACCTGGAGGTCTTGTTACGCCACAGATTACCAGGCCCTGCCCCCAGAATTTCTGATTCTTTGCAGGATGGGGGGAATGAAAATTTGCATCTCTAATAGTTCCCAGGTGATGTGGATGCTGCTGGTTGGAAGACCATACTTTGAACATCGAGTTTGGATGGGGAAGGCCTTAGGGTTCATCTAGTTCACCACTTCAGGTGGCAGAGGATTTCCCGCACCTCACAGAACAAGGACTAGAAAGACGATGTCTGAGTCCATTGAAATCCCAAAAGATTCCAGACACAAAATGTCCTTAAGTCCAGCTGCTATTGTTGGACTTGTCATTCCTCTCCCTCCCTGCAAGTCTCTGTTTTTCTGCAAAAACATCGGAGGGAATAATTTGAGACTAATTAACACATAAAGTGCTAACTATATACAAGACGCTGCTCTGAGCTCTTTACTTTATTAACTCACTTAGTCTTTATAACAGCCCTGTGACCTAGGTGCTACTATTATTAATGCCCAATTTACTGATAAGGTAATGAAGACACAGAGAGATTAAGTAACTTCCTTGAGGTCACCCAGCTAGGAAGTGGAGAGCTGGAATACATCCACAGATCAGACTAACTCCAGTTTCCACATTATTTCCACACTTTCATATGGCAAAAGTAAGTATGTATGAAGTCTTGGTCTCTCAGATTTGTGGATTCTTGCTGCTTGGGTAAAATGTGGTCTGCTAGGGTCCAACATAGTTCTTAGCTAGGGTCCCTGGGCAATATAGGATCTTGAAAAAACCCTGTTTTGGCCAGTTGCGGTGGCTCACGCCTGTAATCCCAGCACTTTGGGAGGCCGAGGTGGGTGGATCATGAGGTCAGGAGATGGAGACCATCCTGGCTAACACGGTGAAACCTCGTCTCTACTAAAAATACAAAAAATTAGCTGGGTGTGGTGGCATGCACCTGTAGTCCCAGCTACTCAGGAGGCTGAGGCAGGAGAATCACTTGAACATGGGAGGTGAAAGTTGCAGTGAGCCGAGATCACACCACTGTACTCCAGCCTGGGCAACAGAGCGAGACTCTGTCTCACAAAAAAGAAAAAAGAAAAAACCCTGTTCTACCATTTTTAATGTATGGCCCTTGGACAAGCTGCCTACTTTATTCTGATTATCCCATTGATAAAATGAGGTGTACTGACTTTCTGAACTTTTAAGCTCTGAAAGCATATATATATGCGTATATATACACGTATATATATACGTGTCCTGTATATGTATATATATGTATATATGTATATGTACATGTATATGTATGTATGTATATGTATGTATATGTATATGTATATATACATGTCATATATATATTTTTATATATATATATAGAGAGAGAGAGAGAGAGAGGGGGGTCTCGCTCTATTACCCAGGCTGGAGTGCAGTAACACCAATGATGGCTCACTGCAACCTTAACCTCACAGGCTCAAGCAATTCTCCCACCTCAGTCCCGAGTAGCTGGGACTACAGGCATGTACCACCACACCTTGTTGATTTTTGTATTTTTTGTAGAGATGGGGTTTCACCATGTTACCCAGGCTTGTCTCAAACTCCTGAACTCCTGGACTCAAGTGATCCGCCTGCCTCAGCCTTCCAAAGTGCTGAGATTACAGGTGTGAGCCACCATGCCTGGCCAGCATATAATTCTTACTGAGTTTCAGTAACTCCTTACTCCTGCACTCATTCATCTAGAGCAGCTGCCTGAAGCAACACAGACCAACAATCCACAGGCTGCAGCTAATTCTGGGAGCAGCTCTTCCCGTGGCCAGCTAAGAATTCTTCTGCCATGACAGTCACTGAGGAGGTGTGTTTTTGCCAGTGATGAAGGGTTCTGCTTAACTAGCAAGAGAATAAGCACAGCTGATTAGAAAGGTAATTTTTCAATAAAAGTAGGTATAGAGGACTAGGTAGTAACATGTTGGTTCCTGCCATTGGCTGCCTAGGAGATATTGAGCAAGGTAACTTGCCTCAACATTTGCATCTGTGAAATGGAGATGATTAGGACTATGAGACAGTTTAGCTAGTTAAGCATTACCACGTGCTTGGTCATAGTCGCATCGCTCCAATTGGCCCCTGAGGTTGTTGTTCTTGGTGTCAGCAGTGCCTCATCAGAGATCTAGACGCTGAGCTTGTACACACTAGGACCTCCCAGATGCATCTCACCCACCCTGAAGCTCTTCACCACCAACTTTTAATGCTCTATACTGGCATTAAAAGAGTCAGACATTTAATAAGTCTAAATCCTAGCATCCTCAGGTTTAGAGAAGGATTGTGTCTCAGATTCACGACAACAAAAGGTGTGGTGGACTTTATTATTATCATTTTTTTTTTTTTTGTAGAATAAGAATCTGGAGAACTCTATGAGTATTCTCCAGAGTTCTTTTAGAGCTAACTGAATTTAAGAGATCCCTGGGGCAATTAATCCAAAGTATACCCTCACTGCAACATCTGTTTCAGGATCAGAAGTGCCAGTGGAGTCGTGAAATTGAAGTTAACAAATTTTTATGGAGAGCCAACCAAGAACCATGGATTGTAGAGGGAGTTGCAAGTAATGAGTATAGCAATAGCTAACATTTATGGAGTTCTTAGGATGTGCCAGGAACATAATTATTACATATCATTCATACAGCCCTAGGAGTTAGGTACTATTATCTGCCCCATTTCATAGATAGGGCAATTGAAGCTCTTGGAGGGTAAATGTTCATGGTGGCACAAGGAGTTGAATCCAGATGCACAGCCATAGTGCTACATTGCCTCCCTACAACAAGGTGCATGACAGAGTCCCAACCCTCAAGGAGCGAACCCTGGTGAGGGAAACAGGCACAGGAACAGATATTCATATCTGTTGATGCTGACTATGAACATAAGATGGGCAATTGATGGCAACTAGAAAGATCCTGTAAGACTTCAAAGTGGAGGTGGCATTTGAGCTGAATATTGAAAGAAATGACTAGCATTGCAACAGGTGGAGATGGGGGAAAAGCATAACACTCAGAAAATCATCTACCCTCAATAGGAGCAGGAACACAGGTGCCACCTATTTAAGTCTTTCTTCCAATGTACAATTTATCTCATTTTGCAGATTCCTGTCCTGTTCACGGGATGGACTCAGAAGGTTCTGAAGGCTCAGATTTTATAGGCTCAGGGAAGCTGAAAGTTGGACACAAATACGGCCTGTGCTGAGATCTCCTCAGCCCAGGCTCAAGCAAGATTTTCTTACCAGACAAGCTTCCATGGTGTTGCGAGGCACTGTTTTCTCTGACCTTCAAGGTCTGAGATGTCTGAGCCAGGCACCAGCTTGCAAACTTAGGAGAAATGGGAAACCAAAATTCCAAAGCAAACTCCCTGAGCCTCCTTGTCCCAGGATCCCTCATTCTCTACTTCATCCACCTTCCTATGGTAGAAAGATCCCTGCTCCTTCTCTACTCAGTAGCTTCCTTCCTGTGACATGTTTTTATCAATGCCATTGTCACTAGTGATTTCAGATGAAACAGGGTAAAGGTTTATGGATCACTAGCCTTGTGTGTTCCATGAAACTCTGCTCTGTTGACATCCATTAATCTCTATCCTGGCCTCTTGCTACCTGTCTTGCCATTTATTCTCAGCTCTTTCCCTGACCCCCCTCTTCCTCTGCCCACCCTTGAATGTTGGTGTTCTTCAGCCATCCGTCCTGGCCCCTTGCTTCCCTCCCTCCACATGCTCTCCGTAGGAGCCACCCCCTATGACTATTCCTTGCCCTTGAGCTATTGACACTAGATGTCTATCCCCAGGCCTGACCTCTCCTAGTTTTAGCCTCATGCCCTCTGCTGCCCAGGGAGCATCCCCATCTGAAGGTCCCAGGGGAATCTCAAGCTCAACACATTAACTAGCTCTCCTCTCTCTTCCTTGTCCCCAACTCACTGCACCCAATCCAGAAACATGGTAGTCATTCCAGGATCTGCCCCTTGCCTCACCTACTCTTATTCTGCAGCATCCTACCTGCCCCTCCAATCATTGATCAAATATCACCAGTTTTAAGTCCAGTGTTTCCTGAATCCATTTTCCTCCTGTAGTTCTTTACTCTCACTCTCATCTATGCCAGGTCCCTGTCATCCTGTATACTCTGACCACAACTGTTTCCCAACTCTTCTTCTGGCCTCCAGGCTTGCTGCCCACCTGAGACGAAAACCACCTTGACCCCCCTCTGAAGGCTCTGAAGGCTCAGATTTTATAGGCTCAGGGAAGCTGAAAGTTGGACACCAATATGGCCTGTGCCTGTAAGGGCTCCTCATCACCACAAATCCCAGTTCTGAGTCTATCGAAGGCCCAGTGTGACCTGGTGTGACCTCTCAGCCTCATCTCCCAGCATTTCCTGCCTCAAACTTCATGTTATGATGATAATACACAGTAGTGTGTAGCTTTCCAACACACCATGCTCATTCATGAGTTTTATTGTATTTGATTTAATTCTGTTTCCTCTACCTAGACAGCCTTTTCCACCCTTCTTCACCTGGGTCATATGAACTCATTTTTCAAGACACAGCCCACCCATTCTCTGGCTCAGAAACCCTCCCCAAAAGCCTTGGGTGAGGGAAGTGCTCCCCTTGCAACCTGTGCTTATTGTCTGAGGACTTAAGGGTGGCGCGTTAGAGTTGTTATGTGGGAGTCTTTCTCCTCCATTAGGTTATGACCTTGACAGCATCTTAGTCACTTTTGCCCCATTGTCTAGTGCAATATTCAGGACACAGTGAGTGCTCAGTTAATATTGTTGACTGGAACTTAACCCCCTCAGAGCAAGGGTTTTCTACCCCTGTCCTCCTAGCAAGCATTCTGCAAATGTTTCATGAGCGAATGCTGCTGCTGTCAACAGCCATGATGGGGAGAGGGGAGGAGGGTTCTAGTCACACAGTTCCTAAATGTGCACAGAGGCCAGGCACGGTAAAATCTGCA
The DNA here is from genome assembly GCF_000001405.40 of Homo sapiens. Lineage (NCBI taxonomy): Eukaryota > Metazoa > Chordata > Mammalia > Primates > Hominidae > Homo > Homo sapiens. The sequence goes on from NC_000001.11 coordinate 117,208,757, forward strand.
CATCAGCATTCCATCCCTGAGCAGCATGCATGCTGAGAGTGAGATCTGAAGGAATTAGGCTCTCTGGAAATTATGAATACTTAGGAGAATAACTCACTGGGTCTGCAGAGGATGGCAGGCCCTTTCATGAGCGTTCCAACATCACCACTGTCATGATCACCTCCAGGAGAGGTATTTTTATGAATTAAGGCCATTATGACAAAGGAAGAGGGTTATTAGGGTCAAGAGTTACCCCAGGCAGGCTCCACCTGCATCCCTGAGATGAGCTTTCATGATCCTGCTCCCCACTGAAGCTGCTCATTGGCCCTCTTCCTGGAGGTCCCTTGCACAAAGGATCTGCCACCCTCATGGACAGTCGCTGCTTCTGAAACTGCAGAGCATGAATAGCCAACAAGGCATGCAGGAGCCAACAAGAGGAGTCTCTGTTGATTCCAGTGGGTTTCTGAAGGGTAGGGGATACGAATTTTGAACACCCACCTCCTGCTAATCCTCCAGCAAAACCAGTCAGACTGGATGCAAAGCATTACGAGAGAGCCCACACATCCCATCTGACCTCTGAACAATGGAGCCACTTGTTGCAGGAGGAGTGTTTCATGTCCTTGGGATCAAGGCTGGAGGAATGGTGGGCATGGAGAACTGGGACTGGCAGGAGCAGGGGCAAGGGTGGCAGGGGGAGAGAGCTTGGGATTTCAGAGCAAGATCCCCTCATGCACAGTTTCACAGTCATCTGGCCTTAACTTCTCTGAGGTGATAACGAGTCTTCACAAGGCAGTGGTGGACACGCTGCTCTAAGACACCTAGTGCAGGGCAGGGAAGGAGTCACTCACAAAATGCTAGCTCCTCTGACATAGGTGCTTCTTAGGGACATCCTCTCAGGGCAGAAGGGTCTAGAGGGAAGCCCCTGCCACCCACTGCTTCTCCTGGAGCACAGTGCTGTAGCCAGGCACAGGGGTGGGGGCAGAAGTGCCGCTGCAGCCACCCCCACCAGCCCTGCAGAGTCCTTCACCTCTGCTACCCGGCAGGTGATTTCAGATAAACGTGAGTCGAGTCAGGGGAGCTGATATTTTGTTTCAAGGAAAAGAACTTTCTAGGCTGCCTCTGGGAAGTAACATTACTCTCGTAGTCTCTTCACAAACTTTTCACTGTTGACCTGAGGATTCCTTTCCTCTCTCCTTCCCTCTCTTCTTTTCTTCCTTTTGTGGGAAAAAGAAACAAATTGGAGGACTGGTCCTTCAAACAACCTCTAGAACCAACAAGTATCAGCCTCCCTAAACACTGTCCTGAGTTGTGACTGACACTGAATCAATCATTTCAAGAAAACCCTGCACTTTCCATCTCTTTCCTTCCAGGAGGGTAAATGCTGTTCTGAGGGAAAAAGAGGCAACTAGAATGTAGCTCAGGGGAGAAGCAAAAGGTAGGGGAGGGAACTTGCTTCCTTCTTCCTCTCTGGGGAGTTCAGCAGCAGCAGCAGCAGCAGCAGCAGCAGCAAGTTCTCCTCTCCAAGGAGCTCCTAGGAAAACTAGGGACCCAACCTTTGAGCTGGGGGGGCCTGGGGAGGGGTGTTGGTGTGAATTGCTCAAGAGTAGCAAGAAATCACACCCACAGAGAATGAAAGCACATTCTCCTCCGTCCCCCTGGGGGCTGCATAAAGGGTCCTCCTGCATCCCCTCCACTGTCGCAGTCATGGATTCCCTGCCATCCCACCATGCAACCCACACCAGCCTGCTCAGTGTCCCCATGGTGCTCACAGCCTTGACATCTCAGGGGAATGCCCAGCTTGGCACGTACTCCCCTCAGTCCAAGCTGCCCAGCAAGCGCCAGCCCTCCATGGCAGGCCACCAACCAAAAACCTCCCTAACCCTGAACAGGTGCCTTGAGCAGCTGAGGTGGGATGTTAAGTCAAATCCAGTTAGGCTCTTGTCTGGCCAGGCTCCCGCTGGCCCAATGCTGGATCAGATAAAATTACAGGTGGGGTCCTATGGGACAGCCCAGCAGTGCTCAGCATCCCCAAAAGACCTCACTGCTGTTCCCTTCACCCATAAGGATAGAGAGAAGAGTATATACTACCTCCAGAAGAGGATCTGCCCCAGGGAAGCCATGGCTGGGGAAGGTTCCCAGCGTATCTGGGTACTGGCTGAGTGGAGCTGCCGCTGCCTTCCTTGGTGACTCACAACCAGCTCCCGTGTATTGGCCTTAAATAGTGTGTTGAGGCCGGGAGTGGTGCGTGCAGCTGTAGACGGCTCAGGTATGAGGAAACTGGCTGTGCAGAATTCCCTGCAGGCACAGTGGCTGCCTGCTCCGGCCAGCCAGCCAAGCCAGGGGCTCAGAGCTGCCTTTCCAAGTCTTGACTTTGGGAGGGTGACGAGGAAAAGCTTCCCTGGCCCTTGCTTCAGGGCCTGCATTCAGCAGGACTTTCCTCCTGACTGTGGAAGGGAGCTGTAGGGAGGGAGATTTAATCTCAAAATAAGAAAGGACTGGAATAGCTCAAAGTGTCAGGCTATGCTGGGAGCCTTGGGGCCAGGAGTCCCCATCTCTGCTGGTAGATGACGCTCAAACAGAGGCTGGGTCACCATTGGTCAGGTCTCTCGTGGAGGAGACTCATGCTGGGGGACCTCAGGAAGGCCATGAGCTGAAGTGACAAGACCACTGAGTTTGTCACTCAAGACTGAACTTGCCTAGGTCTCCTGAGATGCCCAGCTGGGTGTGCAATTCTCTTCCAGCTTCATTTCAGTGGGAGCAGGAGAGGGCCAGCACTTCCCACCTTGCAATTTTTTTGAGACTCCAAAAAGACACTGAATGTGCTCTGCTTCAACTGCCCCTCTCTCTGGAGATCCCAATACTCAGAAGCTATTGCTGTCAAAGGTGAGTGGGTTAGCAAAAATCTCTGACATTTCATCCAGCAGATTGCCAACTAGGCAAGATTCTCGTTAAAGCCTAAACGTTGCTCTCTCTCTCTCTTATTCTCTCTCTCTCTCCTTATTGTTTCCTCCAGCCCCCAGAAGTACCTTGGATGGGAAAGTTTCATGACTGGTTGCCTGGCTTACTGCTGCTGCTGACTGACTATGTTTGCAGTGAAGGTGCTCCAGGCCTTCAGCAGCATCCTCCTAGTGTTTGCGTATGGGCAGGTGGAGCAACCATTGAGTAAAGATGGAGCAGAGAGAACTGAGTGGTGAAAATAAGGCAGCAGGAGAGGGCAAGGTCACAGTGGAAAGACCTTTAGAGTCAAACAGCTAGGTTCAATTCCTGGGTTCCTAATTAATCATGTGGCTTTGAGAACATCACTTTACTTCAATGTGTGTCTCACTGGGTTGCAGTGAGGGATAAATGAGAGGCGGGTCTATGTGCTTTCCCTTCCCCAGAATAAGTAAAGGGTGATGCCCTGGAATCTATGCAGTGCCAGTGCTGAATGGTCACTTCCCGGGTCTGGGGAAGCTGAGGGCAGTGGGAGCAGTGGTTTCTGTAATTCCAACCAAAGGCACAGGGATTCTGCCCTACCCCTCAATGAGCCTTAAGAAGAGCAGCTTCAGCTGGGCACAGTGGCTCAAGCTTATAATCCCAATATTTTGGGAGGCCAAGGTAGGAGGAATTTTTTTTTTTTGAGACTGAGTCTCGCTCTGTTGTCCAGGCTGGAGTGCAATGGTACAATCTTGGCTCTGTAACTGTAACCTCTGCCTCCTGGGTTCAAGCGATTCTCCTGCCTCAGCATCCCAAGTAGATGGGATTATAGGTGCACCACCGCACTCAGCTAATTTTTGTATTTTTAGTAGAGACGGGGTTTCTCCATATTGGCCAAGCTGGTCTCGAACTCCCAACCTCAAGTGATCCACCCACCTCGACTTCCCCAAGTACTGGAATTACAGGCATGAGCCACTGCGCCTGGCTGGTAGGAGGAATTCTTGAGCCTAGCAGTTCGAAACTAGCCTGAGCAGCATACTGAGACTTCGTCTCTACAAAATTTAAAAAAAAAAAAAAAGAATCCATCTAGTAACAGGAAAACAAACAAAAAATTAGCTGGGCATATAGTCCCAGCTGCTCAGGAGGCTGGGGTGGGAGGATCACTTGAGTGGGGCTTGAAGCTGCAGTGAGCCATGATCGTGCCAGTATACTCCACGATGGGCAACAAAGCAAGATGCTGTCTTAAAAAAAAAACAAAAAAGCAGCCCCACCTCAAACACCCTGGGGCAGAGCCATGGAGTTTCTCTCTTCTAGCCATGCATCATCACTAAAGGGACAGCTAAGGATGACCCTGGAGGGAAAATCAAGACAACCCAGCAGAGACACCTCCGAGTGAGAGGGAAAATGTAGCTGAAGTGGCCCACCTGTTAGAGGGCAGGCATTACCTGGCAGGGATGTGGAGCTGAAAAGCATTCTGCTGCCTCTGGAGAAGCAAATGGACAGTACTCTGGTTCTGACTCCAAAACTTGAAGAATATCACACACAAAATAATGAGGGAAATCATTACAAAGCAACAGCCCAAAAGTGTGTGTGTGCGCATGTGCACGCGCGTGCACGTGTAAAGAGAGAGTCTTGGAAACATTGAACTCTCCAGCATTTGAAAGCCTCTCTTGGCTCCCCTGACACTGTTCTCTGAGACTCTCACTAATGCCCCTCACTGTCTTGTGCCCAGGCCCTTTTCCTTCGCCTCTCCCATAAGTGATAGGGGTCCCTGTGGTCCTGTCCTCTGCCTTTTCTTCTCATAGCACACATGTGCCCTGGGCAACCTTGACCACTGCTCTGCTTCGACTGCTCTGGAGATCACAATATCTGCATCCTCAGCTCCCTTCCCTTGACCAAGCCCCAACCCCACATACCCAGCTGCTTAGTGGACATCTCCAATCGGCTGTCTAGAAGGCACCATCTCCCATCTCTAACCCGGCTGCTCCCCCTAGGTCACATCTTTTGGAACACAACAGCATCCCACACTAGGCTGCCACAGTCAGAAACCTCAAAGTCACCCTTTATTCCGCCTGCCTGGCTCCCTACATCCCTGATTCCTCCTCCTTGGGTTAGTCTACTAAGGCTGCCATAAAAAAGTACCATAGACTGGTGGTTGAAACAATGGAAATGTATTTTCTCACAATTCTGGAGGCTGCAAGGCTGAGATCAAGGTGTCAGCGGAGTTAGTTTCTCCTGAGGCCTCTCTCCTTGGCTTGTAGATGGTTTCTTCTCCCTGTGTCTTCACGTGGCCTTCCCTCTGTGTGTGTTTGTCCTGATCTCTTCTTCTTTTTTTTTGAGACGGAGTTTCACTCTTGCCGCCCAGGCTGGAGTGCAATGGCGCGATCTCGGCTCACTGCAACCTCCACCTCCCAGGTTCAAGCAATTCTCCTGCCTCAGCCTCCCAAGTAGCTGGGATTACAGGTGCCCACTAACATGCCCAGCTAATTTTTTGTATTTTTAGTAGAGATAGGGTTTCACCACGTTGGCCAGGCTGGTCTCGAACTCCTGACCTCAGGTGATCCACCCGCCTCGGCCCCCCAAAGTGCTGGGATTATAGTGCCAGCCCTAATCTCCTCTTCTTATAAGAACACCAGTCATATTGGATTAGGGCCCATCCTGATGACCTCATTTTAACTTAATTACTTCTTTGGAGGCCTTATCACCAAATACAGGGGGTTAGGACTTTATGAATTTTGAGGAGAGACATAATTCAGCCCGTAAAACTCCTCTATGCCTCCTAAGTCCATCCCTTCTCTCTATCCCCAATACTATTGCCCAGATTTCCTCCCTCATCATTTCCAATTTGAATTAAACTATTAAATAGTGTCCTTTTCCTAGTCTGCCTCTACTTGTGCTGATCCACCCACTTCCACTAGAATGATCTTTCTAAAATGCAAATCTGATGAGGCACTTGCCTGCTTGAAATGACCAATGCCTCTCCAGAGCCTGTGGTCTGGCCTCTGCCTACCTCTCCAGATTTTTCCCTCATGTCTCCTTTTGGTCCTCTGTGGACCAGCCGTACTGCACTGCTTCAGGTTGCTCTAAAATGCCAGCGTGCTCTCCCAAGCCATCCTGCCTTTACACAAGTTGCTCTTTCTACCTGGAATCCATCCCTGCCTTTTTCTTGTTTTATATAAAATTTATGGGAAACTTTCCCAACAACTACCATCTGGCAGGTGCCATGCTTCGGGATCCCATGTGAACCTGGTGCTACTTACTATGCTCCTAAATTGGGACCATTGAATTGTCTGTCTCCTTCACTAGACACACCTTAGAAATAGAAAGGTGTCTTATTCATTTTTGTATTTCACACCAGCATAAGGCATGCACAGAGTAAGCAATCATTAGATGTTTGTTGGATAAATGTACATTTTTCTTTCACAGCACACAGTAATGGTACTATTTTCCATTTATGCATCTATCTCATTGCTAGTCTGTGAGCTCTTGGAGGGTAAAAACTAGGCCTCGTTCATCTTTTTTTGTTATCAGGTCCTAGCACCGTGCCAGGCATAAAAAGCACTCAGTAACATTTGATGGATGAGTAAGCAGGGATCAACTTGGGGTGTGATCAGTCATTTTCCAGAGGAGATGTCTTCTGAGCTGGATTGACACTATTAGAGGCAGCAGAGAACAAGTTGCATTTGAGATAGAGGAACAATTTATGATTAGGACAAAGGTAAAGCAGACGTAGGAGATAAGCACAAAATCTATTCTCTCCTTGTTGATCTTGGGGAAAGAGAGAGACAGAGATTACTTAATGTATCTGGAACCAAAATGTCTTATGAATTTTTTTTTTTTTTTTTTTTTTTTTGAGACGGAGTCTCACTCTGTCGCCCAGGCTGGAGTGCAGTGGCGGGATCTCGGCTCACTGCAAGCTCCGCCTCCCGGGTTCACGCCATTCTCCTGCCTCAGCCTCCCAAGTAGCTGGGACTACAGGCGCCCGCCACTACGCCCGGCTAATTTTTTTGTATTTTTAGTAGAGACGGGGTTTCACCGTTTTAGCCGGGATGGTCTCGATCTCCTGACCTCGTGATCCGCCCGCCTCGGCCTCCCAAACTGCTGGGATTACAGGCGTGAGCCACCACGCCCGGCCTATGAATTTTTTTAAAAAATTATTTAAATAGCCCAGTCACCTGGAGCTCTGTTTTCTCATTGTGTAGCTGCATATTTTCCTGCGTATAAGGCTTACATTTCCTTGGAATCACAGCACATTCTGGCTCTGATAGGAAGAGCACCCGCCCATGAGTGAATGTGGACCTAGCCGGTTGTTCCAAGTGCTGGCACAGAAGCAGGCTCTGTGCTGTGCTTGCGACTGGACCAGGCATGTTGCAAGCCACTCCCCTGGTGGTCTCTGGCATCCAGACAAGGGGAATGCAGTGGCACCTAGGCAGGGGTGTCCATGACCCCAAAGCCCCAGAGGGGGTGTTACAGCATGCTAATTAGCTCTTATAGTCCCGGCTTCTGCTGCCTAGTGGACAGTGGCATGTTAACAGCTCTGTCATTTCCTTGCCCCACTCTCGCCAGCAGCTCTGGGGCAAACTTGGCACCACCACTGCTTTCCGTTGCATGGGGCAGCTGCCCTTCACCAGTCCCATGTCCAAAAAAAATGAGGTCATGCTGACAATCAAAGGGTTGGGCCTGAACAAGGCCTGGGCAGGGGCATTGCTGGCAGGAGCTCTCCAACTGGCAGAGTGATCAAGAAAAATCCTGTGTCATTGTGACTTCTGGAGTAATGGCTGGCAATTGTTTATGTCTACACCTTAGCAGAATTCAGGCTCCCCTATCCTCCTAGCCTGGTGGTCTCTCATTAGCTTTACAAAGGCAGTTAAGTTTGGCGGAAGGGCTATTCTCACTTAAACTATAAACTAAATGTCTCCCAAAATTAGCTTGGCCCAAGCCCAGTAATAATTAAGTATAGCTTGAAGGCTAAAGGCCAGAAATGAGTTGGCTAGATCAGATCTCCCCAACTGCCATAATTTTCTCACTGTTATAATTTCTGCAAAGGTAGTCTCAATTCTGATAAACACCTTGTCATTAGCAGGAATTTGGAATCCTGCTAAAGGAGAAGAGATCTTATAATATTTTGCAGAGCTGGGAAGAGCAGACCTTGTAGTCTTAATATAGCAAACTTCAAACGGCTAATTGAAAGGGATGCTGACATCTGGTGAAATATTAACGAGCTATCACTTTGTCTGAGACCTTGACTTTCTTCCACTAGTTACTAGGGCCTCCATATAAGGGAAGGGCTGATTGCTTCGTCACTGGCCAGGCAGAGGACCAGTATCTAAGGCAGATGCTATGCTTCCTCTCCATTCCTCCTTCCTCATCCTTCAGCCAGAAGCCCTCAGGCATCGATTCCTAGCAGCCCTGCCTATTGATTTACCAGTTCACAAATTTGTGTGACCCCTACTGTTATCACTAAGTCAGAATGTCCTGGGGCCTGAGTGGAATCCCTGGTCAGCAGAACCCACACTGATTTATTTATTTGAGACAGGGTCTCACTCTGTTGCCCAGGCTGCAGTGCAGTGGCATGATCTCAGCTCACTGCAACCTCCACCTTCTGGGATCAGGTGATCCTCTCATCTCAGTCTCCTGAGTAGCTGGCACTACAGGTGTGCATGACCACGCCCAGCTAATTTTTATATTTTTAGTAGAGACTGGTTTTCACCACATTTCACAGGTTTTGGTCAGGTTGTCTTGAACTCCTGGCCTCAAGTGATCTGCCCGCCTCAGCCTCCCAAAGTGCTTGGATTACAGGCATGAGCCTGCGAGAAAGGATCTGTTCCACACCTCTCTCTTTGGCTTGTAGATGGCCATCTTCTCTTTATATCTCTTCATATCATCTTTCCTCTATGCATCTGCCTCTGTGTCCGAACTTTTTCTTTTTATAAGGACACCATTTGGGGTGGAGCCAAGATGGCCAAATAGGAACAGCTCCAGTCTACAGCTGCCAGTGTGAGCGACGCAGAACACGGGTGATTTCTGCATTTCCAACTGAGGTACCGGGTTCATCGCACTGGGGATTGTTGGACAGTGGGTGCAGGACAGTGGGTGCAGTGCACTGAGCATGAGCCAAAGCAGGGCGAGGCATCTCCTCACCCGGGAAGCACAAGGGGTCAGGGAATTCCCTTTCCTAGCCAAGGAAAGAGGTGACAGATGGCACCTGGAAAATCGGGTCACTCCCATCCTAATACTGTGCTTTTCCAATGGTCTTAGCAAACGGCACACCAGGAGATTATATCCTGTGCCTGGCTCGGAGGGTCCTATGCCCACGGAGCCTCGCTCATTGCTAGCACAGCAGTCTGAGATCAAACTGCAAGGAAGCAGCAAGGCTGGGGGAGGGGCACCCTCCATTGCCAAGGCTTAAGTAGGTAAACAAAGCAGCTGGGAAGCTCGAACTGGGTGGAGCCCACCGCAGCTCAAGGAGGCCTGCCTGCCTCTGTAGACTCCACCTCTGGGGGCAGGGCACAGCCAAACAAAAGGCAGCAGAAACCTCTGCAGACTTAAATGTCCCTGTCTGACAGCTTTGAAGAGAGTAGTGGTTCTCCCAGCACGCAGCTTGAGATCTGAGAACGGACAGACTGTCTCCTCAAGTGGGTCCCAGACCCCTGAGTAGCCTAACTGGGAGGCACGCCCCAGTAGGGGCAGACTGACACCTCACACGGCTGGGTACTCCTATGGAACAAAACTTCCAGAGGAACGATCAGGCAGCAACATTTGCTGTTCACCAATATCTGCTGTTCTGCAGCCTCCGCTGCTGATACCCAGGCAAACGGGTTCTGGAGTAGACCTTCAGAAAACTCCAACAGACCTGCAGCTGAGGGTCCTGACTGTTAGAAGGAAAACTAACAAACAGAAAGGACATCCACACCAAAACCCCATCTGTATGTCACCATCATCAAAGACCAAAGGTAGATAAAACCACAAAGATGGGGAAAATCACAGCAGAAAAACTGGAAACTCTAAAAATCAGAGCACCTCTCCTCCTCCAAAGGAATGCAGCTCCTCACCAGCAACAGAACAAAGCTGGATGGAGAATGACTTTGAGTTGAGAGTTGACTTTGAGTTGAGTTGAGGGAAGAAGGCTTCAGACGATCGAACTACTCCGAGCTAAAGGAGGAAGTTCGAACCCATGGCAAAGAAGTTAAAAACCTTGAAAAAAGATTAGATGAATAGCTAACTAAAATAACCAATGCAGAGAAGTCCTTAAAGGACCTGAAGGAGCTGAAAACCACGGCATGAGAATTACATGATGAATGCACAAGCCTCAGGAGCAGATTCAATCAACTGGAAGAAAGGGTATCAGTGATGGAAGATCAAATGAATGAAATGAAATGAAAAGAGAAGTTTAGAGAAAAAAGAATAAAAAGAAACAAACAAAGCCTCCAAGAAGTATGGGACTATGTGAAAAGACCAAATCTATATCTGATTGGTGTACCTAAAACTGACGGGGAGAATGGAACCAAGTTGGAAAACACTCTGCAGGATATTATCCAGGAGAACTTCTCCAATCTAGCAAGGCAGGCCAACATTCAAATCCAGGAAATACAGAGAACGCCACAAAGATACTCCTCGAGAAGAGAAACTCCAAGACACATAATTGTCAGATTCACCAAAGTTGAAATGAAGGACAAAATGTTAAGGGCAGCCAGAGAGAAAGGTCGGGTTACCCACAAAGGGAAGCCCATCAGACTAACAGCTGATCTCTCAGCAGAAACTCTACAAGCCAGAAGAGAGTGGGGGCCAATATTCAACATTCTTAAAGAAAAGAATTTTCAGCCCAGAATTGCATATCCAGCCAAACTAAGCTTCATAAGTGAAGGAGAAATAAAATACTTTACAGACAAGTAAATGCTGAGAGATTTTGTCACCATCAGGCCTGCCCTACAAGAGCTCCTGAAGGAAGCACTAAACATGGAAAGGAACAACTGGTACCAGCCACTGCAAAAACATGCCAAATTGTAAAGACCATCGAGGCTAGGAAGAAACTGCATCAACTAATGAGCAAAATAACCAGCTAACATCATAATGACAGGATCAAATTCACACATAACAATATTAACCTTAAATGTAAATGGGCTAAATGCTCCAATTAAAAGATAGAGATTGGCAAATTGGATAAAGAGTCAAGACCCATCAGTGTGCTGTATTCAGGAAACCCGTCTCACATGCAGAGACACACATAGGCTCAAAATAAAGGGATGGAGGAAGATCTACCAAGCAAATGGAAAACAAAAAAAGGCAGAGGTTGCAATCCTAGTCTCTGATAAAACAGACTTTAAACCAACAAAGATCAAAAGAGACAAAGAAGGCCATTACATAATGGTAAAGAGATAAATTCAACAAGAAGAGCTAACTATCCTAAATATAAATGCACCCAATACAGGAGCACCCAGATTCATAAAGCAAGTCCTTAGAGACCTACAAAGAGACTTAGTCTCCCACACAATAATAATGGGAGACTTTAACATCCCACTGTTAACCTTAGACAGATCAATGAGACAGAAAGTTAACAAGGATATTCAGGAATTGAACTCAGCTCTGCACCAAAGCAACCTAATAGACATCTACAGAACTCTCCACCCCAAATCAACAGAATATACATTCTTTTCAGCACCACACCACACCTATTCCAAAATTGACCACATAGTTGGAAGTAAAGCACTCCTCAGCAAAAGTAAAAGAACAGAAATTATAACAAACTGTCTCTCAGACTACAGTGCAATCAAACTAGAACTCAGCATTAAGAAACTCACTCAAAACCACTCAACTACATGGAAACTGAACAACCTGCTCCTGAATGACTACTGGATACATAACGAAAAGAAGGCAGAAGTAAATATGTTCTTTGAAACCAACGAGAACAAAGACACAACATACCAGAATCTCTGGGACACATTCAAAGCAGTGTGTAGAGGGAAATTTATAGCACTAAATGCCCACAAGAGAAAGCAGGAAATATCTAAAATTGACACCCTAACATCACAATTAAAAGTACTAGAGAAGCAAGAGCAAACACATTCAAAAGCTAGCAGAAGGCAAGAAATAACTAAGATCAGAGCAGAACTGAAGGAAATAGAGACACAAAAAACCCTTCAAAAAATCAATGAATCCAGGAGCTGGTTTTTTGAAAAGATCAACAAAATTGATAGACCGCTAGCAAGACTAATAAAGAAGAAAAGACAGAAGAATCAAATAGACACAATAAAAAATGATAAAGGGGATATCACCACCGATCGCACAGAAATACAAACTACCATCAGAGACTTCTATAAACACCTCTAATGCAAATAAACTAGAAAATCTAGAAGAAATGGATAAATTCCTGGACACATATACCCTCCCAAGACTAAACCAGGAAGAAGTTGAATCTCTGAATAGACCAATAACAGGCTCTGAAATTGAGGCAATAATTAATAGCTTACCAACAAAAAAAGTCCAGGACCAGATGGATTCACAGCCAAATTCTACCAGAGGTACAAGGAGGAGCTGGTACCATTCCTTCTGAAACTACTCCAATCAATAGAAAAAGAGGGAATCCTCCCTAAATCATTTTATGAGGCCAGTATCATTCTGATACCAAAGCCTGGCAGAGACACAACAAAAAAAGAGAATTTTAGACCAATATCCCTGATGAACATCGATGCAAAATCCTCAATAAAATACTGGCAAACCAAATCCAGCAGCACATCAAAAAGCTTACCCACCATGATCAAATGGGCTTCATCCCTGGAATGCAAGGCTGGTTCAACATATGCAATCAATAAACATAATCCAGCATATAAACAGAACCGAAGACAAAAACCACATGATTATCTCAGTAGATGCAGAAAAGGCCTTTGACAAAATTCAACAATGCTTCATGCTAAAAACTCTCAATAAATTAGGTATTGATGGGATGTGTCTCAAAATAATAAGAGCTATTTATGACAAACCCACAGCCAATATCATACTGAATTGGCAAAAACTGGAAGCATTCCCTTTGAAAACTGGCACAAGACAGGGGTGCCCTCTCTCACCACTCCTATTCAACATAGTGTTGGAAGTTCTGGCCAGGGCAATCAGGCAGGAGAAGGAAATAAAGGGTATTCAATTAGGAAAAGAGGAAGTCAAATTGTCCCTGTTTGCAGATGACCTGATTGTATATCTAGAAAACCCCATCATCTCAGCCCAAAATCTCCTAAAACTGATAGGCAACTTCAGCAAAGTCTCAGGATACAAAATCAATGTGCAAAAATCACAAGCATTCTTATACATCAATAACAGACAAACAGAGAGCCAAATCATGAGTGAACTCCCATTCACAATTACTTCAAAGAGAATAAAATACCTAGGAATCCAACTTACAAGGGATGTGAAGGACCTCTTCAAGGAGAACTACAAACCACTGCTCAATGAAATAAAAGAGGATACAAACAAATGGAAGAACATTCCATGCTCATGGGTAGGAAGAATCAATATTGTGAAAATGGCCATACTGCCCAAGGTAATTTATAGATTCAATGCCATCCCCATCAAGCTACCAGGGACTTTCTTCACAGAATTGGAAAAAACTACTTTAAAGTTCATATGGAACCAAAAAAGAGCCCGCATTGCCAAGTGAATCCTAAGCCAAAAGAACAAAGCTGGAGGCATCACGCTACCTGACTTCAAACTATACTACAATGCTACAGTAACCGAAACAGCATGGTACTGGTACCAAAACAGAGATATAGACCAATGGAAAAGAACAGAGCCCTCAGAAATAATGCTGCATATCTACAACCATCTGATCTTTGACAAACCTGACAAAAACAAGAAATGGGGAAAGGATTCCCTGTTTAATAAATGGTGCTGGGAAAACTGGCTAGCCATATGTAGAAAGCTGAAACTGGATCCCTTCCTTACACCTTATACAAAAATTAATTCAAGATGGATTAAAGACTTAAATGTTAGACCTAAAACCATAAAAACCCTAGAAGAAAACCTAGGCAATACCATTCAGGACATAGGCATGGGCAAGGGCTTCATGTCTAAAACACCAAAAGCAATGGCAACAAAAGCCAAAATTTACAAATGGGATCTCATTAAACTAAAGAGCTTCTGCATAGCAAAAGAAACTACCATCAGAGTGAACAGGCAACCTACAGAATGGGAGAAAATTTTTGCAATCTACTTGTCTGACAAAGGGCTAATATCCAGAATCTACAATGAACTCAAACAAATTTACAAGAAAAAAACAAACAACCCCATCAAAAAGTGGGTGAAGGATATGAACAGACACTTCTCAAAAGAAGACATTTATGCAGCCAAAAGACACATGAAAAAATGCTCATCATCACTGGCCATCAGAGAAATGCAAATCAAAACCACAATGAGATACCATCTCACACCAGTTAGAATGGCAATCATTAAAAAGTCAGGAAACAACAGGTGCTGGAGAGGATGTGGAGAAATAGGAACACTTTTACACCATTGGTGAGACTCTAAACTAGTTCAACCATTGTGGAAGTCAGTGTGGCAATTCCTCAGGGATCTAGAACTAGAAATACCATTTGACCAAGCCATCCCATTACTGGGAATATACCCAAAGGATTATAAATCATGCTGTTATAAAGACACACGCACACGTATGTTTATTGCAGCACTATTCATAATAGCAAAGACTTGGAACCAGCCCAAATGTCCATCAGTGATAGACTGGATTAAGAAAATGTGGCACTTATATACCATGGAATACTATGCAGCCATAAAAACGGATGAGTTCATGTCCTTTGTAGGGACATGGATGAAGCTGGAAACCATCATTCTCAGCAGACTGTCGCAAGGACAAACAACCAAACAACGCATGTTCTCACTCATAGGTGGGAATTGAACAATGAGAACACATGGACACAGGAAGGGGAACATCACACACCGGGGCCTGTTGTGGGGTGGGGGGAGGGGGGAAGGATAGCATTAGGAGATATACCTAATGTTAAATGACGAGTTAATGGGTGCAGCACACCAATATGGCACATGTATACATATGTAACTAACCTGCACATTGTGCATATGTACCCTAAAACTTAAAGTATAATAAAAAATAAAAAATAAAAAAATAAGGACACCATTCATATTGGATTTAGACCCACCCTAATGACCTCATTGTAACTTGAATACCTCTCTAAAGATCCTAACTCCAGGCTGGGCACAGTGACTCATGCCTGTAATTCCAGCACTTTGGAAGGCCAAGGTGGGCAGATCATGAGGTCAGGAGTTCTAGACCAGCCTGGCCAACATGGTGAAACCCCATCTCTACTAAAAATACAAAAATTAGCTGGGTGTGGTGGTGTGCACCTGTAATCCTAGCTACTGGGGAGGCTGAGGCAGGAGAATTGCTGGAACCTGGGAGGCAGAGGTTGTAGGGAGCCAAGATCATGCCATTGCACTCCAGCCTGGGTGACAGAGCAAGACTTTGTCTCAAAAAAAAAAAAAAAAAAATTCTAACTCTAAATGAAGTCACATTCTGAGGTACTAAAGGGGGATGTTTAGGACTCTAGTATATCTTTTTGGGAGGTGTGATGGACTGAATGTGTCCTTCCAAAATGCATATGTTGAAATCCTAATCCCTGATGTGATGGCATTGGGAGATGGGACCTCTGGGAGGTGATTAGATCATGAGGGAGGAGCCCTCATGAATGAGATTTAGTGCCTTTATAAAAGGGACCCCTGGCCAGACACGGTGGCTCATGCCTGTATTCCCAGCACTTTGAGAGGCTGAGGTGGGCAGATTACCTGAGGTCAGGAGTTCGAGACCACCCTGGCCAACAAGGGGAAACCTGGTCTCTACTAAAAAAATACAAAAATTAGCTGGTCGTGGTGGTGGGTGCCTATAATCCCAGCTATACGAGAGGATGAGGCAGGAGAATCATTTGAACCTGGGAGGCAGAGGTTGCAGTGAGCTGAGATCGCGCCATTGCACTCCAGCCTGGGCAGCAGAGCGAAACTCCATCTCAACAACAACAAGAACGACAACAAAAAGCTGGGAGACCCCGGAGAGCTCTCTCACCTTCTCTCTTCCATGTGAGGAAAAACAAAAGGTCAGCAGTCTGCATCCCAGAAGAGAGCCCTCACCACAACCTGACCATGTTGACACCCCGATCTTGAACTTTCAGCCTCAGAATTGTGAGAAATACATGTTGGCTGTTTAAACTACCCAGTTCATGGTACTCTATTAAAGCAGCCCAAATGGATTAAGATAGTGGGACACAGTTTGATCCTAATGTTCCCTGGAGGATTCCCACTTTCCTCCCTATCTCCACTCTGCTGCTCCTGACTGCACACATGCTCTCTGCTCTGAGCAGGATGCAAGATCTTGGAGAGAAAGGTTGGGTGTGGGGTTAATTTGGCTCTGAGACACATCATCACAGGCCAGTGATGATGTGCCGGCCTACCTGGTGAGATGGGCTCCCCAGCCTGCTTCTGGCTCCAGGTGTGTGCTTTTTCAAAGCTGCACATCAACAGAAAGGACGATGATGGAGGATGAAATGTTCCCAATATTTGCTGTCCCTAAGGTCTCGGGAGGATTGTACTTTGCTACCCTGTTGACAGCAGGATTGGTCATGTAACTTGCTTTAGCCAATGAAATATGAATGGGAGGGACATGGGCTATCTCCAAGAGGAGGCTGTGAGAGGCAGTGCATGCTTGGTTGTGCTTTCTCTCCCTCTGGGCGAGACTGGTAATGGAAGACTAGATGGAAGTGGTCCACTGGCCTGGGGCCTGGAGGAAGGTTCATATGGAACTGAGCTTATGCCAAACCATGATGGGCACATAGAATGAGCCAGAAATAAACCATGCTGTTAAAAGCCACTGAGATTTAAAAGTTGTTTGTTATTGGTCATAACTTTGCCAATCCCGAATGAAAAGACAACCTTCCCAAATAGAGGAGAACTAGGCTTTAGCTAAGAACATATATGTGGAGTGAACACAAAGGTGAATTCTAAATGGATCAAACTTTATATGTGATAAATGAAGCCGTAAAAGTACTAGAAGAAAATAGGAATTACCTTCATAAGCTGAGAGTGGGGAAGGGCTTTCTAATTATTATTCAAAACTCAGAACCTTTGAAGGAAAAGATTGCATTACAAACTGCATTACTTAAAAATTTCATACTTGATAGAAAAATAAACTAACACCACTATCACCAAGAAAAGAAATAAAAACCAAGCAAACAAATGTCATAAGTGTGGTAGATTGTTTGCAAAAATAGCCACAAAATTCCTTCCTTTTATTCACATCTTTGGTATTCCCTTCCCATCCTAACTCTAGCCTTGCCATATTACTTGCTTTAGCCACAGGGACAATAACAAATGTGATGCAAGTAGGGTCTTAAAGCACGTGGGCATTGGTGCTTGCTCTCTTGCTGTTTCCTGGAACCTGTGACCACCATACGAATACAGATGAACTGTCTCAGCGGAACCCAAACCATAGAATCTTGAGCAAACAAGTGACTGTTGCTTCTAGCCAAACAATTTTGGGATGGTTTGTACACAGAAAAAAATAACTGACGTAAGGAGCAAAATCAACATGAGAAAGTTATTTGCAACTCATACCACAAACAAAGGGCTTAGGTTTCTAATACACACTTTTCCCTATGTAAATTTCCTTCTTATAAAATATGAAAGCCCAACAACTCAGTAGAAAAATGGGCAAAGATTATGAACATACAGTTCACGGTGAAGAAAATACAAATAGTTGTTTAAATATATGGACATACGCTCAATCTCATTCATAGTAAGACAAATTCAGATTAAAACTCCCTCAAGATAGAATTCTTACCTGTCAGATTGGCAAAAATACAAGGGTTTGGTAACATGCTGAGCTGGTAAAGACATGAGGAAACAGGCACTCTCATACACTGTGGGTGGGAGTAAAACCTGATGGAGGACAATTTGGCAACAGCTATGAAAATTACAAATGCACAAATTGTTTCATCTAGTAACTGTATTTCTAGGAACTTATCCTACAGTGTACTCATATAGAAAGTGACATATGCACAAGGTTATTCAGTATTGTTTATATGCAAATGTTTATATGCAATATGCAGTATTGTTTATAATAGCAAAAGATTGGCAATGACCTAAATGCCCATCAATAGGAGAATGCAGGCTGGGCACGGTGGCTCATGCCTGTAATCCCAGCATTTTGGGAGGCCGATGTGGGTGGATCACCTGAGGTCAGGGGTTCGAGACCAGCCTGACCAACATGGAGAAACCCCATCTCTACTAAAAATACAAAATTAGCCGGGCATGGTGGCACATGCCTGTAATCCCAGCTACTCAGGAAGCTGAGGCAGGAGAATTGGTTAAACCCAGGAGGTGGAAGTTGTGATGAGCCAAGATTGCACCATTGCACTCCAGCCTGGGCAACAAGAGCAAAACTCTGTCTCAAAAAAAAAAAAAAAAAAAAAAAAAAAAAGGACTGCATGGATTGCAAAGTACTGTCACAAACACTACCAGAACAGAGACAGCCTCCCAATAATCCTGTGGGTAGGTAAAGGTGGTGTATAGTCATATAATGAAATACTATGCAACTGTGAAAAAAATATGGAAGCTGGAAGGTACTGATATGAAAAAATACCCAAGATGTGTTGGTAAAAAATGATGTAAATTGCAGAAGTACATATATATATATATACACACACACACACACACACACACACACATTTGGATTTGCTTCTATATGCATAAAGAGACCAGAAAAGGATACACAGAAAACTAGCATAGGAGTCACAGATTACCCATAGGATGTGGTGGAACAGGGCACATAATGGACAGAAGTGGGAGGGAGACTTTCCATCATGTAGCTTTTTGTATTTTTTTAATTTTTGAAACTTGTACTATCTATTCAAGAATTGAAATAATAAAATTAAATATTTAGGAAATAATGTGGATGTAAAAAGTTGACCACAGGCCATAAAGAAGCTGAGGCTCAGAGAGGTTAAGTGTCCCTGCTGCTCACTGACAGAGTCAGCTTCTGAACTCAGGTCTGTCTGACCCTAAAGCCAGGAACTTGGGAAAGTCAAGGCTTCTCTAAACCTCAGATTTCCCAAATTTAAAATGGGAATCAGAGTCATGCCACCTCTACCTACCCACAGGATTATTGGGAGGCTATCTCTGTTGAGGTAGTGTTTGTGAGAATGTTTTGCAAACCATGTGGGGCTCTAACACCAGAAGCTCAATCAATTTCCACATAGTACATGATGTAAACTGTTTTTCTGGTCTCACTATTGCCAGCATAAAGGGCTGGGTACTTTACATATAGTATAACTTGATCTAATCCTCTTTCAGACTCTGGGGATGAAACGTTTTATTCCCATTTTAGAGATGAGGAAATTGAGACTCAGAAAGGTTTACTAATTTAGTTAGTGTGTGACACAAGTGGGATTTGAGTCCAAGTTTGTTTGACGCTGACGCTATTGTCTCTCAGTTATTGGAGGGGGTTATCCTACTCAGTCCTCAGGAGTGGGTTCCTCAATGCCTGATGGGCACAGAAATTCATCCCCATTTGTAGACTTGCTCATGCAATGCTTCCAGTGGATGGCCTCCTTTTCTTTTCTTCTTCTTTTTTTTTTTTTTTTGAGAGGGAATCTCGCTCTGTCGCCCAGGCTGGAGTGCAGTGGCATGATCTCGGCTTACTGCAACTTCCGTCTCCCAGGTTCAAGTGATTCTCCTTCCTCAGCCTCCCAAGTAGCTGGGATTACAGGTGCCCACCACCATGCCTGCCTAATTTTTGTATTTTTAGTAGAGATGGGGTTTCACCGTGTTGGCCAGGCTGGTCTCGAACCCCTGACCTCAGGTGATCCACCCGCCTCAGCCTCCCAAAGTGCTGGGATTATAGGCGTGAACCACCGCGTCCGGCCTGGCCTACTTTTCTTCTCTCTCCCTTCCCAAATGTTGCTGGTCCTTGCAAGCCCATATCAAATCCAACTTTTCATTTGCAGACTTTCATGACCACACCCTTAGCAATGACTTCTTCCTTCTTCATTATCCTTTTGTGTCTATATGCTTATTTCCTTAAATAATATTTACCTCCTCATGGTGAGAAACTTTATTCATCTTTGTAAATGAAATAAGGTATATAAAAGGCCTAGCTCAGAGTTTGGTACACAGAAAACAATACTCAACAAATGGTGGTTCTGTCGGTCTCCCTCACAGCCCCTAACATAATGCCTTGTCCCTGGTAGCCGCTCCACAAATGATTGCTTATTAAAAGCATAGCTGTCTTCAGTGACCATGGGACACACAATAGAGAGGGAGAACTTAGCTTGGGGAGGCAAACTTCCAGGTAAGAAACTGACAATTATGAATTCAGAAATGCTGGTCCAATATAATCACTCCCAGAACTTGTGGCCCTATCAGAAAATCATGTTGCCCCACTCTGCTGTGGCTTCCCATAATGAGAGATGTACCCATCTCCCAGTGGGCGGTCTTAGACACAGATGACTAAGGCCACATCCACCCAATCCAAATAACTGATGATGGGTTTGGCCCAATGATTGTGGAAAGACCCCAGTTAATTCAGATTCATAGACTTATTGAAGAAGATTTACTGTGTGTCAGAGATGCTCATACATGCTGTCTAATTTGATCTTTCTAACAAGCCACGAAATCAGAATGCTTATCTCTGTCTCATAGATGAGAGACCTTGGCATCAATCATGCCAGGATCCATCAATCATCTATGTAGCATGTACCAAGCACCTCAGGAGGTACAATTATAAGATTCAATTGCTGTTCTTGGGAAGCTCCGATTTAGTAGGAAAGTGCCTTATACACGTAAAAAGAAAATGACTATCCTGAAATCAGCTACATGACAGATCAAAAGCCTCTCAGGTTGGAAGGAAGGAAGGGAGGGAGAGAGAAAGAAAAAAATGAAGGGAGATATAAAGGGAGGAAAGGGGTTGGAATGGTAGTTAGGCAGAATAATCTGCCACCCCAAACATTTGTGAGGGACACAAAAGTGGGATGAAGCCCCAAACCCTCTTTTTACTGCTTCCATAGTCCCTGGATTGGTGGCATCATAAGAATCTTCGGTAAATGTGGGCACTTTCTGTGACTTCCTTTCTTCTCCTTTCCTCTCTTTCACTGGTCATCGCAGCCAGCTTTTACTTCAATTTGTCTTTCATCATCATACCTCTTTCCCCATGTCCCCCAACACCCCATAACTCCCTTCTTACCAAAACCAGAACCAAACCAAAGCAGGCTATCAAGCATCTTAGCCTTATGGGATATTCTTGGCTCGTGGCCTTCCTGAGGTAGAGCCATCAGTGTCACTGAGTCTGAAAGGGAAGAGGGTTTGACAGCAGTCAGTCCTGTTGAGTCTGCTTCCAACCACTCCACCCAAGGGGCACTTGAGCAGCAATGGGTGGAGGGGATGTGGGAGAAGAACCAGTATCTTGCTATCCTAGGCAGCACCAAAGCTTCCCTCACTTGCTTTCAGCCTGCTGGGTGAGTGAAGATCAAGGATTAGCAATGGGCAACAGAAGCTATGAACTCTCTTCTGAAGTACCTCGCAGGCTCCTCGATACTCTTATCACCAAGTCTGTTATTCACACAGTGGCAGCCACAGTGATCAAATGCATAAGGCAGATCACATCATGTACTTCCTAACAACCCTCCAGTCGTTTCCCACTTGAGCTAAACTGTCCTGGCCTATGAGGTCTGCATTCATCTGGCACCTGTTACCATGTCATTACTGCATCCTCTCATCTTGTCATCTGTAAAATGGGAATGAGCATGGCTGCTTTTAGAACGAAACAAGATGACGTATGTCACACACAGACACACACACCATCACCACCACCAGGCCATCATGGTAGAATCTGAATAGTAAGAAATGATTAAATTGAGATTTGCAGCCATGCGGAGAACGATAGAATCAGGTACCTAGTAGATGTGAAAGGGTCAAGTTAATGGCATGGTTAATCCATCTTTGAACAAGACAATTGGACAAAAGTCTGGCATAGAGAAGTGAATGATGGAGAGAATGGAAACTTGAGGCACTAACAAGTGACAGGTTGAACTGTAGTCTCCAAACTGTGACCCATAAGGAGTGGCTGGTCTAAGATTTTTAGAAAAGCAAAAACGTTTTTACGAGTTGCCTAACCCTTAAGCTGGCGGGCCACTAGTATCTAATAAGCTCCATCACACAAGCACAACAGCTGTGTAACTGCTTGCTATGGTTTGGGTATTTGTCCCCACTCAAATCTCATGCTGAATTGTAATCCCCAGTGCTGGAGGTGGGGTCTGGTGGAGGCGTTTGATCATGGGGGAGAATCCCCCATGGCTTGGTGCTGTCCTTGTGATAGTGAGTTCCAGGGAGATCTGGTCACTTAAAAGTCTGTGGCACCTCCCCTCATTCTCTCTTGCTTGCTCCTGCTTTTCCATGTGATGTGTCTGCCCCCTCTTTGCCGTCTACCATGAGTAAAAGCTCCCTGAGGCCTTCCTAGAAGCCAAGCAGATGCCAGAGCTATGCTTCCTGTACAGTCTGCAGAACCATGAGCCAATTAAACCTCTTTTCTTATTAATTACCCAGTCTCAGGTATTTCTTTCTAGCAATGCAAGAATGGCCTAACACACTGCTTCTGCCTGGTCTAACACTAGCTGGCTTTTATACATTAATGATGATATTTGAGCCTGAGTGTAATTCTATAACCTTTCATCCTACCCAAGTTTCATCTTGAAACTGGGCATTGTGGGGGATCCTGACAAATAGAATAATTGGTATCAACTGAACATCTGTATGTACTTGGTCCCTGCCAGAACTTGTAGGGCAAGCATGGACCATTTGAATTCCCATAATTATGAATAAAGGATTCATGTGGTCCACACCCAGGTATCTGTGGTCATGTGGCTTGCTACTAAGAAAACTGGGCGTGCCTCTTCACTAGTTAAAAGCCATCACGTTTGGAATAAATAATAAACATTTACCTGCTTCTATATTTCTTGAGGTCTGATAACACATTTTGAATAATTTTGTATGTGGGCTCATTGTATCTTTCAGGCCTAATTTCTGACAGTGTCATTTCCCATCTGGGTTTTGATTCTAGAAAGTCAAACCCTGCAGTAACTGCTATTGGCACCCAGTGTTCACCTTGGTCCCTGGTCTGATCACAAGATACTCTACACATTCCAAGCTAAAGTCTGAGATCACTGTTCAATAGTCAAAGGAGTCTAGTTCCTTAAAAAATGCTGGGTGCCTTTCTAGTATGGGGAGTGGGGGAAGAGACTGTTTTAGAAGCACATGAGGAAGTTGCTACTCAGTTTGATTATGTTAGGCAAACAGAAATTAGTTAACTGGCAGGAAAACACAAAGCCAAGTTGGAATCTCAAGCTGAAACCATGGTTTCAAGTGACTATTTGTTACTCCCTGAAATTGCAGCCCCAGACTATTTCCTTCTTTCCATCAGAGCCAAGGCCGATGACCTGCCAGGGCCTTGTAAATCATTCTCTTACTCCAACAATAAAGCCCATAGTTTATTTCTGGGCTTGCCATCCACGAGCTACAAGAAAACACACTCCAAGCTGACTCCATTGCTGTCAGGCCTCTTTGCAGTGGTTACGATTAGATGAGAGGGGCCACTTGACCTGCAGCTGGATTGGCTGGCCAGTGGCTCTTGTTGCGGTTAATTCAAGAAGCAGGAAAGCAGACATCATACAAGGAGCTCTGACCAAAAGCTTTAGAGGGCTGTTCAAGGAACGCAGGGACTGTGTGTTTATGGTTGGATTTCACCTCAAACACTGATCTGTTGTGTGACTTTGAGGAAGTCCCTTCACCTTTCTGTGCCTCAGTTTCTTCATCTGTAACATTACCCTAGTGATGAGTTTTATACCACGTACTTGAGTCTAAACTTTTAAAACCAGGGACCCAGCTAACATCCCATTGGTTTCTCTTCAGAAAGGTATGGTCTTTTCCATGCAGATTACACTCCATTTCCCAAATACAATGGACTGCTTTACAGTTTGGATGATTAGATTTACTGGCTCATTACAGTTTTAAAAATAGAACAAGTCACACAGAACTACAAATTTAGCCCCTGAGGCTGATTGTGTTGGCAGGCAAAGAGGCAGCACTTTCTTTCCTCTTTCAGGATTTGACCTGAACACACGGGTTGTATGGCATTTGAGGGATTCATATGTGGTCAAGCCTCCAACCTTTAAGTATCAGAGCATAGGAGGAGAGAGGACTGTTGACCCCAAGCTTGGGATTTTCTACAACTGAACCCTTGTTCTACTACCTCTTTTCCTGCTGGCTGCCCTCTGTCCTCCCTTGTGCAACGAAATCTTAGTTCTCTTTCAGGGCTTCAAAAGCCTCCTCCATGTTGCCTTCCCTGGGCCTTCCTCCTCCTTCCCTCTGCGGGAAGGGCTCTCCCTTCTCTTTCCCCTCTATAAGCACCCATTTGTGCTATACATGTAAATTATATCACAATGCTTTGTACCATGGATGTTTGTGCCTAGGTTTCATTCTCTTCCTTGAGGTCAGGGACATTGTCTGTGATGTTAGATCCCTTATAGTACCCAGACAGGGCTTTGTCTATAATAGGAAAATGGATAAACAAGAAAATGGAGGACTTTGGGCATGAGGATTCACTGACCTGGTTCTCCTTGTCTTTCTGTCTTGCATGTCATGAACCTCACTGCATCCACTCTGTTTTTAGATCTCACTGAGTTCATGTGTTCAACCATACACCTTATTGGGTGCTCTTACGGACACTGTGATGTGCTATCCAGCTCCTGGGGGTGCTGCTGACAGCAAGCCCTCAGCCCTTATCACACAATACAATTGTCTACCTAAAAAGAGCCCCTTCTCCAAAGTCATGCCCCCTTTCTAGGACAACCTGCATGAATAACTGGTCTATGTGGGTTTATAAAGGTTCAGGCCCATACACTAATTTGGAACAACTTCAGAGCCTCCTATGAGATTGGCTGGGGCTATCGTCAAGACTGCATCACAGCTCAACTTCTTCCTCTGCCCCATCCTGTTTCCTTCTTTTCCCTTTTATAGCTGTTGATCCTAAGAGCACTCCCTA
Organism: Homo sapiens; assembly: GCF_000001405.40. Lineage (NCBI taxonomy): Eukaryota > Metazoa > Chordata > Mammalia > Primates > Hominidae > Homo > Homo sapiens. The sequence continues at coordinate 117,233,745 of NC_000001.11, forward strand.
ATAGAAGTCATGCACATCAAATTATTGCAGAGTCTGCTTCCCAGAGAACCAACCTGCAACAAGTGGCTACCAAGTACCAGGTACTATTCTAGCTTGTGGCTTAGAGTAGTGAACAAGAACAGGTCCCTGCCCTCACAGAGCATACAATCTACTGGGAGAAGACAGACAATAAACAAATACACACATAATAAGTTAAAGGAGGTGATGATCAGAATAAGCAAATTGGAAAGTGACCTAGGAGCTCTATGAGTCCGTTCTCATGCTGCTAATAAAGACATATCCAAGAGTGGGTAATTTATAAAGGAAAGAGGTTTAATTGACTCACAGTTCAGCATGGCTTCGGAGGCCTCAGGAAACTTACAATCATGGCAGAAGGGAATACAAACATGTCCTTCTTCACATGGTGGCAGCAAGGAGAAGTGCTGAGCAAAAGGGGGAAAAGCCCCTTATAAAACCATCAGATCTCGGCCAAGCACAGTGGCTCATGCCTATAATCCCAGCACTTTGGGAAGCTGAGGCAGGTGGATCACCTGAGGTCAGGAGTTCGAGAACAGCCTGGCCAACATGGTGAAACCCTGTCTCTACTAAAAATACAAAATATTAGCTGGGTGTGGTGGCAGATGCCTGTAATCCCAGCTACTCAGGAGGCTGAGGCAGGAGAATCACTTGAACCTGGGAGGCAGAGGTTGCAGTGAGCCAAGATCGTGCCATTGCACTCCAGCCTGGGCAAGAAGAGTGAAACTCCATCTCAAATAAAACAAAACAAAACATCAGATCTTATAAGAATTCACTCACTATCATGAGAACAGCATGAGGGTAACCACCCCCATCATTCGATTACCTCCCACCAGGTCCCTCCCACGACACATGGGAAGTATGGGAATTATGGGAATTACAATTCAAGATGACATTTGGGTGTGGACACAGCCAAACTATATCAGGAGCCAAGCAAGAATATTATTTTTAATGAAGATGCTGAGGAGGCTTCACTGATAAGTAACAACGCAAATAAAATGAGGGAGAAAGACATGAAGATATCTCAGAAAAGAGTATTCTAGACAGTTGAAATAGCAACTTCAAAGACTATGCCAAAGGAACAGCAAGGAGAATGCTAGCAGATGAGGACGCATAGAGTTAGATCATGTAGGGCCTTGTGGGCCTTGGGTCAATGTTCTATTTTCTGTATTGGGATGTGTGTTCACAGGAATTTATTGGATTATTTAAAACAATAAATAAATAAAATTTAGAAAGAGGGCCAAGCACTGACAAAAACAAGAGTGTCATCAACCACAGATTATGATTCTATGTGCCTGAAATTTAGAAGAGAGAAATGTCTATTCAAAACCCAAGAGGAGATGTTGAATACATGAGTCTTGCATCCAGGGCCTGGATGTACACTTGAGAGTCACCAGCACTGAGACAGGACATTAAGATGGAGAGGGTGATAGAAAAGAGCTGTCTGGGGGCAGAAGCTGGGAGACTACAACATGAAGAGATTGGAGAGCTGAATAGGAAGCAGCAAATTCAACTGAGAAGAAGGGGCCAGTGAGGAAAAGGGAAGAAGAGGCGACTCACTTGTCAAATGGTGCTTGAAAGGTCAAATCAGAAAAGGTCTAAGAACTGGATTTGGCAAAATGGAGGTCACTGGTGATCTCAAAGGAGAAGTTTCAGTAGAGGAGTAAAGACAAAAGTCCAAACAAGTGACAGCAAGAGAGACTAAGAGGACAGGAGAAGACAGTGAGTATATAAACAATGATCTTGTGGATTTTGCCAAAAAAGGGTGCAGATAAATGGGATGGTAGCTGGAAGGGATGTGGAATCAAGGAAGGGACAATTGAAGATGGGAGATATCCATTCTTCAGTGACAATTTATCGAGCACCTACTTATTTTCAGGTGTAAAATTATGTACTGGGAAAACTGTGTAAACTCCTTTAGCAGGTGTTGTGGGTGCCTGCAACCCACCTCAAGGCAGCCCTGCGGACAGGTCTGTGCAAGTTGCTAGCATCCTACCTCAGACACACACCAGAGGACCTCTTTGCTTTTCCACCTCAGGGATTCCTCCAGAACTTCTCTGTATACTGATGGGAATTATCCCATTGAGAGGCAAAACTGATCATGCAGGAGACAGAAGAGTCAACCAGTAGGAAGGGTAATATCCATTGCACAGTTGGGAGGGTTAGCCTTAGACAGCAGCTGGGACAAGCTGAATGGTGATGAGTGGGAAGGAGCCCTGTGGATAAGGTTGCACGTGGGCTGGTTGACTTTGTTGTGGGAGTGTGTGGATGTTCTCTTCAGATTAATTCTATTTTCACAGTGGAACAAGTAGTAAGACCAACAGCTGAGTGCAAATTGTGGTAAATGAATTTGAGGTCTGAGGAAAGGCGAGAGAATATGAAATGCCTAGCCATACACATTCACTGCACATGTCATGTACCAGGCACTCTTCCAGGCAGCTGGGATAGCACAGAGATCTCTGTCCATGCAGAGCTCATACTCCAGTGAATCCACTAGAGAAATGTGCTCAGACTGCCAGGCAGCACTTGGGACCCACTTGAGGTTAGAACCAAAGCTATGAATGAGAGCAGTCCCATGACTGTGTGTTGGTCAGCTAAGGGATTCTGATGTCCAACAGAGCAGTGTCTGGGGAAAATGAAGTAGGAACAGAGACATTAAAAATAAAACCCATCAATTTAAAATACCTACCTAAAACTAAAGAGACCCCAACTTAGGCCGGGCACGGTGGCTCATGCCTGTAATCCCAGCACTTTGGGAGGCCAAGGAAGGCAGATCACCTGAGTTTGAGAGTTCGAGACAAGCCTGACCAATGTGGAGAAACCCTATCTCTACTAAAAATACAAAATTAGCCTGGCATGGTGGCATATGCCTGTAATCCCATCTACTTGGGAGGCTGAGGCAGGAGAATCTCTTGAACCCCGGAGGTGGAGGTTGCGGTGAGCCGAGATCACGCCATTGCACTCCAGCCTGGGCAACAAAAGCAAACTCCATCTCAAAAAAAAAAAGAGACCTCAACTTTATTGATTGGGTCTACCTGCCCCCACCATACCCTTCTTTATATCCCTATTCCCACCACTGTAGTTCAAGTTCTCTGTTCTCAGCTGTACTATTTCAATAGGCTCTTAATTTATTTCTCTTTTCCATTATTTTCTCCAGTTAGGCCAGTCCACAAAACCTTGTTAGATTACTTTGCTGTAAATATAACTGTCAATGTATCATTCTCCCGCTCAGAAACCTAAACACTTCTCACTCCCTACAGAAGAAAATCTGTCTAAACTTTTATTGATTGATTGATTGAGATGGAGTCTCGCTCTGTCACCCAGGCTGGAATGCAGTGGCATGATCTCGGCTCACTGCAACCTCTGCCTCCTGGGTTCAAGTGATTCTCCTGCCTCAGCCTCCTGAGCTGGGATTACAGGTACCTGCCACCATGCCCGGCTAATTTTTGTATTTTTAGTAGAGACGGGGATTCTCCATGTTGGCCAGGCTGGTCTCGAACTCCTGACCTTAGATGATCCACCTGCCTCGGCCTCCCAAAGTGCTGGGATTACAGGTGTGAGCTACCATGCTTGGCCTTGCCTAAACTTATTTTTATTTCCAGTGCTCTTTTCAATCTGGTTCTCAACGTACCCATACCATTCTTGCATCAGCACCGTTGAATGTCCTACTCGATTCAAACTAGATTACTCCATGGCCCTTGACCTTCACACGCTTTTCACAATCATCATGCTTTTCCTTTGGCACACAGCACCCTCTCTGCCTGTCTTAACGAACTTCTCCACAATTCAAGGACATGCTCAAGTGACATCTCTCTTCCCACCCAAGGCTGCAGTGAGCACTCGCCCCTCGACTTCCATCCCAACTAACGCCACTAATGCCAATTGTTTATATTATTCCTTTAGTTCTCTTACATGCTACCTACATTTATTATGATCTTTTGTGTCCCTTTCACACCTCTACAGCTAGATGATAAGCTCTTAGCAAGCAGAAAAGCAATGCCTTAGCTTCTCTGTCTGATCCTCAGCAATGATGCACTTGGAAAGCCAACCTTTCTTCAGCATTTCATTTTGTATGCTGACTCAGAGGCAAAAAAAAAAAAAAAAAAAAAAAGGATTCCTTCAGGGAGCCCTCATGCCAACACCTCTGATTGGTGGTTCCAATTACAGGAAGTTCACGAGAGAAGCCACCTCCCATTTGTTTTCACTCCATTAGGAAATTCTTTGTGTTAATTCAACATTTTGTCCTTTGACCCATTAAGTAAAGCTTTGCTGGAAGCAATTTAATTAAAACCCTTGTGATTTTTGCAAGATTACCAAAAATTTTAGCCTCCCTAGGCAGAACCATGGCTTGTAAAATGCAGCATTTTCAGACATCTACATATCCAGCCAGGAGCCCAGCAACTCAGGCTTGTGCAAAGTTGAAGTTCTGAGAAGTTCCTCCCACATTGGTTGAGGTCACTTGGCTGGTAGACAGATTTTGTAAATGTAGCTTACTGTCAAAAAGCTGTAGCATACCAAATACAGCCTCCCTTTCCCCACACATACAGACACATACACCCTCTCTTTCTTGTCTAAATAAATATAATAGCAACCTTGGTGAGCCAGCATAGTCTCAGCAATTACAGATAAAAACAGCAATTACCACTTCACAACATCTCAAGTTCTTGGTTCCCCAAATGAAAAGTCACCCTGTTTGAAGCTAAGTCTTTTCTGCACCCAGAACAGCCTTCTATGATTTTGCCCAGTAAAGATTTATCGAGGGCTTACTACATCAAAGATAAATGGAGTTGAAGTAAACAATACAAAGGAAAATAAGGTCTGTAAGCTCTTAAGAGGTTTACAAACTACTGATAGGAGGCAGGTAATATAAGGTTATTAAACTCAAGTTCAAGTGCTAAGAGATGTGTAAATTGGAAATGGTGGGAATAGAAGGAGGGATAACTTGGGTGGAAGGGGAAAGGACAGTTCAAGAAAGTCTTCAGAGAGGATGCCGTAAAAGGTGCTCAGTTGATTGGTGGTTCCTCATTAAGTTAAACATAAAATTAGCATATGATCTAGCAATTCCACTCCTTTGTATATACCACCCAAAACCGAAGCAGGTGCAACAAAAACTTGTACACATATCTTTAAAAACAGGTGATATAGGCTGGGCATGGCGGCTCACGCCTGTAATCCTAGCACTTTGGGAGGCTGAGATGGGCGGATCACAGGGTCAGGAGATTGAGACCATCCTGGCTAACACGGTGAAACCCCGTCTCTGCTAAAAATAAAAAAAAATTAGCCAGGCATGGTGGTGGGCGCCTGTAGTCCCAGCTACTCGGGAGGCTGAGGCAGGAGAATGGCGTGAACCTGGGAGGCGGCGGTTGCAGTGAGCCGAGATCGTGCCACTGCACTCCAGCCTGGGTGACAGAGCAAGATTGTCTCAAAAAAAAAAAAAAAAAAAAAAAAAGCAGGTGGGGTACTAGCCCAATGTGGTATCAGTTTTGCTGTTGTAAGTTTGCATAGAATAGGCAGATTGTTTAACCAATTAAAAGTGATTACTTAGATAGGACAATTTTCTCAAATTCAGGAGGTTGTATTAAAATGGTAGTTTATTGTGTCAAGAGAAAAGGTCTTTATATTATTTTATTTAAAGATAATCTTATAGGAACACAAACTTGGAATATGGCCTTATTTTATGAGGTACTTAAAACTAATTTAATGGGCCTGTCTGGAAAAGATAAAATGTTATACATGTGAACTACTTCTCCAAGATTCTATCCATTAAGTGATAATGGATGCTGTTTACTGGAATGGGGTAAGCCTTTTGCAACCATATTTTCTGACCAAAATAGTTCATAGGGTCACAGATGAAAGGACACCCAAAGTTTACCTATGCTTAGAAACACTTACACAAAGGGCAGTCCACTGACTTATTGTTTAGAAAGTAGCCTCAGGCTCTTTTGAAACACACTTTAAGTCACCAATTCAGCTTGGAAACACAACATCTACTCCCATTTGTCCTAGGGCCTTGTTAAAGTATGACCTTGGTCAGAAATCCTTTATTTCCTTCTTGTTTACCAGGATAGTTAAATTAGAACCTCTTTCCAAGGGAGTATCTTAGCTCATTGATTAAAGGTCTTTAAAGCAGGCAAGAACATTGCCGCTGAGTGTGAGGCTCCACAGCAGCGCTGACCCATGGAAAACAACACGAGCCACATCTGTGGCTTTACATTTCCTAGTAGCCACATTAAATAAGTTACAAGAGATGTGAAATTAATTTTACTTATATATTACTTAACCCAATATGTTCAAAATAATATCACTTTAACATGTAATCAATATAAAATTATTAATGAAGAAAACCAGGTGGAAGAAAAAGGAAGAATGAAGGGAGAGAGATGAAAGAGAGAAAGGGAAGCATGGAAGAAAGTTCTTCTGCAATTTGCTGGCACAAAGATATATTTCTCAAGATATAAACACCTTTTCCTCTTAACAAACACCACTCTCATGGATCCAAATCTCCACAAATGTATAAGCACACTCATCTATACATACACACATGTCCCCACAGGAGAGGGTGAAGAATCATTTAGCACTTAATTATGGTGCTGCTTCAAGGTATCAGACATTATTCAGTTGGTCTAGGTTACCACTCTAGGTTCAAACTCCTCTCCCTCATCGGTGTCAGCTCAGCCCTGCCAAGGCCCATTCTCCTCTGTTGATCTTCCTCATCACCTCTGTAAACTGTTACCTTCTTGCCCGAAAACCGCAGCTTCCTCCATGTCCCTCATCTGGTTAGTAACATAACCGTCCACCTTGACCCCCAACAGCATCTTAATTATACCATCTAATGGCTTTTTCAGTCCTTGCCTCCCTAGCTTAAATGCAGCATTGAGTCATCCAAACATTCATTCAAAACATATTTGTTAAGAGCTTGCCCTGCGCATCATGGTGCAAGGCATTAGCAATACCAAGACATAGAAGGCTCTGATGTCCTCTTTTCCTTTGCCTTCCATCCCATTACATCATGTTTATTTCTTAAATGTTCAATCGTTCCTTCTGCCAAAACACTAGAAAACCAGAAAGTTCTCTCACATACCACAGCTAATCCTTCAGCAGTTGTGTTGTTTCTGCCTTCAAAACTCATGTCAGGTTTGCCCGCCTCTGACCATCTCCCCTGCTCCCATCCATGGCCCAACCACTGTGATCTCTGGGCACCAGCTTAGTGGCCTGCTGGTGAGTCTTCCACTCCATACTTACTTTCTACCATCCACAGTAGACAAACTGGTCCTTTAAAAAGCAAGTCAGATCATGTCACTCTCCTCAGAGCTCCCAGTGAGGTCCCCAACACATCTAAGAATAAGCTCCAAGACCTTTACCATGGCCTACAAGGCCACAGCCAAAAGTCCTCCTTCCCTGGCCCAGCTCCTGCTGGCTCCTCTGCCTTCCTCTCCTGCTCCCCTCCCCAGTACTCACTCTGCTACAGCCCCACTGGACCCTGCCTGGCCCTGCAGCCATTCCCCAGACACAACCAGCTGTTTCTCAACTCAGAATTGTTACGCATCTCATTCTCCGCCTGGAATGCTCTTCCTCCAGATCTTCTTATGGCCACCTCGTCTCAGGGTTCTACTCAGATGTCACTGCCTGAGAGGCTTCTCCTTATTCAATCAAAAAGTGCTCCTCCACCCCCACTCCCCTTCCCCCCTCCCCCACTTCCCCATGTCCCATCACTCTCAAGCCCTTATTCTGCTTTATTTTCTCCATGGCACTATTTAAACCCATGTTATATATTTATGTGTTTGTCTACTGTATGTATTATTTTACATTAGAATGGAGGCTCCAAGAAGTCAAGGCCTTGCTATCCCAGGACATAGAAAAGCACGGGGCACACAGTAGGACATCCCAGGAAAAGCATGGGGTACACAGTAGGAGCTCCAGTGTGCAGATTCCCCTCCTCCTCCCACCTCCTGAGTGTAGGTGGTTCACAAAAGCTGTTCTCAGGAGGCTTTTGTTCTTCCTAGGCACTCTGGGGGACCTCCACTTCCATCGCAGTGCTTTTCAAAGTGTGATCAGCCCAGCACCTGCATCCACATCTTCTGGGATGCTGCTTAAAAATAGATTCCTGGGCTCAACACTGAATCTTCTCTCGGCAGAGTGGAGCCTGAAACCTGCCATTAAATAAGCTCTCCAGGTAATTCTTGTGCTTGATAAGCTTAAGAACCACATTTTTAGATTTTAGTAATTACCTTTACTGATTGCCAGATCTGTGTTTCCACCTCTTGTTTCCAAAGCATCCCCAAGGTTTGTTGATTCTGCATCTGAAGCATCTCTCAAATCTGTGTGTTCCATTCACATTTGCGGTCTCTTACCTGGCTCACAGCTTTATTTGAATCATTACAATAGCCACCGAGCTAGTATCTGTGATCTTTCTAAACCACACAGCTAACCCATGTCATTTTCCTTTCTAAAACCATCAGTGGTTTTCCATTCTCTCCCCTCGGGGTCCCGTTTCAACACTTTTTAAATCCTCCCTCTCTAACAAGAATCAGTTTATGTGCCAATTTCTCTGGAAAATTCTCAGCTGAATGGGGTCTCCGCTCCCACTTTGATGCCCGAAGAGCTCTGTCATCTCTTAAGGTATTTATTCACTTTACCTTTAGTAGAGCTATTTATTTATCTGTCTTATTTCCTCAAATCATGTTCCATGAGTTCAGGAAATGCAATTCATTCATCTTTTTATACTCCAAAGCACTTAGCCCAATGATTGGTACTCAATAAATGTTTGTTGAATGAATGATTGAGCTCATGTTTGGTTCAAAATATAGTTTTTCATTCTGTGTTTTTTCTCTTCCAGTAGTTAAAAATGAAACCCACAAGATAGTAATTCAAAAAATGTTGTTCATTCATTTCTGCTAAAAGAAAAACACTGACAGCCAAGCACTGACACTCATTTGTGATAATCATCAATTTAGATATTGCAATGAATTTCAAAAACAAATGTATCATAATCAAGGAACATAAAACCATTTACTAAGTATGACAAAGGACAAAAAACCTTTGCGTCCCCAATCATGGTCACAAAACAGGATTCAAAATGAATGCAAAGACAAGCAGCCCTTTGTGAATATTCAATGTGTAATATAATTTAAATATAGCAAGGGAGAGAGTTGACACTCAGAACTCCACTCCTCAAGGTAACTTTTCCTTGTTCTCCAGTTTGCAACAATTTTGCCTTCTCTTAGGCAGATATAAAGCTTGGGTGTACTGAGTGGATTTGATCACCTACACCGATCCCTGCCCATAGACTGTCTTCACACTGCAAGTCTGTTTCTACTGCTGGGCTGGGGGAGATATGTCTATGGCATTACAGCTGGGAGTGTGGACTTTTTTTCCTAAGAAAAAGATGCTATACATGAGGCTAAATAAATCAAAATAAAATTTTGAAGAATCCTATTTACTTATTTATTTATTGAGGTGGGGTCTTGCTATGTTGCCCAGGCAAGAGTGCAATGGCTATTCACAGGTGTGATTCCACTACTGATCAGCACAGGAGTTTTGAATTACTCCGTTTTTAAACTGAGCTAGTTCACCCCTCCTTAGGCAACCTTGTGGTCTTCCATTCCCGGGAAGTCACTATATTGGTGATGAACTTAATGCAGACACCTGATCAGCACACAGCACTGCAGCCCAGGAGCAAGCTCAAGCGATCCTCCTGCCTCAGCCTCCCCAAGTAGCTGGGACTACAGGCATGAACCACCATGTCTGCCTTAATAATCTTTTTATATTTAGGGTTAAACAGGCTCTTAGAATCTAGCCTGGTAACCTAACCATATAGTCTCAATGGTTTGGGCAAAGGCATTTTGAATTCCTACCAAGAGATGAACTTTTGAAAAACTCTCTTTCTGGACACATAAACAACTGGATAATGTTCTCCCCTTTTCTCACTTAGTCCCATTGACCTTGCAAAATGGCTCTTGGTCCTGTGGCTTCTGTCCTGGGAATATGGAAGAAATTACAATTAGACATACCATTTGCTGAATTACGCTTGAAACCCCACAATAGTGGCATTTCTTACAAAGTAAGAAAACCAAAAAATGAAGCTGTACAATAATAAAGCATTTAAGATAATTTTGGAAATGTTCTTCCTGATATTCGTTGCCGTTATGTTCTATTCATCTGTGCAAAGACAATATACTTCTCACACAATTAATCTGAAACCTATGCTGTTGTTCTCATTTGCCCTAAAATCATAAACTCACAAGGTTGGAAGAGCCCTTGGTGAACATCTGGCTAAATGCCCTCGTTTTGCCTACAAACACAATGAAATTGCTTTAGTTTTATCTTTGTCATAAATTTGATACATCACAAATATTCTGAATGCTTCCCGTGGGTTACAGATGTAGCCCATTGGGTTCTATATTGAATGAGTTTTGTTTATAAAATTGCAGGAAGAATTAATACATGGTATCTCTTTAGATAATACAGGACAAAAAACAACGTCAGAATCAATTTTATAAAGCGGTATTCTGGAAATAAAAGACAACAGACTCAAAATTTTAAATTAAAACTCTGCATGAAGGAAGAATAAATAGGAAAAGCACTCCTATTATTATTATTTAACCTCAGGAGGAATGAATGACTTAACTAGTGGTTTCACTCCCAGACTCCTTGGTACTTTAGAGACACATTTAAGCTTGCATTTAACTTGTTTGGAAACTAGCTTAGTAACTTGAGCAAACAGAAGCCTCTTTATGAGAACTGTCTTTCTCTGTGGTCAGAGACAGCTTTGTCCAAAAACTTGTTCATTTGGTTTTTTCATGACTGGGAATTTTTGACGATACATGAAAGCTGTGAGCAGGGGCGCCTGGTAGCACAAAGAGTTGTTTTGGGGGATATTTCATGATACAGAAGGGTTACAGATACTTCTATCTAAAAAGGGTGAATGGAGTCTTCATCAGGTGATGGAGAAGATGAGGAAATCGAGGAAAGTGGCAGAAAAGCAAACCTCTTATATATATAGATGCAGACAGAAAGAAAACTATGAAATACCAGAATAGTATCTGCATCAAATACATTAATTTACTCTTCAACAAGATCAGTTCCACCTTCATCTAAACTACGTGTTGAGATTCCTTGTACCATTTTGTTTTTAAAGAGTTGTACTGAGGGGTATTCAAAAAGGCTTGAAAACCATTGATCTATTTCAATTCCCTCGATTTAAATCAATTACACAGACATTAATTAAGCACCTGCTACATTTTGTGAAGTATCCTTGTTTCTAGGGATATAAAAATAAATAAGACACACTTTCTGCTCTTTAGAAGTTTATCATCTTGTGGGAAAAACAGACTCATTAATCACCACAACAGAGATGATAAGAGCTATGGGAACACAGATGAAGGAACAATTAATTCAGCCGGAGAGAGCCAAATAAAGATATAAAAAGGCAACATTTGAGTTGGGCCTTTAAATATGTTGGAAGTTTGTCAGGTGGACAAATAAGATAAGAGCACTCAAGGGTAAATATACTTGGCATGGCTGAGGTTCAATTCTTGCCAGAGTGGTGGGTCTGCTGGAGATTTTTGGGAGGGGACGCTGGGGGTTGGCTCAGTGAGCACCATACCATGTTAAGTGGTCACCAATTGCCAATATTATTTTTTTAAGAAGGGGGATGAAAGAATCAGATCTATGCTCTAAATATGTAACTTTGGAAACAACATGGCAGATAGAAGATGGGGGAGAGCCCCCTTGGGAGGCCTTAAAAGAGTCGAAGTAGAAGAGGATGGGAGCCTGGACTCTGCACATCTGGAAGGGAAAAAACAAATGCAAGAAATATTTTGAGGTAGAATTGGTTGTACTGGGTGATAAACTGAGTGTGACAGATAAGGAGGAAGAATAGTCAAAATGGACTCTGATTCTTTCTTGGGAAGAGTGTGGGTAAATATTGGTCTTATTATTCTGTCTGCAAAAGTCAGAAACTCAGCTTGGGCAAAATGATAACTATATTATCCTCATAATCCAAATTTAGGTTAAGAAAACAAATTGGAGACACAGCTGGGCATCTATAACTAAAGAACAAATGTAATCTAAATCCATTCTTCCTCTTGCCTGCCCTCTCTCCTACTCACAACCCTCCTTTCTGCTTCTTTCTACTAGTTTCCCTCCCATCTCTGCTTTTTTTTTAAAAAAAAAAAAAACAGCTTTGTTGAGGTATTATTGAATTAAAATGATAAAATACACTGCATATTTAAAGCATACAGTTGTATAAGTTTTGAAATACGCACACACCTTGAAACCATCATTATATCCATCACCCCCAATCTCCCCATATCTCTTTGTAATTTCCCCCTCCCATACCTGCCTCACTTCTCCTCTCCTCCTTTCCCAGCTGTGACTGACCTGATTTCTGTCATTACAAATTAGTTTCCATTTTCAAGGGTTTTATATAAATGGAATCATCTAGTAGGTATTTATTTTTGTCTGATTTCACTCAGATTGATTCATGCTGTTGTGTGATCTGTAGTTCATTCCTTTTGATTGCTGAATAGTATTCCATCATCTCTGCTTTTTTCTCTGTATTGTTTTATTCTTTCTCTGCTGCCTATTTCTTGCAGAAAAAACCTGGCTCATGGTAGTTCCGAGGTTTACATTTTATGATTACCTCCACCAAGAACTGCCTGATTCTCTTTCTGGTCTCAAGTTCAGAAATTCCTGGAAAGGTTTTTGATTGGCTCTCTGTTGGGTCAGAGCCTCAACCCTGGGCCAGATATCTATGGCTGGACGGGCAAGGCTTCATGGAGAACATAGCAAAGCCACGAGTATCATCTGGATGTTTGTGCCCAGCCTTCAGATCACACAGGACCATCCTTCTGACCTTTTTCCTGGCCCCGCTCCTCAGATTCACACTGAAATTGTGAAAGGCGAGTATTCCTGTAGAAGGCTTCAGTTTAGTATTATTTTCATTTCCCAAATTTCTCTGTCCTTTAGGATATATTTCTGTTTTGGCTGATAGCTCAGTGATTTACACAGTTTTAAATATTCTGTTATTTGACAGATCAGTACAACAGAATCAAAAATTTAGAAATAGGTTCAAATACATATAGGGATTTATGATAGAGTTGCTATCTCAAATCAGTGAGGAAAATAATAGACTATTCAATATATGATGTTGGAACAACTCTGGGTCCATTTGGAAAAAATAGAGTTGGATTTATGCCTGATGCATTATACCAGGATCCATTCCAAATGAATCAAATATTATAAGTAAAAAGTAAGTCCTAAAAGAAACATTCCTGTATAAATCCAGAGCAGGAAGACCTTTCTAACTATGAGAGATAAAATCTAGAAGGCATAAAGGAAAAGGTTTTAAAAATTAAATTCCATAAAAATCAAAATTTTGCTTGGCAAAAACTACTTGAGCAATGTCAAAAGACAAACGGGAGCAAGTTGTTTGCAACTCATTTCACAGACAACGTTTAATGTCCTTAATATTTTAAGCACTCCTACAGGCCAATAAAAAAAGACCAATTATCCAAAAGAAAATTGGGCAAAGAATATAAAGAGACAGTTCAAAGAAAAAAGGAAGTACATATAGCTTTTAAATATATGAATGTCAACCTTACTCATGTTACTCGAGCTACCATGAGATACCATTTTCACTATCAAATTAGTAAAAATGAAGTGTACTAATGCACACTGTCATCATGGAAGAAGGAAATGAGCACTATCCTACCCGCTGTTGCAAATGGCATTTGGTGTCTCATGTAGGTGGGCAACTTAGCAACAACTATCAAAAGTGGTTATTCAAGGCAGAGTGTGGTGGCTCATGCCTGTAATCCCTGCACTTTGGGAGGCTGAGGCAGGCAGATTGCTTGAGCTCAGGAGTTTGAGACCAGCCTGGGAAGCACGGTGAAACCTTGTCTCTACAAAAAATACAGAAAATTTGCCAGGCATGGTGGCACACACCTATAGTCCTATCTACTTCGAGGGCTAAGGTTGGAGGATCACTTGAGCCCAGGAGGTTGAGGCTGCAGTGAGCTGTGATCACACCACTGCTCTCCTGCCTATGTGACAAAGTGAGACCCTGTATATAAAAAAAAAAAAAAAAAAAAAAAATTAGTTATCCATTGCAGTAAATACTGGTTACTGTAGCAAGAAATTTGACAACAACCTAAATGTCCACCAATAGGGGATTGGTTAAACATATTATAGTACATCCATATAATAGACTATTGTACTATTGTATAGTTGTATTAATATAAAGAGAATGAGGACACTTTCTATGAATAGATATTGAAAGATTGCTAAGATGAATTATAAAGAGAAAAAAGTAAGATACAGAATAATATGCATAGTTTTCTAATTTGTGTGGAAAGGAAGAGATTGAATTGTAAATTTGCATTTGCTTGTATATAAATGTAAAATCTCTAGAAGAATTCAAGGAAGCCAGGCGCAGTGGCTCACACCTGTAATCCCAGCATTTTGGGAGTCCAAGGCAGGCAGATTATGAGGTCAGAAGATTGAGGTCATCCAGACTAACATGGTGAAACCTGTCTCTACTAAAAATATAAAAAATTAGCCGAGTGTGGTGGCACACACCTGTAGTCCCAGTTACTCAGGAGGCTGAGGCAGGAGAATTGCTTGAACCCGGGAGGCAGAAGTTGCAGTGAGTAGAGATTGCACCACTATACTCCAGCCTGGGCAACAGAGCAAGACTCCATCTCAAAAAAAAAAAAAAAAAAAGAATTCAAGGAAAACATTGGCAGGTTACTGGTTTGCAAAGGTGAATAAACATATGCAGGACAAGGGTGGAAAAAAGAAATATAGGTGTAAAAGTTTATTTAATTTTGAATCATATAAACATTTTATCTACTTTAAAAATTAAACAATTTTTTTAAAAATTATTCTTTGTCTTAAATCAAATTAAGCCCTTTTTTTCTAAGCTTTGGTTCAAGGTAAGCTTAATTTCTAGATTTACCTTAGTTCAGCAAACCAGTATGTTTCCTTTAGGATTTAGCTTCATGGTTTTGGCTTAAGTCCCTGACCCTAAATATCTATGTCACACCAACACACACATTCACATGCACACTGCAGTGAACACTGTACATAGACAGGCATAGACACTCATCAAGACAGTGTGGTCTATGCAGAGGATCATGCATATATAAAACTCAGTAGCAGAGTTGAGTGAGTAGACATCTGCATACAGGATGTGAAATGAAAATAAATCTTGGGACCCCAAAATCACTAAGCTAAGCTGGGAACTGCTTAGAGCAAACCTGCCTCCCATTCTATTCGAAGTCATCCCTCTGCTCAATGAGATAAATGCATATCTGATTGCTTCCTTTAGAGAGGCTGATCAGAAACTCAAAAGAATGCAACCTTTGTATCTCATCTACCTATAACCAGGAAGCCCCCCCACCCCACTTGTCCCACCTTTCCATACTGAATCCATATACATTGTACATATATTGATTGATGTCTCACGTCTTTCTAAAATGTATAAAACCAAGCTGTGCCCTGACCACCTTGGGCACATATCATCAGGACTTCCTGAGGCTGTGTCACAGGTGCGCATCCTTAACATTGGCAAAATAAACTTCCTAAATTGACTGAGACCTGTCTCAGTTATTAGGGGTTCACAAGGAAGAAGGTGGGGTCGGAGTAAGCACAATGTGGGAGTTAACTGGAGGGGGAAAGAGAAAATAAGTAGGAGGAATGGAGGATAGAATCAACAGAAACAGAATGTAGTTCTTTTATGTCTCTTGCTGCAAATGCTACACGTGCCTGTAAGGAGACCATTACCTCTGACTTAGCAGGAGATCTCAGAGCTGAATCATGCATCCTACAGCATCATGGATGCTGATCAAAGAGGCCCAAGCTGGCCCCACTTCTTGACTCCCTGTATTGTATTTTCTTTAATTTAGGGCATGGCCAGCAGAGCTGTGAGGACAGCCAAGGGCTCTCTGGGCACATCAAGGCCCATTATGACTTCCCTACTGGCTTTCATTCCTGATGGTGAGAAAGAAGCCTAGTGGAGAACGCCAACTTAATGTACTCATTTAGGGGAGTGACAGAATCTCTGTGTCACTGTGCCAGATTCAAATGGAGTCCTTCCTCCATGGGAAAGGGTTTGCTGGCTTTAAGGCCTCTGGGACTAGAATCTTCATTTTTGGCTCAGGTACAAGGTGTGCCTTCTGAAAGCCTCCAGCTCATTTCCTGAGACACTTTCTGTGTCAGCCTGTTTTGTATTGCTCTAAAGAACACTTGAGAATGGATAGTTTATAAAGAAAAGAGGTTTATTTGGCTCATGGTTCTACAGGCTGTACAAGCATAGCATTGGCATTGGCTCAGCTTCTGGTTGGGCCTCAGGAAGTTTTCCTCATGGCAGAAGGCAAAAGGGGGAGCAGATGTATCACATGGCAAGAGAGGGAGCAAGAGAGAGAGGCAGGAGGTCCCAGACTCTTTTTCACAACCAGATCTCATGTGAAATAGTAGAGTGAGAACTCCCTCATTACTGTGAGGATGGCACCAAGCCATTCATGAGGGATCTTCTGCCATGATCCAAACACCTCCCACTAGGCCCCACCTATAACATGGGAATCACATTTTAATGTGAGATTTGGAGGGGGCAAACATCCAAACTATATCATCTCCCTTATGTCATCACTGGAAAATGTTCTCAGGCAAGGGCTCCACATGCACTAGAGTTTGATTTCAGTCCTGCTCTGGAATGCTTCCAGCTCTGAGTCTTAGGCTCCTCAGAACAGACCTCTGAGAATAAATAGGAAGATAAACAATTGCTAACATTTACTGAACACTTACTATACACTAAGCAACTTACATACATTATTCAATTTAACATTCAGAACGGCTTTATACACTTTATGTACCTGTAACCATAATTGGCTTATTATGGTTACATAAAAGTTATACTTTATGTACTTGTAACCATAATAGGTTCATTGCCCAATGTGTAGCAAGTCAATATGCCAAGATGGCAGGTTGCAGCAGAGAAAGAGGTTTAATTGTAGGGCTTCTGACTGAGGAGATGGAAGGATACCTCAAATCCATCCCCCTGAGGAGTCTGGGGTTAGGGTTTTTAAAGGTTTTAGAGTGGGTCAAAGTGTGGAGATGGATGATTGGTTGAAGCATACAGGGTTATGTCATGAGCAGGAAGATAAAGAAACTGTATTCCAATGCTGATTAGGTTCCTCTGTGGGGGTCTTCAAACTGGTTGGCATCAGCTATTCAACCAGAATTCAGGATCTGCTTTAGCAATTCTTAAACAAAAGCTTTATGATTCTAATGTCAGATATTCTATCTATCTTAAACAAAAGCCTTATGATGCTAACACTAGAAATCCTATCTATAGGAACAATGGGGATCCAAGTGGTCAGTATCTAGTGCTCCCTGACTTTTGCTTGCAAAAAAAAGTGAGTCAAAGTTCAGCCTGATTAATGCTCAATTATAACTATATTTCTGTCCAGAATTAACTATGTTTCTGTCTTCTTGTTAGCCTTGTGAGGAGAGCTTCATACTGTTATCATCCCATTTTACAGATGAAGAAACTGCAGCTTAAAGGTTAACTAACTTGGCCATGTTTGCAAAGTTGGTGAGAAGGGAACCAGTATCTAAACTCAGACCTGTAAGATCCCACCCCAGAACACGCATGAGAAAACACTTTGCAAACTAAGGTTCTACACACATTACCTCTTGTTGTAATGCATAATTGTATAGCTGTTGCTGTTCATAGCCAGCAGTTCTTGAGTACTTATGATGTTTTTACATATATTGTCTCAATTAATCTTAACATTAGCCCTTTGAATATATTACTGCCCACATAAGGTGTTCTTTTGTTTGTTTGTTTTCCCAGAGTAACACAGCTGATAAGTTTTGAACCCTGGCAATCTGGCACCTGCTTTTCTCATCACTAAACTATGCTGTCTTCCCAAAGGCTCAAAGATTCATGAAAAATGTATGATGAGGTGTTACTATTTCTTTTTTTCTTTTCTTTTCTTTTTTTTTTTTTTTTTTTTGAGATGGAGGCTCACTCTGTTGCCCAGGCTGGAATGCAGTGGTGCGATCTCAGCTTACTGCAACTTCCTCCTCCTGAGTTCAAGCAGTTCTCCTGCCTCAGCCTCCTAAGTAGCTGGGACTACAGGCGCATGCCGCCATGCCTGGCAAATTATTTTTTTTTATTTTTTGTATTTTAGTAGAGATGGGGTTTCACCGTGTTGCCCAGGCTGGTTGCAAACTCCTGAGCTCAGGTAATCCGTCCACCTCAGCCTCCCAAGGTGCTGGGATTACAAGCGTGAGCCACTGCTCCTGGCTGAGGTATTATTATTTCTAAACAGAAACAAACAGAATTGCAACATTCCCATTCTGTGTGAGCTCAGAACTTTAATGCTTGTGCAGATCCTCTTTGAGTGAGACACAGTGTGAGCGTCACAAATTTTCTCCCACAAGTACCTTTCTAACTCCACCCTAATTTTGTGTCAGTTATTTAGTGCTCTATGCCCTTTTTATGAAGACCATTAATGATCAGGGAGCCTGCACAATTGTTTTTGTTTTTGTTTTTGTTTTGAGACGGAGTCTCGCTCTGTCGCCCAGGCTGGAGTGCAGTGGCGCAATCTTGGCTCACTGCAACCTCTGCCTCCCGGGTTCAAGTGATTCTTCTGCCTCAGCCTCCCGAGTAGCTGGGATTACAGGGGCCCACCACCACACCCAGCTAATTTTTGTATTTTGAGTAGAGATGTGGTTTCACCATGTTGGCCACGATGGTCTCGATCTCCTGACCTTGTGATCCGCCCGCCTTGGCCTCCCAAAGTGCTGGGATTACAAGTGTGAGCCACCGCGCCTGGCTTTTTTTTTTTTTTTTTGAGACGGAGTCTCGCTCTGTTGCCCAGGCTGGAGCACAGTGGCGCGATCTCGGCTCACTCCGAGCTCCGACTCCCGGGTTCACACCATTCTCCTGCCTCAGCCTCCCGAGTAGCTGGGACTACAGGCGCCTGCCACCACGCCTGGCTAATTTTTTTTATTTTTATTTTTAGTAGAGATGGGGTTTCACTGTGATAGCTAGGATGGTCTCGATCTCCTGACCTCGTGATCCACCTACCTCGGCCTCCCAAAGTGCTGGGATTACAGGCATGAGCCACCGTGCCAGGCCAACAATTGTTCATTTAAGTACTGCTCTCCTTTCCTCCTCCCCTCAAAACTTCATTTGTTCCATCAAACAGGCTGATGTGTCTTTTTCCCATGGGATTTTCTTCTGCCTTCTCTCTCATGGAGGAGTGGTTATCTGCAGACCTACTCTCAACTCAACTGTGCATGGGTAAACCAACCCCCATCTGCCAGGAAACCACATTCAATTGTCCTCAGGAAGAGATTCTATTTGTTCCCTCTATAACACAAAAATGCATTTTAGCCATGTATACAAATTCCACATGCCCAAAAAATTACTCCTGAGTTGTACTTTAAGATTGAGAGAGGCCAGGCAGGGTGGCTCATGCCTGTAATCCTAGCACTTTGGGAGGCCGAGGCAGGCAGATCACCTGAGGTCAGGAGTTTGAGACCAGCCTGGCCAACATGGTGAAACCCCGTCTCTGCTAAAAATACAAAAATTAGCTGGGCATGGTGGTGGTCGCCTGTAGTCCCAGATACTTGGGAGGCTGAAGCAGGAGGAGAATCATTTGAACCCGGGAGGCAGAGGCTGCAGTGAGCTGAGATTGTGCCACTGCACTCTAACCTGAGCAACAGAGCAAGACTCCATCTCAAAAAAAAAAAAAAAAAAAAAAAGATTGGTGGGGGAGCTACTGCAAATTTACAAAATTCTCCTATCTAAATTCACAGGGCTGACATATGCGCATATATCTCTCAGGCTCTAGTACAAGCTAAAGACTGGGACAATTTTGTATTCACTTGTATCTCCCACAGTATTTTACACATAGTAGGTGCTAAGTATTCATTTGCTAAATGAATGCCATTTTTATACTTAGAAAACTATTTTAGCCAAGGAGTATGCTTTCTTTTCCTTTTTCTTTTTTCTTCTCTTTCTTTTTTTTTTTGAGACAGAGTCTCGCTCTGTTGCCCAGGCTGGAGTACAGTGGCACAATCTCGGCTCACTGCAACCTTGACCTCCCACATTCAAGCATTTCTCTTGCCTCAGCCTCCTGAGTAGCTGGGATTACAGGTGTGCACCACCACACCCAGCTAATTTTTTTTGTATTTTCAGTAGAGACGCGGTTTTACCATGTTGGCCAGGCTGGTCTCAAACTCCTGACCTCAAGTGATCTGCCCGCTTGGCCTCCCAAAATGCTGAGATTACAGGTGTGAGCCACTGCACCTGGCCTATCCTTTATTTTTCTTATGCCTTTCTCTAAACCATAAAAATTTCTATTGACCTGACAGTTAAGATGGCCTTGTTCTAGGCTATATAAAGCTCCTACTATGCACCAGGTACTCTGCCAGATGCTGAGAATACTAATAAGATAAAAGCTAGTTCCTCTGCCCCAAGGACATGGTCTATTCTTTAGCCATTTTCCCTGAGGGAGGAGTCCCATTGGTCACGTAAGGCATAGAGATAGTTCCAGACTACAGAATTCTGTCCTACATTTCCAAATTACCAGATGTAAGCACAGAGAAGACAATTTCACAAGCTGGAAAATCAGGCAGCTTGAAAAGGAAAAGCCAGGCTGTCATGCTTGTGCTCATGATGCCCTTGTTATTGTTCCAGGTGGAAGGCAGAGGAACAGCAGATGAAGGCTTTTAATATGCTGGCAATTAATTCTTTCACTTACTTTAAATTAAAATGTTCAGCTTCTCCTGGTCACTCATCAACAACAGTTAACATCAGTGTCTTTTCAGCATTTGGAAGGCTCTAAGTATAAATAGCCCATTACTTTGCAATGAAAGATAAATTGTAAAACCCTGATTAAGTAGAATACTCTCGGAATGAGCTTTCCTGGCTTATTGATTCTTCTACTTATAAAAGACTTAGCTGGAAAATTAATTTTTTAGTATTCATTCATTCAATCGATTAATCAACACGACAAATGATAGTGGTTAAGATCAGTCACTGGAGCCAATCTGCCTGGATTGAATCTCAGCTCCATCACTTTGCTACGTTGAGCAGACTGCTTGTTCTCTCTATGCTCTGTCTCCTCATCTTTAAATTGGAGATAGTAATAGTACTTATCTCATAGTATATATATGAAAATTAGATAGATTAACATATGTAAGGTCCATAGGAAGGTGACTAGCACATGGTAGGTGCTACATAACTGTTACTATTATTATTGATCACCTCATCTATTCTCTGCATGAGAGAGCAGTGAGCAGGATAAGTATGATCTCTGCCTCATCATGAATTCCCACCATCATAAAAAATTCAAACAATATAGAATTATACAGAGTAAAATATGAAAGTCTACTCCATCTCTCCTAATTCTACTCCCCAGAGGTAATCATTATTAATAATTTCATGCATATCCTTCCAGACTATTTTTCTAGGTATATGAAAATGTATACATAAATATCTATTGTCTAATTTTATCAAAGATAGAATCATTCTGCTAACAATATATTGTGGGCAGCTTTGCAAGTCAGTCGATACAGACATACCTTCTTTGAAGTGGCTGCTTTGCTTTATGTAATAAGACAAACTATACTTTATTAATCTTCCTCATACTGCTGGCTATTAGGATGTTTGCACTTTTTTGCCAATGTAAGCAATACCACAATAAATATCCTTATATGTGTACCTTTGCACATTTGTATAGTGTTTCTTTATGATGTATTCTTTAATAAGCATTGCCATCCATTTTTCCCCTCAAATAAAATGCTTTGACAAAGCAGAGACTCTCTGATCTTGAAAAGATGGCCTCAGTGATATTATGACAAATTCTCACTTCATCACAGAGAGTTGTGGTTGTCACCATGGAAGGGTAGCCAATTGGGCTGAAACTCTGGCATAGGCCTACAAGATTGTTTTTTTGAATGGATCTCTAATAACAGCTGATTTGATCATGGTTTTTTTCTTTCTCTAGGTGTGGTGAAAACATTCATATTAATGGAGAGCTGTGACTCTGGGTAACTAAGACTTTCATCTTCATATTAGAATCTCATTCACATCCCCTTTCTCTCCTAGTCCACTTTTCCCAAAGTATTATGACCTAGCCAAGAAATCCCATGACTCCATGACTTCAGTTCTCAAAATATTTAGAGCTTCTGTACAATAAAAGTGAGCATTAGGGGAGGATGAGTTAAAAGAAATGACAGCCAGATGGGGATCATGAGAAAATTTAAACTGGAAAATCACTCAAGAGAAATCTCCCACTGAAACTATACACAGATTATGACAAAGTGGATAAATGCTTTTATGGCCCTCAGCTAAACTAAAGACATGCCAAAAGGCAGCGCCTGGATATATGAGTTAGGATACAAGTTTAACTGCCCTGGCAAAGAGACCCCAAAGTACAGTGAGACAGAAGTTTAATTTTCCCTCCTGGAAGGGTCCATAGAGAGTCTAGAATTCCAGAGCAGACAGGCAATGCTGCTCCCTAAGATCATCCCAAGGTACTGGCACTGGGGCAGCTCTGTCACCCTCAGTGGTGGCACCCATGTGGCCTAAGGTGGCTGCTGCTGTTGCTGCTCTTTCCCACACAATAGGAAATGGATAGTGGAGCACAACAAGCCCTTTTATCTATAAAGAATGTGGCCCTTATGTTCTTCACATCACTTCTGCTCACACTCCAATAGGAGGAATTTTGTCATATTTCCCTCTTAGCTACAAGAAAGGCTGGGAAATACAGTTGCTACCTGAGCAACCATTTGCCCAGCTAAATATTGATGTTTTATTACAGAAGACAGAGAAGGAGACAAATGAAAAGAGAAGGATAGATAGCTATTGGGGCTTTGATCTCTGGTACAGTGAATTTATATAGAGAGGCATTTTATAGGATTTTGAGCTAGAGGGTAAATATGAGAGCATTGCACACCAAAGAGTAAAACTAGCCAGGCAGGAGTTGGGGACAAGTGTCTTCCAGCTTAATTTAAACAACATAGAATTATGTAGCCAGGCACTGGGGCTCATGCCAGCACTTTGGGAGGCCGAGGTGGGCAGATCATGAGATCAGGAGTTTGAAACCAGCCTGACCAACAAGGTGAAACCCCATCTCTACTAAAAATACAAAAATTAGCTGGGGATGGTGGCATGCACCCGTAATCCCAGCTACTTGGGAGGCTGACGCAAGAGAATTGCTTGAACCTGGAAGGCGGAGGTTGCAGTGAGCTGAGATTGTGCCACTGCACTCCAGCCTGGGTGACAGAGTGAAACTCCGTCTAAAAAAAAAAAAAAATTATGTACCCATTGAGGGCACCTTCTTGGGATCTCCACTGTGTCAGTTTCCCTACTTTACCTTGAAACATCACACTGGGCTTCTCCTTTCAAAGCTCTGATCACACTTACAACTGATTACAGATAGTATAGGTACATAAGCAATTACAATACTAGGTAAATCCTATAAGAAGGGAATTCAGAAAGTGTCATAGGCACACAAATAAAATAATTTCCAATTGAGAAGGTGGCTGCTGCCATTGAAAGTTTGTCAAGTTGAAGTTTAGGTTCTCTTGCTGAGCCAAGGAATGAAGAAACCAGATTATCCCAAATAGGAATAGAAATCTTGACATGTGACTAATGACTGAGCCTTGGGTAAATGGTGCAAACCATTGAGAAACAAGGGAATCATTGCAATATTTTATTGCCCCAGGCCCCTAAACACCCACTGAGTACCCATTCTTTCAAAACTCAGCCTGAACATCACTTGTTTATGATAATTTCTCTGCTTTACCCTATCCCACCCCATCCTGCTCAGATAGAACTGACCTCTTCCTCCCTATATCCACATTGTATACTACATTTCAGGCTATCACAGCACTTATAGCTCTTCAGAGAACTTACAATTTAGATTCTGAGACCCTCTAATAGTCCATTCTCATGCTGCTATAAGGACATACCCAAGACTGGGTAATTTATAAAGGAAAGAGGTTTAATTGACTCATAGTTCAATACGACTAGGAAGGCCTCAGGAAACTTACAATCATGGCAGAAAGGGAAGCAAACACATCCTTCTTTACATGGTGACAAGAGGGGGAAGAATGAGAGCCAAGTGAAGGGGGAGGCCCCTTATAAAACCATCAGATCTTGTAAGAGCTTACTATCAGAAGAACAGGATGGGGGAAACCTTGCCCCCATGATTCAATTATCTCCACCTTGTCCCTCCCACGACACATGGGGATTATGGGAACCACAATTCAAGATGAAATTTGGGAGGGGACACAGCCAAACCATATCATTCCACCCTGGCCCCTCCCAAATCTCATGTCCTCACAATTCAAAACACAATCATGCCCTTCCAACAGTCCCCCAAAGGCTTGACTCATTCCAGCATTAACTCAAAAGTCCAAGTCCAAAGTCTCATCTGAGACAATGAGACCCTTCTGCCTTTGAACCTGTAAAATCAAAAGCAAGTTAGTTACTTTTTAGATACAATGGAGGCATTGAGTAAATACACCCATTCCAAAGGGGATAATTGTCCAAAACAAAGGGGCTACAGGCCCCATGCAAGTCCTAAATCCAATAGGGCAGTCATTAAACCTTAAAGTTCCAAAATGATCTCCTTTGACTCCATGTCTTACATCCAGCATGCACTGATACAAGAGGTGGGCTCCTGCAGCCTTGGGCAGGTCCACCTCTGTGGCTTTGCCAGGTACAGTCCCCCTCCCACTTGCTTTCACGACTGGAGTTGAGTTTCTGCAGCTTTTCCAGGCATATGGTGCAAGCTGTCAGCGGATCTGCCATTCTGGGGTCTAGAGGATGGCCCTCTTCTCACAGCTCCACTAGGCGGTGCCCCAGTGGGGACTCTATGTGGGGGCTCCAACCTCACATTTCCTTTCCACACTGCCCTAGCAGAGGTTCTCCACAGTGACCCTGTCCCTGCAGCAAACTTCTGCCTGAACATCCAGGTGTTTCCATCCATCCTCTGAAATCTAGGCAGAGGGTCCTATACCTCAGTTCTTTACTTCGTGCACCCACAGGCCCAATGCCATGTGTATACCACAAAGGCTTGGGGCTTGTACCCTCTGAAGCAATGGGCCTGAGCTGTATGTTGGCCCCTTTTAGTCATGGCTGGAGCTGAAGCAGCTGGGACTCAGGGCACTACGTCCAGAAGCTGCATAGAGCAGAGAGGCCCTGGGCCTGGCCCAGGAAACCATTTTTCACTCCTAGGCCTCCAGGCCTGTGATGGGAAGGGCTGCTATGAAGGTCTCTGACATGCCCTGGAGACATTTTCCCCATTGTCTCAGTGATTAACTTTCAGCTCCTTGTTCCTTATGCAAATTTCTGCAGCGGGCTTGAATTTCTCCCCAGAAAAGGGGATTTTCTTTTCTGTTGCATTGTCAGGCTGCAAATTTTCCAAACATTTATGCTCCACTTCCTCTTGAACACTTTGCCACTTAGAAATTTTTTCCACCAGATACCCTAAATCATCTCTCTTAAGTTCAAAGTTCCACAGATCTCTAGGGCAGAAGAAAAATGCTGCCAGTTTCTTTGCTAAAGCATAGCAAGCGTGACCTTTACTCCAATTCCCAACAAGTTCCTCATCTCCATCTGAGACCACCTCAGCCTAGACTTCATTGTCCATATCCCTTTCAGATCAAAGCCATTCAAGAAGTCTCTAGGAAGTTCCAAACTTTCCCACATTTTCCTGTCTTCTTATGAGCCTTCTCAACTGTTTCAGCCTCTGTCTGTTGCCCAGTTCCAAAGTTGCTTCCATATTTTTGGGTATTCTTATAGCAGCACCCCACTCCCTTGGTACCAATTTACTGTACTAGCCCATTCTCACACTGGTATAAGGATATACCTCAGACTGGGTAATTTATAAAAGAAAGAGGTTTAACTGACTCACAGTTTAGCATGGCTGGGGAGACCTCAGGAAACTTACAATCATGGCAGAAGGGGAGGCAAACATGTCCTTCTTCACATGGCGGCAGCAAGAAGAACTGCCGAGCAAAATGGAGAAAAGCCCCTTATAAAACCAACAGATCTTGTGATAACTTACTATCACAAGAACAGGATGGGGGAATCCTCTACTATGATTCAGTTGTCTCTAGCTGGTCCCTCCCATGACATGTGGGGATTATGGAAACTACAATTCAAGATGAGATTTGGGTGGGAAAACAGCCAAACTATATCAGACCCCCAAGAGGTAAAGCTCTCCAAAAGGCAGGAATTGTGCTTGATTTATCTTTGTTTTCTAGCACATTGAATAGGCCCTGGTGTTTAGGAGGCACTCAATAACAATTGATTGATGAAAGTCAATTTGTGGTTATACTTCCAAACCAATGACTCTGTACTCAGAAACTACTTATTGCCTTTAAAATAATCCCTTTACACACAAGTAGGATTTTGACAGGTAGGGATGGGACTTGACCCTTTGGTTAGAGAGATGGGGATTCTTAACTGCGGCCGGCAAAACTCTTGGATAATTTTCAGTCTCAGCATGGTTGACCAAAGGACAATGAGAGGGAAATAACAGAGGTACAAATGGCTCAGAAGATGCTGTTGCTACAGTTATGCAAGTGAAGGTGCTCAGAATAGGCCACCCCCAAATATGCCACTTTGGCATAAGGATTATTTTGAGCTGAAGGCAACTAAAAAACAGCAGACACAAAAAAAGTTCTCTATCCTCCTCCCATTTGCCTAAAGGCAGGGCATAAATTCCCTTTGTGAGGACATTACCCTTTTCCTCTCTCATAGCAGGAAGGGCAGAGAGATTAGACTCTTAATCACTGGAGTCTGAGAGGAACCAACATACCAAATATTACTAAAATATCTCTTTTATTCCATTTATTTCCTCCCTGTATTTACCTTCCCACAATTTACTACTCGTAACAACTTCAAACTCTTTTTATCTTCTCACTTCTTTACAAATTTATTTTTGTTTGAATTTATATACCATTTTGTTAAAATGGTATATAAGCCTCTAGGTATGAGCACCCCTTGGATTTTTTTTCATTTCTGTGAGCCTCCTCCATATGTGTATGAAAGAAACCCTTTTCTCTTGCTAACCTGTGTTTTCTCTGTTTCATCTGCAGAACCCCAGGCACTAAGCCTAAACACAGAGAATAAAGGTCTTTTTACTCCCCGATACAGGCACCAGCTGAAGTTTCAGTGGCTCTGATGGCTGGTTTCAGGTTTGTAAACACCCCTGTTGAAGAGCTCTTGGATGCACTGGGGTGTAGTTTTTGATGGAGTATGTGGACAAGATTTAATCTTTTCAGAAAACTGAATGTATGTTATTTATTAGGGCTGTGTTTGGGGGTGTGGTCTAAAAGTTTCAAATTCCTCAATTTGTTTTCACTCCTCTCTTGAGGAGATCAGAACAATGAGTGGCTCACACCGGGACAGCTGGGCCCTGGAATACAAGATCTCTTCTTCATAGTCCAGGGTATAGAGCTCTGCAGCTGGCAGAGCACAGGAAGACCATGGTCAGAGAGAGCCGAAACATAATACCAAACACCAATAACCACCGTGACCACCACATGTACAGTCTACTTGTTCAAAGTGCTTTCACATAGTAATTTAATTTGATCCTGCCAGAAATCCCATTAGACAGGCAGAGAAAATGTGGACACAGAAAGAAAAGGTGAGCTTCCCAAGGTCACTTAGCAAGGTTGTGGTGGAGGTCTCCGAGAAAGGGACAACAATTCTGGCGAAAGAAAGCTACAGAAAGATTCATTGTCACTCAATCCAAAAGGAAAGTTTCCTCAGCCACAGCTGTGTTCAGGAGACAGAGAGCAACTTGCTCTCATGATACCCAGCTGTTGGTGGGCTGCAGGGCACCACAGCTCTGGAGGGAACTGGAGGGCAAGATGAGGCTGGGATGGTTCTTTTTTTTTTTTAATTTTTTTAAAATTATGCTTTAAGTTCTAGGGTACATGTGCACAATGTGCAGGTTTGTTACACAGGTATATATGTGCCATATTGGTTGCTGCCCCCATTAACTCGTCATTTACATTAAGTATTTCTCCTAATGCTATCCCTCCCCCAGCCCCCCACCCCACGACAGGCCCCCGTGTGTGATGTTCGAGGCCAGGGTGATTCTTATATGTGATGACCTTCGCACTGCTTCTACTTCTGGAATTCCTGATTTTAGGAAGAAATTTCAATCGTTGGTCCTAAAGGAATCTGAGGCTTTGTAACTGCCCAGTGTGTTCACCTTGCCCACGGCCTACACAGAGCCAATTTATCAAAACAGGGGAATTGCAATGGAGAAAGAGTTATTCACACAGAGCCGACTGTGTGGGAGACCGGAGTTTTATTATTACTCAGATCAGTTTCCCCAAGCATACAGGGATCAGAGTTTTTAAAGATAATTTGGCAGGTGGAGGCTTGGGAAGTCAGGAGTGCTGATTGGTCAGGTTGGAGATGGAACCAAAGGGGGTCAAGGTGAGTTTTTCTTGCTGTTTTCTGTTCCTGGGTGGGATGGCAAAACTGATTGAGCCAGATTACTGGTCTGGGTGGTGTCAGCTGATCCATCAAGTGCAGGGTCTGTAAAACATCTCAAGCACTGATCTTAGGTTTTAAAATTTGGGGCGGTTCAGACTCTTGGAGCCAGAGACTGCATGACCCCTAAACTGTAATTTCTCATCTTATAGCTAATTTGTTAGTCCTGCAAAGGTGAACTGGTTCCCAGGCAAGAAGGGTGGTCTTTTCAGGAAAGGGCTGTTATCAATTTTGTTTCAGAGTCAAATTATGAACTGAATTCCTTCCCAAAGTTAGTTTGGTCTATGCCCAGGAATGAACAAGGACAGCTTAAAGTTAGAAGCAAGATGGAGTTGGTTAGGTCTGATTTCTTTCACTGTCATAATTTCCTCAGTCATACTTTTGCAAAGGCCATTTCAGCTTGTAAATAAACAGCCAGATCTTAGCTTATCCCTCAACTCCCAATATGAGGATTGCAACTAGGAGCTGCTGCTTTGCTCTCCAGGTGTGTGTGTTGCTCTTTTGGGCCTCCCCTGAAGCTCCACCATCAGCCCCACCCCAGCCTGTAGACCCAGTGTTCAGTGCATCCTGGTCTCACCTGAATGATATTATGAGCTGCTGCTGGAGAAGGGTTCCAGTAGATAGTCAGGCAGATGGGAGCAGGACAAGAGGGGGCCCCTTCCCACACCTGTAATGTCAGGCAACCATCAGGTGATGGTCCGGTGGTTTGTTAACTGTCTCTCTAAAATAACAATTGGGCACAGCTGGCTCCAGGGAAAGGCAGTCTCCTAATAGATAGAAAACACTTAAAAGTGGTGATCAGCAGCTTCCTGATAAGATCTCAGGAGTTGAGCAAGTGGGCTCAAGCATGCACACTAAGAGGAAAATGGCAGAGTTTAACTGGTATGTGATCTTCTAGAAACTTTCGGCTCGCAAGGGAGGAATGCCTCAAGTGAGCATGCGTACAACTCCCATAAACACACTGCGCATGCAGACAGCCCATTCCAAGGGAACAATCAGGGAAAGAGGGATTCAATCTCAGAAGCATGCCAGTATATAAGACCCCAAGTCAAATGTCAAACTGTGCACTTGATCTCTCAACTTGCCTGCTTGGTCCTTTTCCAAGTATGTTT
The DNA here is from genome assembly GCF_000001405.40 of Homo sapiens. Classification (NCBI taxonomy): domain Eukaryota; kingdom Metazoa; phylum Chordata; class Mammalia; order Primates; family Hominidae; genus Homo; species Homo sapiens. Next base: position 117,263,418 of record NC_000001.11, read on the forward strand.
TACTTTTTTTCGTTCCTGCTCTAAAGCTTTTTAATGAACTTTCATTCCTGCTCTAAAACTTGCCAGGACTTTTTTTCTGCTTTATACCCCTTGGCCAAATTCTTTCTTCTGAGGAGGCAAGAACTGAGGTTGTTGCAGACCCATATGGATTCTCCACCGCTAACAGACGCACCCAACATGCTCTCTAGCTTGTGCTGCCAGGAGTAGTCTGCCCAATTTGCCCTGTGCTCATGGCTGCCTCAGCTGAGCTGTGGCTGCCTTCTCCAAGCCATGGCCAACTCCCCCAGGCCTCCACCTGCCCCTCAGCTTGGACTTCCCAGTCAGAAATTCACACTCAACACCAAAGGGAAGACTGATTTTTCTAGTTCCAAGAATAAAACTTGAGCAGGTTCCTTCTCTCTACATGAGTGGACTTTACACAGCCTTGGATTTTTGAGAAGGTACAGTACGTTAAAAACATAAGCCAGCTGGCCAGGCGCCATAGCTCACGCTTGTAATCCCAGCACTTTGGGAGGCCAAGGCAGGCGGATCGCGAGGTCAGGAGTTCGAGACCAGCCTGGCCAATATGGTGAAACCCCATCTCTACTAAAAATACAAAAATTAGCCGGGCATGGTGGCACACGCCTGTAGTCCCAGCTACTCGGGAGGCTGAGGCAGAAGAATTGCTTGAATCCGGGAGGCGGAGGTTGCAGTGAGCTGAGATCACGCCACTGCACTCCAGCCTGGGCAACAGAGCGAGACTCTGTCTCAAAAAAAACAAAAAAACAAACAAAAAAAACAAGCCAGCTTTAATATGGTCTCCCCACAACTGACCCTCATTGGGAAGGAAAAGAGGAAGACTCCTGGCTAAAATAGAAAGTTAAAAGTTACAGTTACTTAGCCAATTAGACATACACATTTTAAACATAGCATTGACATCTCATGTCTTCTACTCATATTATATTCTGTTCCATTAGACACCTAAATTATTCTATTATAAGAAATTTGCATCAGGCAGTTTAACAACTAAGATCTGCAGGCTTTAATTACTTCGGAGATATTTGAGCAACCAAAGAAAGTCTTACTACAAAATGGAGCTTATTTAAGGGGCTCTAGGCCCTGAAAAGAATCTGACTAGCAAATCAGGTAGTTAGCTTTTTGCCTACAGAGCCCTTGATGGAGTACACACCTCACAGATGCTCCCATTGTCTCTCAGTCTGGTATGTGCAGTTTTGTTTTTCTAAACACTTTCCTTTTCAATTACCCAAAGCCCCCTCAGCTTCCCTTACCTGATTAACTTCTACTTACCCTTCAGGTCTCAGTTTAGATACTATTTCCCTTGGGAAACTTTTCTTGACCTTCAAGAATAAATTGAATGGACCCTAGAGGACTGCCTTGAAAATTTAATAAATTAATAAAAAGACGGCCGGGTGCAGTGGCTCACGCCTGTATTCCCAGCACTTTGGGAGGCCAAGGTGGGCGGATCATAAGGTGAAGAGATCAAGACCATCCTGGCCAACATGGTGAAACCCCATCTCTACTAAAAATACAAAAATTAGCTGGGTGTGGTGGCGGGTGCCTGTAATCCCAGCTACTTGGGAGGCTAAGGCAGGAGAATCACTTGAAACCTGGAGGTGGAGGTTGCAGTGAGCTGAGATTGCACCACTGCACTCCAGCCTGGGCGACAGAGTGAAACTCCATCTCAAAAATAAATAAATAAATAAATAAAATAAAAATCAAAAGAACTGAATTTAATGTTCCTCTTGAATCTTCCTAACGGAGCTGTCATGCTCAGTAGAGCATTTGTGCACCACACAACCCTAGGGGAGACCATTTACATCTAAGACTATGTGTGGTGCAATGCGCAACCAATACAACTCTGTGTGGCTTCCCTGCTCCCATAGCCTGTGTACTCTGAGTGCCATCTGCCCTTGCATAGTGAGGGCGTGTTTACTCAACTCTTTCCTGTACTGACTGCAAGTTTCTTGAGGAAAAGAAACTGGACTTGATCATTGTTATATCCCCAGAATCTAAAACGGATCTTGGCATGTAGTAAGCATTCAATAAATGTTTGATAATTAACTTACAAATAATGTTTTAAAAATTATTAAGCCCACAAATACCTCAGAACAAAAATCATCACTGCTTCTTGCTTTCTATTTTGCCTTCTTCCATTTCTTTCCCTATCTTCTGCTACCCATCAGTCAATAGCCGCACCTGAGCCCTATAAGTACCTGCTGTTCTATCACTGAGCAGGGAAAGCCTTTCACGATTGTATTAGTTTCCTAAGGCTGCTGTAACGAAGTACCACAAATGATGTTGTTTAAAATGACAGCGACTTATTGTCTCACACTTCTGGAGGCTAAACTTTCAAAATTAAGATGTTGGCAGGGCCATGTTGCCTCGGAAACACGGAGAAAAAAACATTCTTTTTTTTGCCTCTTCTAGCTTCTTTTTTTTTTTTTCTGGTCATCTTTGGCATTCCTTAGCTTGTAGATGCATCACTTCAAACCTCTGCCTCTGTTGTCATCAGATCATCTTTGCCCTCTGTGTCTCTGTGATGTCACATGATCATCTTAAAGGACGCTGATCATATTAGGCTAGGTACATCCTAATGATTTCATCTTAATTTGATTAAATCTGCAAAGACCCTATATCCAAATAAAGTTACATTCATAAGTACTAGAGGTTAGGATTTCATATATTGAGTTCTCTATATATCCTTTAGAGGAGGGACACAATTCAACCCATAACAATGACACAGACAGTGGTTCTCAAACTCTCACATGTATCAGGCTCACCTGGAAGGTTTGTTAAAACACGGATTACAGCCAGGCACAGTGGCTCACGCCTGTAATCCCAGCACTTTGGGAGGCCAAGGCGGGCAGATCACTTGAGGTCAGGAGTTCAAGACCAGCCTGGCCAACATGGTGAAACCCCATCTCTACCAAAACTACAAAAATTAGCCAGGCATTGTGGCAGGTGCCTGTAAGCCCAGCTACTCAGGAGGCTGAGGCAGGAGAATTGCTTGAACCCGGGAGACAGAGGTTGCAGTGAGCCCAGATCACACTACTGCACTCCAGCCTGGGGGACAAGAGTGAGGGTCTGTCTCAAAAAAAAAAAAAAAAAATAGAGATTACTGGATCACATCCAGGGGTTCTGATTCAGGAGATCTGGGGTGGAGCCTAAGAATTTCCATTTCTAACAAGTTACCAGTTGATGCTGTTGCTGTTGGTCCTGGTAGCAGACACTTGAGAATTACTAGTGTAGGACCTTGCAACTCAAAATGCAGTCCTTGGACTAGGAGCATCAGCATCACCAGGGGCCCTGGGAGAAATGCAGACCCTCTCCTGGACCATGCCCCAGGCTTTCTGAATGAGAATCTACATTCTAACATTAAAGTTGGAGAAGCCTTGATCTAGGAGGCACTGCCCCAGAACAAGCTGGAAAGTCAGCTAGCCTCCGCTATAGAAGGAAGTTTCTACAAAGTCAAGCCAGTAGGCTCAGTTCAGTCAAGTTGGCCTTCTCATAGAGGTCTCTAAGAACCTCAATTGGTATCTGGCTCTCAGAAGAGTTTCTATTGGGTCCACATCCTAAAACCTGCTCATTCCTGGGAGATACCAGGAAGTCATGCCTGAGGTCTCATTTTCAGACAAGCAACAGAACATAAGGTTGCACACACCACCTTTGCTAAAGAGACAATAAGGCTTATTCAAAGAAGCCAATGAAACATACACTCAGAGATGGTGACAGGCCAGAGGGAATTAAGAGACCTGCAGAGGCACAAAAGAGGAGATAAGTAAAATGTATTACGAAGGAGTTTTCTTGGCACTTTGCCTGATCTACTGACTTATTTTTATTTCTTACAGTGCAGTTTTGTGGATAACTATTTATTTTCATGACTGCTTTAATTGGAGAAACAGGTTCACTTTGTTGTGATAAGGTTTGTGTTTCAAAAGCAAGGAAGAAAGTAGAAAACAATACAGTTCCTGTGAGTTCCTCTGAATGCACTGAAAGATTGTGCAATTCTCTCTAATATAGTTCCCAGTGATATTTTTTGGGGTGAGGCATTTGCTCTGGAAAAGAATGGTTTAAGTAGTTCCTATTATGGTTTCTAAATAAAGAGCCAAGCCCTGAACTGACCCCTGAACTAATGTGACAGAAAGCTCTGGCATTCAAAATGGCTGCAGTGCTTTGGGCCACACCTCTCTTCACTGGGCCGGGTCCATAACCTTCCAGCTGCTCTGAACCTGAGCCGGAGTTGTTTGCTAATTACCTATTCGTTTGCACCCATTGTCCACTGCCAGAAGATACACCTCCAAAGTCAGTTTCTCTTGTGAAAATTTGACTAACAAGCAGTGGCATATTAGAATTTCAGAGCTGACACCCACCTGACAACATCAACTCCAATCTCTCCTTCTTATAGGTACAGGGAAAGAAAGTGACTCAATGTGGCTCATGTAACCAGCCTGTGGCAGAACCTGGAGTCAATCCCAGGTCTATGGTCACTTCCAGCACTTCCCATGCCACCTCTTTATCCTGCCCTCTCCCTTGGAGATGAACTGACTTTGGAATTAACCATAAATTACCTGCCACAAACCCTCAGCAGCTTACACTTGAGTTCTCTGTTCCTAACCAACCCAAGCTATGGTATTGGCACAGAATTCTGTTTCTAGGGCTATGCCAGGTCAGGGGTACACACAGCACCCAAAAATCATGCTATAGAAGGCTATAATGCAAGTCTGGCTCTTCTGGAGCAGGTACATGAATGGAGCCAGCCTGCCATACTAGGTTCTATGGGAAACTGGGAGCACATGCCCCATGTAGCAGGGAAGCCAATACTTACCTCCAATAGCCAGGAGCCTTTGGGATTGAGGACCCAGTGTTGCCAGTCATAGCTATTTTTAAGAGATGTTAGAATTTTGTTTGTTTATATGTGAAATCACTTGCATTTTAAATATTGGCTCAGATTTTTAAATGTCTTTTAAAACACTGGCAGGCTAAACAAAATCCAGCCCATGGGCTGCCAATTCATCCTCTGCAGCATAGTAACAGTGAGGGATGAATGCTAAAGCCAGGCAGACCAGTGTGAATCCTGGCTCAGACCCTTGGTATGGCCATGGGTAAGGGAACCTCCCAGCCCTTCTACCTCCTAGCACTAATGGTCCAATCTCATAGCATTCTTGGGAAGACTGCAGTAATATAGGTGAAGCACTTAATGTGCTGCCAGTTACATCAGTACGCAAGAAAAGTTAGCACCGCCATTATAATAACCCTGAATCATAAAGACCTGAATGCCCTTAGTCAGAGCACCACCCAGAAAGCTCTCTAAGGCAAAGCCAGCACTCGTCTGCTAAAAGCCCTCTGTCCCTCTCAGCTAATTTCTGAACCAGTATCTTCCATGGCTTTGTGATCCCTGCTGGGAATTCAATGTTAAGGTAACATAGCAGCTTGTCATGTACTTCCCTGTGGCGTTTCTCTCTGGGGAGACAGAGACAAATGGAAAGAATGGACAAGGCGGGCTGCTCAAAGCACTCTGGATAGCCTTGGAGGATGCATGGACAGAGGAAAGCCCAGCTTCAGCCAGGAGGCCCCAGGGTGTTTGTTCCAGCAGATAAACATCCTTCCAGGAACAGTTTAGATCATCTGATATAAAAAAGTGGCCTCTGACCCAAGGCAGTTTTGTTCTGTTCTTTCTCAGCCAGTCAAGTGTAAGTGAAGAATGTGGCTGAGATTGGGATCTGGCCTGGAGTGCCTCACAGGGGGACACGACGGTTTAAATGCGGCTGAACCTTCTTTGGAATGCTGCCTGACTGGTGCTTCAGGTGTTACTTAAATTCTTAGCAAAGACAAAAGGAATCGAAAACAAGGTATACTAAACTGACCATTGTGCTATAGGGGCCTAAGGAAAGCTTCCCCTCCCCACTCTAAAATTTCACTGAGGGCCGGGGGCGGTGGCTCACCCCTGTAATCCCAGCACTGTAGGAGGCTGAGGAGGGCAGATCACCATGAATATTCAGTGTGAATATTCATGTGAGGAGTTTGAGACCAGCCTGGCCAACATAGTGAAACCCTATCTCTTCTAAAAATACAAAAATTAGCCGGGCATGGTGGCAGGCACCTGTAGTCCAGCTACTCTTGAGGCTGAGGCAGGAGAATCTCTTGAACCCGGGAGGCAGAAGTTGCAGTGAGCCGAGATTATGCCACTACACTCCAGCCTGGGTGACAGAGACTCTGCCTCAAAAAAAAAAAAAAAAAAAAATTTCATTGAAAAATCAACTCACAAAAGGCAGATTGATTGAAGAAAAGGCATACAAATTTATTAACATGCACACAGAATGAATTGCAGAGTGATTACCCCACCCCAACGGGATTCAGAAACTTATGTACCATCCTGGCAAAATAGGTTATGGGGTGATGGAGAAGAGAAATTCTGTTATGGGAATTGCTGGAGAGAATGAACGGTTCAAGGAACAGAGATGAACTTGTATGTTATCTTGTGAAAGGATCTGTTCAGGATCTCAGACAGATGAAGAAACTTCTTTTTTTTTCTTTTTAGTAGAGATGGGGTTTCACCATGTTGGCCAGGCTGGTCCTGAGCTCCTGGCCTCAAGTGATCCGCCCACCTCGACCTCCCAAACTGCTGGAATTACAGGCGTGAGAGACCATGTCTGGCCAGATAAATGAACTTCAACATCATCCTGTCTTTGGGACAGACTGGGGGGGCCAGATGGGGAAGATCAGAGAGACCTTGAGGCTTCTTCAGTTAAGTATGTCAATGAGCATATTTTGAGGTATCAGTTTGTGAGCCCCAACAATGTTTTGGTATAGGGGGTCTTACGGAAATGCAGGGAAATTTGATTTCACTTACCACAGGATCAGAGATGTATTTCTTTCATGGGTACCACAGCTGCTAAACCAAGCAGGTCTTCTCAGGACATAACCCACAGTGAGCATGTTAGGATGCAGGAACATGTGCAGGGCTCTGGCAAGAGGTACTGAAACATTGAAAACGGCCTTGATAGAGTATCTCTCTTTGAAAGAGGTTTAAAAAAGATACACTAAAAGTTATTTTGCTTAACACTGTCCATATAAACCAAAGAGGGCATTGAAATTACCAATGGCCCTGTATCTCTTGGGCAACAGATAAGGCCTATTTTCAAGATATATCTTTCCGTAGATCCTACTGTCCTGAATAATTTGTAGATTCCTGATGTATTGAATATTGAGAAATGCTTTTTAGTCTATGTCCAGTTATTTTCATGGATGTTGAAGAAAATAGACTAAGAGGAAGGGTTTAATATTTATGCAGCTACAAGTGTCCATTTTTCCCCCAGAAAATATACTACATAACACACACACTCTTTTCTTTTTTTTGGCATTATACAATTCTCTTCTCAGTGCTACAAAAGAACTAATTATTCACAGCAAGGAAAGCATGCTGTAATATAGTTGCAAGGGGCATTTTGTCTAGTTGTTAATTAGCCAAGTTTTTGGTGTCAGACAGAATTGAGTTTCAAATCTCACTCCACCACTTCCTAGATTTGAACTTGGGCAAATTATTTAGCCTTTCTAATCTTAGTTTCTCATAGCTATAAAATGAAGCTAATAACAGGATCTCTGCAAAGATTGTTATGAAAATTAAATGAGCTAATAGTTATATAGCATTTAGCAGGATTTGGCACATAATAGTGCTAAATCAATGGTAACTATTGTGAAACCAGAAAATCTGAGACAGATCTCGGTTAATTTAGAAAGTTTATTTTGCCAAGGTTGAGGATGCACTGGGACACAGCCTCAGGAAGTCCTGATGATATGTGCCCAAGGTGACCGGGGCACAGCTTGGTTTTATACATTTTAGGGAGACATGAGGTATCAGTCAATATATGTAAGAAGTACGTTCGTTCCATCCAGAAAGGTAGGGACAACTCAAAGCAAGGCCCCCCCACTGGGGGCTTCCAGATCACAGGTAGGTGAGAGACAGATGGTTGCATTCTTTTGAGTTTCTGGTAAGTCTTTCCGAAAGAGGCAATCAGAATATACACCTATCTCTGTGAGCAGAGGGATGACTTTGAATAGACTGGGAGGCAGATTTGCCCTGAGCAGTTCCCAGCTTGAAGGGGCCCAAGATATTTTCCTTTCACACTATTATTAAAATTTCCCTCCAATTTAACTCTTTCAATAAAACTCACATAACCAGTGTTTTCTTAAGGTGAGGTATACCTGTACTCAAGATGTGCTTAAATTCTGGTGAAGGAATGTTGAAAGAAATAAACAATTTCCTATGCCACTCAAAAGACCACAAGGATGGCTAAATAGTAGAAAGGCAAGTTTACTGGCAACATCAGTTTGCAAAACGGGAAGAGTCAGTCTTCAGTGTGTACCAACGGTATCCTCTCTTTGAAAAGGGAAAGGGCAGGTTGGGTTTTATGCCTCACAGGATCTGTATTACATAATAGTCATACATATTTAGCAGGTCTGGGGGGAAAGCCATACTTCTTTATGAGAGGAGTTGAGTGCATGCACAATGGGCAAACATATATATATAACACGCATCTCATGTTCATGTAGGGGCAGGGTTTTAGTATTAAAATGCGGTAGAGTTTGGCCCTTTACGACAAAAGGTAAACTATAGGACACAAAGACATAGAGATTGTGTGTAGTCTCTGTAAGCCAGCTGAAACTGGCTTGAGGTCTGCAGTTGCTAATCAGAAAAGAATGCTTTTCCTCTGTCCAATCAGAGTTGTAGTGATCTGCGTTGTAAATCAGAGTTAGGAATTTGCCTGATAGCACCTATTGTTAGGGAGTTTAACATGCTCAAGGTTTTTCTTGTAGTCAGAATTTAGGAAGTTGCTGTGCCAGCCAAGCTCTGGACCCTTGACTCACAGGTAACTTTTGTTTTCTTAACCTTGGGATCCATCTTAGTTGATAAAAGGGCATCTATTTTGGTCCCGCAGATCACATCTACTAGTCTGCATTGCTCATATTGCAGTTAGGATCCAGTCTCAATGAAGTCTGGCTACATAGTCTCAATGACAGCCTTGGAAACTCCTCCAGGGGTCATGAACATAGAATGGCCTTTCATAGTTTCCTGAGTTGGAGCAAGACAGCACAAGGGCAAATACAAATCAGAAATAAGAGTCTTAATTCTTATTTCAATTCCTGTAATTGAAAATAAGGGAAGAGTTCTCCCCATTTCCCTTTAATTTTCAGAATTTATCTATCCTTTGCAACTGTATATAAATCTTTATAGTAGCTAAGTAAGATTCTTGCCAGTCTCATAACTCAGAAATATTTCCTCAAGAACCTCAAAGCCATCTTTTTAAATGCAAACATCAGGAAAAAATTGCTTTTCTATCTTCCACTTCTATGGAAGAGTTAGAATCTGATGGGGCTCAGGACACAACACTCAAAAAAAGACTGTAGGAAACTAGAATATGTCACCCGAAAATATGCCTCTTTGGCATATTGATTATTTTGAGCTGGTTATTTTGAGAAACTGAAGACACAGGAGTAGCTCTGAAAAGATGGATGTTCATAAGAGAAACATATATCTGCAAAGGAAATCACCATTTGCAAGGGTCTCTTCATCTTTGCACCAGGAAAAGAAGACTAAATCACTAGAGACTCTTAAACAATGGAGAAGGTATCTACTTAAATCTGCAAAACAAACCTTACCTTTGTTTAAGATGCTTTCCCAGGTCATTTCATCTAAACCAGGCCCTCCTCCACATCTTTCCTTCCAGAGAAAGATGGCATCTAAGCCTGAAATTTAAATGCTTTCTTTGAGATATACTCCAGAGATTTACTGATTTCTCTGGGTTTTCTCCCATGTGTATGTGAGGTATACATTTTAATAAGCTTCTGTCTGTATTTCTCTTGTTAATCTATCTTTTGTTATAGGAAGTCCCAGTTTAGAGAACATTATTTTTTTTCCTCCCCTACTAGCCTAACTTTAGTGAGTACTTAGTGCCTTGCAAAACTATGTCCTGTTGGAAAGAGATAAGAAACTTGTTTCTCCTCTGGATAAAACCAACATAGGTGGTCCCTCAATTACCATGATAAAGTTAGGATAAATGATGTGTGACAAGTCGTCTTACTTGAGAACTAGTTATTATTTATCTCAAAAACAGGTTCATAATTGTCGTATCTGCTTGGCTATTACTACGGTTTGAAAGTCCACTCCAAAACTCATGTTAAAATTTGATTGCCATTGTGATAGTGTTAAGAGGTGGGACCTTTAAGAGGTAATTAGGTCATGAGGGTTGTACCCTCAGGCATGGATTAATGCCATTATCTCAGGAGTGGGTTAGTTTTCTTGGGATTGAGCTCCTGATAAAATAATACACATCACCCCATTTTCTCTCTGCCTCATTGCTTGCTTACCGTATAATGCCTTCAGCCATGGGATAACCCTTGCCAGATGCCAGTCATGCTCTTGGACTTTCCAGCCTCCAGAACCATGAGCCAAATAACCATCTATTATTTTTTTTTTTTTTATGAATTACCCAGTCTGTGTTATTCTCTTTTGTTTTTTTTATTTTTTTTTTTGAGACGGAGTCTCGCTCTGTCACCCAGGCTGGAGTGCAGTGGCACGAACTCAGCTCACTGCAACCACCACCTTCCAGATTCAAGTGATTCTCCCACCTCAGCCTCCCAAGTAGCTGGGATTATAGGTGCTTGCCACCATGCCCAGCTAATTTTTGTATTTTTTAGCAGAGACAGGGTTTCGCCATGTTGGCCAGGCTGGTCTCAAACTCCTGACCTCAGGTGATCCGCCCGCCTCGGCCTCCCAAAGTGCTGGGATTAAAGGCGTGAGCCACTGCACCCAGACTGTGTTATTCTCTTATAGCAGCAGGAAGCAGACTGAGATTCCTATGTAAAGGGGTATAATACCTTTTTGTCTCTGCAGTCTCTTAGTGGATTGCCTGTGATGTGTATCACATTCTGGTTTAATGCTTATTTAATAACACAACTGTTTTTTTCCTCCACTATCTTCATGCAGAGGTTTTCTGGGCAGAAAGAAGATGTTTTCAAAAAATTATATTTCCCAGCCAGGTACAGTGGCTTACACCTGTAATCCCAACATTTTTGGAGGTTGAGGCAGAAGGGTCGCTTGAGCTCAGGAGTTTGAGACCAGCCTAGGCAGATTAGGGAGATCCATCTCTACAAAAACAAAAACAAAAAAGAAATTAGCTGGGCATGGTGGTACATACCTGTGGTCCCAGCTACTCAGAAGACTAAGGTGGGAGGATTGCTTGAGCCTGGGAGGTTGAGGCTGCAGTGAGCCATGATTGTTCCACTGCACTCCAGCCTGGGCGATGTGTGTGTATATATATATATATATATATTTCCCCAAAGTTGGCAAGGCCTTTAATCCCCCCATCAGTCACTAGATGTGGGTCACCTGAAGAAAGGGGGTACCCTAGATGTGCAAGCATCCTGCAGTGAAAGCAGCTGAAGGTCATCTGCCAACAGCACTCCCAGCAGCTGGGACAAGAAGCCCTTCTTTGAAGGGGCAGCAGAGTGGTAATCACAGTTTTCATTATAGCTTGGTTATACTGTTTTGTTTTGTTTAACTGCATTTTTCTTTCAAACTGCTCTCAACACTTCACAAACTAGCACATTTTTCTCACCCACTTGCTGAAGTCTCTTAAGAAGTGAAGTTCTCCTTGCCCTTCTCATGCCTATTTTTCATAATGAAAAGTGACATATGACAAGCCAGTGACAGTCACAGATAATCATACAGGTCTTCTGCTACTATAATATTGCTTACTCTTTATTTTGCTACCATAAACAGACGCTGTGAAGCCAAACCTGAAAACTGTTTTGGTTTTGTTTTCTGGAGAATGACTTCTCAGAGCTCTGCCCCATGACAAGAGCTTCATGAACTTTCTCAGGCATATTCTACTCCCACGCTCCAGTACCAAAACTAAGATTTTGTAAGAGTACATGAGCATGTTGTATTAGTCAGCTTTTCAGAGAAATAGAATAATAGGATATATACAGGCAAATATAGAAAGAGATTTATTATGTGGGTTTAACTCACATAATTATAAAACTAAGCCCCACAATCTGCTGCCTGCAAATTGGAGCTGCACAATGACAGTGACATAGTTCCAGTCCAAGCCTGAAAGCCTGACAACCAGGGCAGCAAGTTGTGTAAGTTCTAGTCCAATTTCAAAGGCACAAGAACCAGGGCTACTGATGTCTGAGGGCGGGAGAAGATGGATGTCCTAGCTAAACAAAAGAGAGAAAATGCACCCTCCCTCTGCCTTTTTGTTCTATTTTGGCCATCTTCAGATTGGATGACACTGACCCTCATTGGTGAGGGCTGATCTTCTTAATTTTGCATACGTATATTCTGATGCTAACGTCTTCCAGGAACACCTTCACAGACAGACCCAGAAATAATGTTTTCACCAGACACCTGGGCATGCCTAGCCCAGTCAAGTTGACACATAAAATTAACTATCACGAATGTCTCAAACCACTGTTAACCAACTAAAGCCAGAGAGAATCTGGGAAATAGACCTTCCTGCCAGTGCACGGGCCTTCCTGCACCTGCCCCTTAGCCTTCTCCCTTAGCTATGTTTAGGAACCTCTCTGGCTATCTCAAATCATAGTCAGCATCAGGGACATCATCACAAAAGAGTCAATTACATAGTCAAGGGTGAATCTCAACTGTAGCTACTATGGAGGCAGTTTTGATGTCTGGATATTGTAGGACATTTCTAAGCTGGGTGATAGGTATATAATTTCTGGCCCTAGTAAAGTTGTCAGTTTAGCACTCCTGGGGATTCACCCATGGATGTCTTTTATTTCCTGCAAGAGAAGGCTTTGAAACATACAGTGCATTAAATAACCCTTCAAATTCAGCTGGCCCTCAGAGTATCATTTTATCCTTTTGTGCACATCAGGAAAGGGGCACTTGGAGCCATCAGAGCTCTAGGCCAGAGGTTCCCAGATTGTCTCTTCAGACAGATACAAATAAAAAGAGGACTGGGTGGCTTATTTCAGGCAAATAGAATTTATGATAAAAAGCATCAAATGGGCCAAAGAAAAACATTTTATATGGAATTAAGGTACAATCCACAATAAAGATCTAACAGCTGGAATCTTTATGTGACAATAATGAAATAGTTAGAAACATAAGGGGAAAAAATGCTTGAAACACAATATTTGTAGGAGACGTTTAAACACAAATATCTCAAACTGACCGCTCAAATAAATAAAATTGTCAACAAAAATTAGAAGATCTAAATCATAGAATTTTCTTTATAAAAAGAAAGTATGCCATTTTTTAAGCTTCTGTGAAACATTTACAAAAAAAGATCACAAATAGGACACAAAGATAAACTCAGTAAATTTCAAAGCATGAAATTTATATGAGCCATTTTATCATGTCACAAAGTAATAAAACTTGAAATTAAACAAGCAAATAAACCATCCACTTTAAGGTGGAGGGCAAACTCCCAAACAGTTATTGTGACAAAATAGAATAAAAATTTTAGATATAGGCTATTATTAAAACAATAAAATGAGGCTGGGCGCAGTGGCTTACACCTGTCATCCCAGCATTTTGGGAAGCTAAGGCCGGCGGATCACCTGAGGTCAGGAGTTCGAAACCAGCCTGGCCAACATGGTGAAACCCCGTTGCTACTAAAAACTACAAAAATTAGCCGGGCATGGTGGTGGGTGCCTGTAATCCCAGCTACTTGGCAGGCTGAGGCAGAAAAATCACTTGAACCCGGGAAGTGGAGGTTGCAGTGGGCCAAGGCTGTGCCACTGCACTCCAGCCTTGGTGACAGAGCGAAACTTCATCTCAAAAAATAATAATAATAATAAAATGAGAACTGTTTTATGCACTCATGTAATAAACCCAAGTTACTGATTACCTGCTAGATACTATATACGGTTCTAAGAGCAGGATACACAACACTGCTCTAATGGAACTTATATTCCACCAGTACAGTGGGGAAGACAGCTTATAAACAAGTATATGAATAAATAAGAAAATATCAGGCGGTAACACTTGCTTAAATAACAATGAAACACAATGATGTGACTGAGAGTGACTGCCATAGGAGTGGCACTACTTTGGGTTGGAAAGGCCTCTCTGAGGTGGCATTTAAGCTGAGATCTGAACATTAGAAAGAATTCATCTGTGAAGATCTTGGAAAAGAACATTCCAGCAGAGAGATGACCTACACTGTATACCCAAGTTAGAGAACTGGATGCAGGAAGTGCAAAAATGAAAATACTTTAATTATTCATAGAAAATTCTTTGAAAAGGAGAAAGAAAATTATGAAGATGACAACCAAGATAAATAAGTGCAAAATCAAACAAAAAAGATAAGATTGATAAATCCAAGATTGAGTTACTCTGGAGGAAAAGTACAAAAGATAAGCATCTAATCAATAATTTTTAAAAACACATATAGATATAAAAATGAATATAGACAGCTACACAATTTTTAACAGAACTAGGATAACTCTAATACAAAAGAGAAAAAGAAAAGAAACAGGAAAAAGAAAAGCATATCAAACTTTAGATCAATCTTATTTATACATCTGGAATCATAAACCTACTAAATTGTATCCACAGAATATTAAATGACTATGCTTCATAACCAAGAAATCTTCATTCCAGATATACAAGGATAACTTAGAAAAAATATTAATATAACATGTTACATCATTTTTTCACAGCGGATAAGACATATCTTATAATCACAATGAATGAATAAAGGTTTTTGATAAAATTCAATACCTTTTCTGATTTAGCGTTACTCTGGCAGCTTGGAGGAATAAACTAATGTGGATGCCTTGCTTCACTCAATATGGAGAAATGGTAAATGATATATGATGCATATAATTAAAAGAATAGCTAAGCTGAAAAAAAAGAAAAACAATAATATGTAAACAATAAAGGAATTTAAAGCCAGAATTATGAAATAATGAAATAATATAGTGATAACTTTGGGGACAGGAGTGAGGGTATCAAATCCAGATATTGGCTCTAATAATCATTCAGGGAAAGGACAGATATGGTTTGGGGCCTGCCTAAGGTGGTAAGCTATCACTAAGATCACTGCATAAAATGGGGACCTTGAGAGGTACCCTCCAGTGAACTAGAAACAAGAAATTCTCTGCCCAGAAGAGCAATAAGGAAATTTGAATCTGCCTAGGACTCTGATCAGAGGAAAAATTATTCCTTTAAAAACCAAAACCTCAAGACTGTTTTAAACCAAAATATAAACTACGCAGGTGGCATAGGCATCCTCAAGTCCAAGAAATTAACGTAAACTGGTTTGAAGCCAGCAAATCAACTTGGCAGAGGGAAGCGTGCATTTCCAACGTCTAGAGCCAGAGTCAGCAAACTAAGGCCCGTGGGCCAAATACTGCCATGGCCTGCTCTTGTAGACTTTGTGTGTTAAGAATGGATTTTACATTTTTAAAAGGTTATTACTAAAAAAAAAAAAAAAAAAAAAAAAAAAAAAAAAGGAAGAAGAGAAGGAGGAAGAGACAGAGACTGTGTAGCCTGCCAAGACTAGAATATTTACTATTTGGCCCTATATAGAAAAAGTTTGCCAACCTATGATTTAGAGGACAAAGAGAGCCCAAAGGGATAAAATATCCTTACTAAAGATCAGCTTACAATAAAAGATTACCCTGCAACTAACTCATGCCCTATTTAGGAAAGTCAATAAACTCAATGACTAGTAGGATTAAGTAGCTTTGCAAATTTTAGACGATAGTACAATCTGAAGAGACTATAAAAATAGTATTTTTTAAATAATTAAACTGTATTCTTAGCTATTCTGGAGGCTGAGGCAGAAGAATGGCTTGAGCCCATGAGTTCAAGGCTGTAGTGCTCAATGATGGTGGCTGTGAATAGCCCAGGCACTCCAGCCTGGGCAATATAGCGAGACCCTGTCTCTAATAACAATATTAATAATGAAAGTGACAAAGGGAAATAGTTTCTTATGGTTTTTTTTGTTGTTGTTTGTTTGTTTTTTTCCCGAGACTGAGTCTTGCTCTGTCACCCAGGCTGGAGTGCAGTGGCACCATCTCGGCTCACTGCAATCTCCGCCTCCTGGGTTCAAGCAATTCTCCTGCCTCAGCCTCCCAAGTAGCTAGGATTACAGGCACCCACCACCACGCCTGGCTAATTTTTGTATTTTTAGTAGAGACGGGGTTTCACCTTGTTGGCCAGGCTGGTCTCAAACTTCTGACCTCGTGATCCACCTGCCTCAGCCTCCCAAAGTACTGGGATTATAGGCATGAGTCACCGCGCCTGGCCGGAAATAGATTTTTAAAAAAACTTTTATAAAAGAAAATGTAGTAGTTGGAATTATAATTCAAAGGAAAAATTAGATAGCAGATGTAAACACAACTGAGGAAGTAATCAATGGACTAGAAGGTAAATCTTAGAGGATTAACCAGAATGTAACACAAAGTGATAAAGGGATAAAAAATATGAAAAAGAAGTTAAGAGTTAGGAAGAACAGACTAAGAAAGAATGATTAGTTGTAGTTCCCAAAAGAAAGATTAGGAGAAATGAGAAAGAATTATTTGAAGATAAAATTATTGTGAATTATTAAGAAACAATAAAAATGTAAATCTTTATATTCAAGAAATACATTAAATCTTCAGCAGGATAAAAATAGATAAATCCAAAACTAGGCACATTATGGCAAAGTATTAAAAACAAAAGAAAAAGAAAATAAAAATAAGCAGAGAGTGACCGGGCTCCGTGGCTCACGCCTGTAATCCCAGCTTTTTGGGAGGCTGAAGTGGGTGGATCACCTGAGGTCAGGAGTTCGAGACCAGCCTGGCCAACATAGTGAAATCTTGTCTCTACTAAAAACACAAAAATTAGCCGGGCCTGGTGGCACGTGCCTGTAGTCCCAGCTACTTGGGAAGCTGAGGCAGGAGAATCGCTTGAACTCGGGAGGTGGAGGTTGCAGTGAGCCAAGATCATGCCACTGCACTCCAGCCTGGGTGACAGAGCAAGACTCCATCTCAAAAAAAAAAAAAAGTCATCAGAGAGAAAACATAAATTAACACTGTGGCCAAGATTGCTATATAGCCACCCAAATATATTCTGAATCGTCTGAAAAACCAGAGTTGTAGTTGAGCATAAGGATGCTAATGTTAGCATTCTATGAGGAAAGCATGTCTTCTAGATATGACTTTAGAATCATGTAATATTTTACATAATTATGAAACAAACTTAAAGTTTAAAAAAAGCAATCCCTAAAAGTGGAAAGTAAAAGGAAACAATCCTAACATGTATCTAAATAGTGACATAACCACATAGAGAGAGATTGGTCAGAGTGACTTTCAGAGGGAGGCTGAGGCAGGAGAATGGCGTGAACTGGGAAGGCGGAGCTTGCAGTGAGCCGAGATTGCGCCATTGCACTCTAGCCTGGATGAAAGAGCGAGACTCCGTCTCCAAAAAAAAAAAAAAAAAAAAAAAAAGTGACTTTCAGAAATAGTAATTTGACTGTATATCACTAGTGGTATATACCCTAAAAGCAAAAAGAATGACATAGGACAATGTTAAACTACTCACAGTAATCATGTTGTTAGTGGTGGCAATGGTATTATCATGTGGGCATTGTGGGATAAAGCGAAAAGAGTAATTATGGTACTGTATTAGTGTGTTAGGGCTGCTGTAACAAAATACCACAGACCAGGAGCTTAAACAACAGAAATGTATTTTCTCACAGTTTTGGAGGCTAGAAGTTCAAGATCAAGATTCTGTCAGAGCTGGTTTCTGGTGAGGCCTCCCTTCCCGGCTTGTAGACAGCCACCTTCTTACCATGACTTCACATGGCCTTCCCTCCTTGCACACCGGGAGAGAAGGAGAGAGAGAGATCACTGTCTCTTCCTCTTCTTCTTCTCCTTTTTTATAATAGAGACAAGGGTCTCACTATGTTTCCCAGACTGGTCTCAAACTCCTGGCCTCAAACAATCCTCCCACCCTTGCCTCCCAAAGTGCTGGTATTACAGGTGTGAGCCACTGTACCCGGACATGACTTTTCCTCTTCCTATAAGGATACCAGTCCTGTCAGATTAAGGCCTCGCCCTTATGATCTCATTTAACCTTAATTTCCTCCCTAAAGGCCTTATCTCCAAATACAATCATCCCTTGGTATCCATGGGGCATTAGTTCCAGGGCTACACACCATATCAAAATCGGCAGATGCTTATGCTCCTTATATAAAGTGTATTTCATATATAATATAAAATGTTATTTATTTAAATAAAACCTACCTACATCCTCTCATATACTTCAAATCATGTCTAGATTACTTATAATACCCAATACAATGTAAATACTATATAAATAGTTGTTATACTGTATTGGTTTTTTAATTTGTGTTATTTTTTAATACTGTATTATAATTTTTTTCAAATATTTTTGATCCTCAGTTGATTGACTCCATGGATGTGGAATCCACAGATATGGAGTGGCAACTATATAGTCACTGGAGGTTACAACTTCAGCATATGAATTTTGGGAGACACAGTTCAGTCCAATAACAAGTACCATTGAAAATTGAAAATTTTCACATAGGAGAAACGAAATACAGATGTAAGATAGCTAAGACTAAGTGAAAAACCTGTAGTCCTAAATGTGAGTAGAAACTATCAGTATGAGCATATATATATATACACACACACACACATACATATTTGTAATATAACTTTATATATGACTATATAATTTATATATATTATATCTATCCATTGAAAAGGCCTGAAAGAAAAGATAAACTCAGTAGCAATGAGACCACTAGTACCCAGATTATAATACCATTTCCTATTCAAATGAACCAGAGATTCTTAGAAAAAAATCTTTGACTCTAGGCCTGAGAAGGGAAATGTAAAAGCTGTACATATAAAATTTTGTCATCCCTGGTAGCAACCAAATTATTAGTTATCATTTCAGTGGGTTTATGAACCAACTTGAATAGTCTTCCCCAGCCAAATATAGGATAGTTTTATTTTTGGAATTGATTTTGACTACAGAGTATCTGAGCTTGCTTGCCCACTGGCTAGAATTCTATTAGTTACCTGATATCCTTTCAATAAATTCCTCTTTTGCTTTGAGTAAGTCAGAATTATTTTTTACTTTCAACTAAGAAACCAACAAATGAAACTTGCCTAGCATGACTGAAGGCATAATTGATGTTCAGTAAATGGTGATTTCCTTCCTAGGAGTCAAAAATCTACTATGACTTCTTTTCAGATTTTAAAAACTGTGAGGGAAACTTCCTGCCTATGAGGACTTCCCTCTTTCATGAGGGAGATTCTGCCTCTGTTCACATCCCCTGCAGCTCCCCTACTCTCCTCTACTCAAGGGAAGAAGGTCTGGAAGCCAATTGATCACAGTCCAAGGTTTTGACTGGGCCCCAGTAATCAGTGGGCAGGGCCACTGTCTCAAAATGTCAGCACCCAGTTCCTGTTTTCCCGCATTTTCTGCTTCCTATCTCCCAGTGGTAAGCAGACATAAGATCTCTTAGGTCTTCCTCAACCTGATGCTAGAGAGTAAATGCATTTAGTATTCCTCTCAAAGGTTGGATCTCTCTATCAAACAATATGCCTAAAATTTCCATTTGAAGAGAAATAAAAAATCCCAGTTACACACTGAGGCTTAAGACATGCTCAAGTTCATCTTTTACCAGAAAACGCTGCATTGGGAATTATCAGGTGCTGACTTAGCTAGTAATCATATAATTCATTGATTCTCATTTCCTGCTGTTCCTTTCCTGGCACAGAACTCCCCTGAGACACTAAAGGCAAGATGGGACCATTTAAGGACTCAGATATTCTTGGGTTCCTCACAGAGGAGAAGATGGGTGATACCACCAAGTAACACCAAAACTCCTCTCTCATTCTTACAGAACCACCAAGAGATGGGAAACAAAGTGCAAAAGAATATAGCATGGATACTGACATTTCAACACAGTGACTCTGACGTTTATGCTTAGGGGCTCTGACAGGTTGGCATAGGGTAGAAAGGAGCAGAGGAGGAGGCCAGTGGGAGGAGAAGGAAGGCCAAGTGAGAGGATGGCCTCCTCTGCGGTCTTCACTCGATTCTCTTTACCTCACTCCACTCTCCCCCATTAATTCCCACCTATACATCCAAGGAAGAGAGTGATAAAAAGGGTAATGAGGATGAGTCAAGTTCAAAGGTATTTTATTGGCCACATTCTTTTTTTGGGTGTTCATGTCCTGGGAATTTCTCTTTTGTACCTCTGGTGTGCGAAAAGCACACTTATACCACCTATGCTCCAGATTTTAAAGAGAGGCTCATTTCTCTCTCCTTTCGTTGGCATGGTTTTCCTTGGATTCATCTTTTCTTGCTGTCACAAAGTTAAAATAACAAAGCCTGAGAAAGAGGTATAAACTTAGGGGGAAAGTACCAAGACGGTCACTTGGACATTTTATTATTATTATTATTATTATTATTATTATTATTATTATTATTATTATTTTAAGGGTCTTGCTATGTTTCCCAGGCTGGTCTCGAAATCCTGGCCTCAAGTGATCCTCCCACTTAGCCTCCCCAAACACTAAGATTACAGCCATGAGCCAAGACACCTAGCCAGGGCCTAGTTTTAGCATTAATTTTGCCTTTAGATTAGACAAAAAGAATCTTTCAGTGGTTATCCCTAGCTTCGCAATGGCCTAGGGTAGTATTTGAAGCCAAAACATTCTTATAAAATGCATGCATTTGCCTGGCCCTGTCCTCTGAGCATGATGTCTCCCTTGTGGCACTCATGGACAAGGGCAAAGCTCTGGCAAGGCAGGATTTGGGTGTTCAGAACCTTGAGCCCAAGCCCAATACTACCCCCAACCCCAAATACCATGTCTTCCAATTCAAATAACATGGGTGATAATGGGCCTGCCATTCTAAAATCATGTCTGGCTAATGGCTTGGCAGGTGAATAATCTGCTATGAGCCTACCTGAGCAGTGGCTGCTCTTGGGACCAGAAGATGCAAACACACACAGCTGTGAGGAAGCCCCAGCTCTTGGGAACTGTTGCTGCAATCTCCAGGTCTACTGGCCTTGCTTCACTGTTTTCTGATGTCTCCATCAGCCCCATCCTGATGATCTCCTGGTACTCCCCGACTTTAAGGAGACCTGTTTGCTATGGAAGCTCTAGGAAATGCATAATGGTATGAGGTGATGGCTTCCAATAATGGGCCTTCGCATTCTGAAGATGATGTGGTTGAAATGTGAATGGTTCAGTCTGCTTGGGAGATGATCTTTCCAAGACAAGCTCCTGAACTGATGCTGCCTTATCTTCTTACATGTGTTCCTTTGTTCCCAAGTCACTTACTGGGACTTCAGATGCCATCTCAGGTCCTCTGCTTCCCTCTTCTGGTCAATTGAAGGGAATCTTTATAGCCATTTAGAGCTCAGGGGAAGAATTAATATATGATGCTACCTAGTATAGAACCAAATAATAATCTCCTAGTGATCACTTTTCAATTCACAAAAAGCTACACCCAGGAAATAGGGTAATTAAATATAACATTATTACCTATTAAATATGCTCACACTAAGGCAGTCATAACATCTATTCTACTGTACAGAACCAGAGGGAAGATGTTGAGCCAGCAGTTCTACATGTGATATCACTGTGTGTTTTTGTAGAAAGGGTTCTTTGGTTAAATGTATTTGGAAAATCTTAGGGTAAAATAAGTTACACAGGTTTCTTTACTAAAAAATTGCTCAGGGCCTTTAAATTTATAACGTGAATTGTTAATCTCCCAGGGGGATATGGTATATAATTTTTGATCGATGACTCCTTGATTGGAGAGAATTCCAAGGATTAGCATTCCATTCTGTAGAATATTCTGGGGGAAATGTGACACTAGACATTGAAAAGGTGAACTTAAAAAAGAAAGATCTTCACATTTTGAAATGGCAAGTGTCATCTCACCTAAGCCAACAGCAGGTCCGCAAAGCAAATGACCATTAGTACCTCTTGAGTTGATATCAGCCTCAAGTTTTTTTAAACCACAAAGCTTAGAGTTGGGAAAAGGACCCTAAAGGCCCTAAAGGTCCTTTGCAGACCAATCCCTCCATTTTGTAGATAAGATGACTGAGACTTAGAGAGCTATATAGTCTCAAAACCCAGTGAAGAAATATAATTTTACCATGTATTGGTGGGAATCCAGGATACACCACTGTTTAGCTGAGAGGAGCTGTCCATCACAAAAAGCCTGCATTTTGACATATTCGATAAGCAGGTTTTTTTTTTAGTTTAAGCCAGGTGTGGTGGCTCACACCTGTAATCCCAGCACTTTGGGAGGCCGAGGTGGGTGGATCACCTGAGGTCAGGAGTTCGAGACCAGCCTGACCAACATGGTGAAACCCTGTCTCTACTAAAAATACAAAAAGTAGCTGGGCGTGGTAGCACATGCCTGTAATCCCAGCTACTCGTGAGGCTGAGGCAGGAGAATCGCTAGAACCCGGGAGGTGGAGGTTGCAGTGAGCCGAGATCATGCCATTGCACTCCAGCCTGGGCAACAACAGCAAAACTCCATCTCTAAAAAAAAAAAAAAAAAAAAAAAATTAGTTTAGAAGAGTATATATCAGGCCATCCGCTTCACTGGAAAGATGTACGCAAGATGCTGCAGCCTTTAACAAAGAAGATCCAACTTATTATTCATTTATAAACCCACAGAAGGCACTTTTATAAAAAGACATCATCCTCATTCATGCATCAAATGGAAAGTCAGGAAATACAGTTTGTGTTAAACTCCAAAGGGCTTTGATGCTTTTTCATAAATGTTAGCACATTTGGGAGAACACCACAGCCTTCTGTGTTAGCTGAGACTATTCTGGTTGCTAGTGACAAGAACCCAGCTTGAACTAGTTTAGGCAGAATAAAAAGGAGGGTGGGGAGTAATTTATGGGAAGGCTCACATAACAAAAGGAAGAGCTGGCCGGGCAGGGTGAATGAAAGAGCCATCAAGATTATCACCTTCACCTCTTGCATTTCTCTCTGTCAGTCAGCTTTACTCTTCTACTGCAGATGGGATCTGCCCCCTCATGGGGGTGGTGGCTCTCTTTGGCTCATAATTTCACATCTTCCCTACCAGAAAGCAATGGTCTCTAGTTCAAAGGTCCCAGAGAAGGGCTCTGATTGGCCTTGCTTCTTCAAGGTGTACCTTTCTGAGGTAAGGGAAATAGGTCTTAATAGAGGCAGATAGCCTGGTGGGTATCAGTATGGGTTCTGAAGTCCAACTGCTTGAGCTCAAACACTGGCTCCCCTGCCTACTAGCTGATTGATCTTGAGCAATTTACTTAAGCTCTTTTACCTCAGTTTCCTTATCTGTAAAATGGGGACAATAATGGTTTACAGGTTTTATATCACGATTAAATGAGGAAAATATGTAAACAATTTTATATGGTACCCAGCACAAGGCAAGTAATCAATAGTCATTAGCTTTTCTCATTACTGGTTCAGCTTGGAGGGTTAGGAGGTCATGCTTAGATCAATCACTACGGCAATTCAATGGAAAGATTAAGAGCATAAGCTCTATGGTCTGATGATGTGATTTCAAGTTCCAACTCCTGCACTTACTAGCTATACCTTATGCAAGTTGCTTAACTCTTCTGTGCCTTTGGTTTCTTCATCTATAAAATAGGGATAATAATCATTCCTATCTTGTAAGATGGTTGCAAGAAATAAAAGAGATGACAAATTTGAATCATTTAGCATCTTGTCTAGCACACAGTAAGCATGCAACAAAGTTATTATTAAGGCTGTGCAGGCGGTCTACCAAAAGATGATATCTTCCATTTGAATCATGACAGTAGGAGTATTTCATTCATTTATTCAATAAATACTTGTTTAGTGCTACTATTGTGCTAGGCACTGTGCTGAACGTTAAGAATACAGGGTGATGAGCAAGACAGATAATGCCCTGAGTTCATGAAGCACACGTTAGTAAGGCTTTAAGCAGCGCGATATTATTCTGGGCAGGACAAACAACAAATGTCCACTATACCTACCAACTATTAAATCCCTAACTTCTGGCTGGGTGTGGTGGCTCACGCCTGTAATCCCAGCACTTTGGGAGGCCGAGGCGGGTGGATCACCTGAGGTCAGGAGTTCGAGACCAGCCTGACCAACATGGAGAAACCCTGTCTCTACTAAAAATATATAATTAGCTGGGCGTGGTGGTGCATGCCTGTAATCCCAGTTACTCAGGAGGATGAGGCAGGAGAATCGCTTGAACCCAGGAGGCAGAGGTTGCAGTGAGCCAAGATCATGCCATTGCGCTCTAGCCTGAGCAACAAGAGCGAAACTCTGTCTAAATAAAATAAAATAAAATAAAATAAAATAAAATTAGCTGGGCGTGGTGGCACGTCACTGTAATCCCAGATACTCGAGAGGCTGAGGCACGAGAATTGCTTAAACTTGGGAGGTGGAGGTTGCAGTGAGCCGAGATAGTGCCATTGCACTCCAGCCTGGGCAACAGAGCGAGAGACTTGGTCTCAATAAATAAATAAATAAATAGATCCCTAATTTCTCTGTTGATAACCAGTCCTTCAGATTTCTTATCTTCTGCCTTGTCTCAAAAACATAGTCACACTTAACCATTATATCTCTTTCTCCTTGTAAAGGGATACCTCTTTCTATTCTTGGTAGATAATTATGACTATGTATGAATGTACATACATACTGTATGTATAAATTGTATTATATGTATATATTCTTTATGATATTTTGATGATCTGGTAGATCACTTACCTGTTAGGAGTTTGGGAGACCTACCACCTTGATTAGCCTCAAATTTAGGAGTAAAACCAGGACAGCAGAAGGTCAGCTTCTCCAAAAGATAAAAGAATCCTTCAAAAGTTGGTTAGTAAACTTACCTCACATTATATACAAAAATCATTCTTAGGTGGATTATAGATTGAATGGAAAAAGTAAAACAATAAAGCTTCTGGCAGATAACATAGGAAAATATCTTTATGAATTCTGGATTAGGAAAGGTTTCTTAAACAAGATCCCCAAAGCACTTAAAATAGTTTGAAAAAGTTGACTACATTAAAATAGTTTGAAAAAATTGACTAGATCAAATTCAAGAACTTCTGTTCATTAAAGTGCATCACTAAAGGAGAGAAAAAGCAAACCTCAAAGTGGAACACCATTTTTCAATGTGTGTAATCAACAAGGGGTTCAGGGTTCATATCTAAGATACATAAAGAATTCCTACGAACCTACCAGTCAAAAGAAAACAAAAACAGACAACACAACAAAAAAAACAGGCAGAAGATTTGACAGATAATGAATATGAAATGAGCATTAATTCTCAACCTCATTTGTTAGCAGGGAAATGTACACTAAAGCCATACTGATACACCACTATACCTCACTAGAGTATCAAACCAAGCTTTCAAGGTTGTAGAACATCAAGAACTCAAATGTTGTTGATGGAAGTGTAAATTGGCACAATTACTATAGCAAACAGATTGACATTATCAAATAAAATACAAGATATGCATAATTTATGACACAGCAATTCACCTCCAAGTTATATACCCTCATAAAACATATGTTTATGTGCACCAGTATACATGTTTAAGAATATTCATAGCAGTACTGAATAATAACTCCAAATGGAAACAACCTAAATGTCTATCAAGAGTGAAATAAATAACAAATTGTGATCTATTCATACTATGAAATACTGTATTATGAGAAATAAGGAAAAAAGTACAGCTGCATGATATATAGAGGATGAATCTTAAAGACACAATATTACGTGAAAGGAGCCAAACAGTACAGAATATACACTGTATAATGTACTTTATATACAATTTTTGTTTTAAGACTGAATCTCACCATGTTGCCCAGGCTGATCTTGAATTCCTACGCTCTTGCAATCATTCCCCCTCAGCCTCTGGAGTAGCTGGGATTACAGGCACACGTCACCCAGCCTGGCTCTATACACAATTTTTTAAAAGGCAAAATTAAACAAGTTTTAGGACTAAAACTATCAAAGAAGAATAAGGAAGTAAATACTATAAAAATCAAGAGAGTATTCACTCTTAGGGAGAGTGAGAGGTTACAATCAGGAAAAGGTTTTTACAGCTATTAGTAATGTTTTATGGCTTGACACAAGTAGATTACACTGAGGTTTATTTTACAGATTGTTAACTCGTATATTCATTTTAAAAACCTTTCTGTATGCATGTTATATTTTACACACACTCACACTCAAGAGTAAGTATAGTGCAGACACAATGGACAGAGTCAGATAAAGGGTAGGACTGATCAAGTTCAAAGTCACAGAGCTCTCTAAAGGAGGGTTGAAGGTCACCAGCTTAAAGATGATCACCATCTTAGAACAAGCACTTATGCAACTTGCTGCTAAATGGGAAAAGTGGTGGCTTGCCCAACCACATTATATATTCTATTGATATAACTTGTAGAGAGGGATTTAGTTATAGAGAAAATATACAACAAACATTAAATCCATAGGTTTCAAATGATCAAAGCTAAAAGTCTCCCAGAACCCCTATCTAGGGGTGCATGCGCAACTCCACAAATCTGTAGTCATTGGAGGGGAAACTCAATGGACAGATGGAGAGTTCCAATCATCAGAGCCTCTGCTGCCAGGACATCCTTCATCCTAGCATGCCCGTTTTTCACTGGACCTGGGCAACTGACTTGCTCCCCAGCTGCCACAGCTTCTCCAGCAGGAATTGCAATCATGTCTGCCCTGCACCATCACCTCCTCACCATTGTAATCATACCATTTTGCATCCTCCTTGTCTTCCCACAGCTTGCATGTAATCGAGGGGTTTGTATGCTGGTTTGTTTGGCTTTGGCTAGGAAGAGAAAAGTTTCTATCATAAACATGCTCCCTACATTTTCCCCATGCTGTTTAGTTCATGGACCCTTCCTATATCACTCTCATACTGCCCTTCGCGTCCTCCCTAGTGCCAGCAGCCAGGGATTTTTTGATGTTTATTGGGCACTTATAACTCTTAAGCTTCATAATAATGAATGAGATGGGAGTATTATTATCCTTACCTAGGCTTAGAGGGGTTAGGTACTTAATTTTCACATCTCTGCTTCCTTGCCCCTACTCACACACGTCCCATACAAATCTAATAATTTTAAAATATTTTCATTGAAATAAATATATTAAAGGCAATTTTGAAAGTGAATTTAATTTCTAATCACACCATTCTCACTCATTTTTCTGTTTTTCAAAGTTTTGCCATGTTCATATATAATTATATGATTATATACATATTCTTTTTCTCGTTTTTTTTAAAATCATAAATCTTTTATCTTTGTCTTGAGCTTAAATAACTCTCAAGATCTCATTTTGGGACACAGCTTAGCATTGCACTGAGAAGATAAATAATAATCTGCTTAACCATTCCCATATTATTGGGTATTTAGGCTTTTTAGTTTTAACTAATAAATATTGTGTGCAATAATACATTTGTTAAAGTGAAATATAAAATTTTACATTTATCCCTGTTAAATTTAACTTCATTAGCTTTTGGCCAATTATTACAACATATCAACAGCTTCTTGAATTTTTACTTTGCTATCCAATGTGCTTGCATGATTCATGGATTTGATGAGTCATTAATTAAAGCATTGAAAATGGCAGACCCAAGAACAGAAGCTTACAGAGGTATATGTGCCAAAAGGCACACTGGAATGTTCAAAATAACACCCATGATATTTCCAAACTTGCAACAGCCCACATGTCCATTAGCTGCAGAATGTGCAAACAAATACATATGCACAGAATGGACTACAATATAAGAATAAAAATGAATGCACTACAGCTAGAACCATTACTTGGATGAATCTCACAAAAAGAAGCCAAACACAAAAGAATACTTACTCTACGGTGCCATTTTAATAAAGTTAAAAAAGTAGACAAGACTGATTTATGATGTAAGGTATCAATATATTGGTTACCTTTAAGGAGGAGGGGCAGTTTGTGATTGGAAAAGCATGCAAGGTAGGCCTTTGAGATGCTCATGAATGCTTTACTTCTAGACCTGGATGATTGCATGGGTATGTTTATTTGGTGATAATTCATCAAGCTGTACTCTTAGGATTTGTGAATTTTTCTGTGTTTTGCAATTCAGTACGAAGTTTATTTATTTTGTTTTTATTTTTATTTATTTATTTATTTAAGATGGAGTCTCACTCTGTGGCCCAGGCTGGAGTGCAGTGGTGCGACCTTGGCTCACTGCAACTTCCACCTCCGGGGTTCAAGAAAGTCTCCCTGCCTCGGCCTCGTGAGTAGCTGGGATTACAGTACCTGCCACCATCTCTGGCTAATTTTTCTATTTTTAGTAGAGATGGGGTTTTGCCATGTTGGCCAGGCTAGTCTTGAACTCCTGACCTCAGGTGATCCACCTGCCTCGGCCTCCCAAAGTGCTGGGATTACAGGCATGAGCCACTGTACCCGGCCCAAAGTTTATTTTACAAATAACAAGAATAATGAATTCAAAAGTTCATAGTGACAGCTGAACACAGTGCTGTGTTCCTGTAGTCCCAGCTACTTGGGAGGCTGAGGCAGGAGGATTGCTTGAGCCCAGGGGTTCAAGGCCGTAGTACGCTATGATTGTGCCTGTGAACAGCCACTATGCTCCAGCCTTGGTAACAGAACGAGACCTCATCTCTAAAAAACAAAAGTTCATAATGACGCTAACAATTATACATAAATTGATGAAAATTAAAAAGATAAAAATATAAGATTGGAGCTAGCTTGGAGTGGTAAATAGTGAGTTCAGTTTGAATATGTTGAAAGGGAAGTATTGGAAGAACATGCAGGTGAAAATGTTCAGTAAATAGTTGTATACGGGTCTGGGGCTCAGGGTAGAGCTCTGAGCTGGAGAGGAATATCTGGGAGTCATCAGTGTATTGATAGTAATTGAAATCATGGAAGTAGATGAGATCTTATACAGACCAAAAAAAAGCAATCTGAGGAGAGAACCTTAGGGGATTGTCTAGACTTATAGAAAGAAAGTTCATGAAGGAGGTGAAGAAGGAGCATTCAGAGAGAGAGAAGACCTAGTAGAGAGCAGTAGAAGCCAGGGGTAGAGGTTTTAGGAGGAGGAAATGACCCCAAAATGCCAAATGCCAGAAATACAGAAAGCAAGTTAAAGACTGAAAAGTCTCCATTGGGTTTAATGACTAGGTCACATGTGACTTTGGTGAGAATAGAGTCAGTGGCATAACGAGGTCTAAGATGGGTTTTCCACACGGATGTCATCTAGGAAGATGGCAGAGTTTGGGAAGAGAGGAGGAACTTAAGATTTTGGTGGGGTTGGTGATAAGGAAGTGCAGAGAACAAAGTAGCTAGATGGCATGAATATTGAGTAGTA
Organism: Homo sapiens; assembly: GCF_000001405.40. Taxonomy (NCBI): domain Eukaryota; kingdom Metazoa; phylum Chordata; class Mammalia; order Primates; family Hominidae; genus Homo; species Homo sapiens. The sequence continues at coordinate 117,292,811 of NC_000001.11, forward strand.
CGGGTCTAAAAGCAGCGTGGGGCCTGGAAGAATGCTGACTATCTACCTTCCCACTCTTTGGTATATAGGACTAAAAAATTCTCAGCCTCTATTCAGGAGGCTACAGTCAGAATATATGTCAGGAGAACACTGGGTTTCACACCAGATCAGGAAGCTGAGGAAACATTCTATGAAGTGATTGAGGGAGTCTTTTTATTATGGATGGTAATTATGCTTGAAACTAAAGGAGAACAGACAAATAGTCTTCCCCCCTTGGCTGCTTAAGCTTTACCTCTTGTAGTCTGAATGTTTATCTTTGTAACCATTGTAATCAATTAATGAGAATCCTTAGGTAGAATATTACTCTCCTCTTCCCTTTCTCTGTCTGTTCACTTCCTGGGCCCTTGGCTATCCAGTAATTCTACATTCTTGTTAGTCCCAATCTACTCCTCAATCAAAACATTTTCTTCTTCCAGCCCCAAACTTCAGATTCCTCTTTGATTTTTTGTTATATAGAAAATTCAAAGCCAGTACAGCCCTCCTGGGTGGGAGACTAAGGTGTGTTCTGTTAATTCATGAAAAATCAATTACACAGAAAAAGTCTGAAGATACAAAAGCTGTCATAGATTCAAGGGAAAATTGGAATTCCTGATTGGTCATTGAGAAGAAATCTAATGGTCCAGGGCCTGATTCCAGACATGTGCTGTATGCCCATGACCATTATGTTCAGAGGTTCCTGTATCCACGGGACTTAACTTTTTCATGTGAATAGGATTTGATGGGCAGATGAGCAGAAGGAATGTGAATCCATGCTCTAGTCCATTTCCCTATGGCTTCAATTTCATCCTCTACCTTTTGAGCAAAAGAACGACACCATAAAAACTGCTTTCCCACTTCCTCTTCTACTTGGTTGCCTCATTCTCTTTCCATTCCTTCTTTGGGGATTTGCTCCAGTGGGTGGCACAAGCTAGAGTAAGAACTCCGTGGGTCAGAGTATGGGGAAAGCCTGGTACAGTGTCTAACATGAAACTCAGGTGATTTTCTTCTTCCCAAAGTGGGAAATCTGGGGCTGGGTGTGGTGGCTCATGCCTGTAGTACCAGTACTTTGGAAGGCTGAGGTGGGCAGATCACTTGAGGTCAGGAGTTCGAGACCAGCCTGGCCAATATGGTAAAACCTGTCTCTACTAAAAATACAAAAATTAGCCAGGCATGGTGGTGCGTGCCTCTAATCCCAGATTCTTGAGTGGCTGAGGCATGAGAATTGCTTGAACCCAGGAGGCGAAGGCAGTGAGCTGAGATCGCACCACTGCACTCCAGCCTGGGTGACAGAATGAGACTCCGTCTCAAAAACAAAACAAAAAACCAAAGTGGGAAATCTGGTGGGTGGGAGGTACTGGACCAATGAGTTCACACAGGCTAATCTTTCAGACTTCTGGGGTTCATTCCAATAAAGATTTGATTTAATTAAAGAAGAATCTATAAAGTGTCTATTTTGCATGCAGAGCAATATGAGAAATACATAGAAGAAGCATGTGTAATAGGCTGCATAATATCCCCCAAGGGCCTCAGGTCTTAATCTCTATGATTAACCTCTATTTTTCAAATATGTTAGTGTTAACATATTTGGGAAAAGGGTCTTTGCAGATGTAATTAAGGATTTTGAGATTAGAAAATTATCTGGGATTATCTAAGTGGGCCCAAAATGCAATCACATGTATCCTTAAAATAGAGAGGCAGGCCGGGCGCGGTGGCTCATGCCTGTAATCCCAGCACTTTAGGAGACTGAGGGGGCCGGATCACGAGGTCAAGAGATCAAGACCATCCTGGCCAACATGGAGAAACCCCATCTCTACTAAAAATACAAAAATTAGCTGGGCGTGGTGGCAGTTGCCTGTAGTCCCAGCTACTTGGGAGGCTGAGGCAGGAGAATCACTTGAACCTGCGAGGCAGAGGTTGCAGTGAGCCAAGATCGTGCCACTGCACCCCAGCCTGGCGACAGAGCAAGACTGTGTCTCAAAAACAAAACAAAAAACAAACAAAAAAGAGGCAGAGGGAGATTAGACACACACGCAGAGAAGACCATGTAAGGATGCAGCAGAGAGAGATTTGAAGATGCCAGCCTTGAAGATGGGAGCAATGCAGCCAACGAACCAAAGAATCCTGGCAGCTGCCAGAAGCTGGAAAAGGCAAAGAATGGATTCTCCCCTAGAGTGTCTGGAGGGAGCACGGCCCTGCCAACACTCTGATTTTGGCCTAGTGGTGCTGATTTCAGACTTCTGGCCTCCAGAACTGAAAGAGAATAAATTGCTATTGCTTTATGTCACCAAATTTGTGGTAATTTGTTATAGCAGCCACAGGAAATTAATACAGCATGTAACAGTTTGGAAAGGACATAGGAGTAGGTATGCTGACTTACACACACACACACATCCCCCAAGGTGATGAAACAAAGGATACAGGGTCAAATCCAGCACTAAAGCGCATGCCATCCAGCAGCAGTATTTTATGGTGTAAATGTCTTAGTTCACTGGAATCCCTGGTGTCATTCAGTGCCTCTCACTCAGCATTTCCACACAGGCCCACCTCACACATGACACCACCCTTCACAAAGCTCTGCATAAGGACCAATCAGAACCTCAAGCTCAACACAGACAAGAGTTCTGTTGGAACTCTAGGAAGAAAGCCATTCTCTGAAACCTTTCTGGGGCTGGAGCACTTGTCAAGAGTAAACAGAAAAGGAATAAAGCTTGCCTCTTTTTTTGAAAAACCCAGCTGGACAATGGGCATATTCAATGGCCAAGGCCTCCTCTAATTGCTGGCTTGGGAAGAACTGGAGATAACTCAGCAATGGAGAGACAAGGAGGGCTCCTAGGGAACAACTTGGAGACCGAGGAATCTTGCTGAATGCCAGCAGGTTGTAGACACCAAGTGGTGGCTCTTTAGTTGCCATTAACAGCCCTGAGGATTGAGTGCGGATCTATTTCATCTTGAGAAGTTAATATTATTTAATCACAGAAAGTAAAGGCTCCATGTAATTTCATTGGAGCAATCAATGAAAGCATGAGAAATGCCACGCCAGGTCATAACAGTAAATACCCCCAGCACCACATTCTGGCTAGCAGAGGTATCAATGGAGGTCTGTGGGTAGACACTCTCAAAAGGTTAGGAATGTGTACTTCTCTCCCTTCCCGAACAACTCTAACTCGTCTAAAGTGTGACCCATTAGCACCATTAGCATCCACTAGTTGTGTAATCCTTTGGTTTGAGAATTTAGGGCAAGAACTCTGGCTATTATATTTTCTGCTTAGATGCTGAAAAAGGCAGGGCTTCCCTTCATAGTTCAGAATGGTCAGTGGTACCTTCATAAAGTCCTTAACAACCAGTCCCAGATTAAGGTCCCTGTCAGCACAAGCCTTGTCCAGGTGACAGTTTATTTTCTATTGCCCTTCCATACGGAGAAGAACAATGTGAGCTGTCCCAGTGACCACTATATTATGCTACTTCTGATTGTGTTTGCACAGGCTGAATTAACCTCCCTGTGATTTAGAAGTGGAAGGGTCTGAATTTCATTATAGATACAACTTCCATGTTCTTCTCCTTGGCTGGGGCACAGGGATTTTCTTGGAGGGGTCTTGTCATTACTATGCAGATTGCTTTCCTATCATTTGATTGAAATTTCAGGAAGAAGGAAGGTCATTAATGTAACTTCTTCCTCAATTTCTCATTTTAGAAAATCTGGAAGCAGAGCCAGTATAATTCAGCATTACTGAGCCCACTGAGCTCTCCAGGGAAGTATAAATTGAGCACAGAAGCTCTGAAATGGATTGTAACCACAACATCAGAGGTATTCTCAAAAGATCCATTCTCTTGGAAAAAAGTTTGCCAAGTGGAGCTGGATCCACAGCTGCCACTCAAGGCCTGTTTTCCGCAGAGCGCTGTTAAAGAGATTTTACCTGCTTCATAACCCATCCAGTTGTGTAAAGCAGAGGGTGTGAGGGCAGCCACTGCAGGGGTGAGTGCGTGGGTCATTCTATGGGTCTCTTCAGAAAGAGAGCTGCTGTTATATCAGACCTACAAGAAGCAAGGCATGTGTTTCCCAATGCACCACCCTGTCATTTTACCCCCAGAGCCTATTTGGCATCAGCCACCATAAGTAAGGCAAATCTGTTGAAGGCAAGAGACTTGTCAGGCCAAGTTCCCACCACGGCTTTTAGCTCACTGTAGCCTGAACTGGACATACTGTTGTGATTGCACTTCATTCTCCTTACTTAACCAGGATATCAAGAGCGATATAAAGGACATTTACTGAAGTATCAAAATAGTATGAGATCAGAAAGAATCTAAATATCTAATAACAAAAGACTGATTAAACTACAGTACATCTATATCATGGGATACCACACATCCAGTTAAAAAAAAAAAAAAAAGACATGGGCCGGGCGTGGTGGCTCACGCCTATAATCCCAGCACTTTGGGAGGTTGAGGCGGGCGGATCACTTGAGGTCGGAGTTTGAGACCAGCCTGGCCAACATGGAGAAACCCTTTCTCTGCTAAAAATACAAAATTAGCTAGGCGTGGTGGTGCCCACCTGTAATCCCAGCTACTCAGGAGGCTGAGGCGGGAGAATCGCTTGATCCTGGGAGGCGGGGGTTGCAGTGAGCCAAGATCATGCCATTGCACTCCAGCCTGGGCAACAAGCAAAACTCCGTCTCAAAAAAAAAAAAAAAGAAGAAGAAGAAAAAAGAAAGAAAAAAGAAAGACAGGGATTAACATAAACCATATGAAATTACTTCAAAATATATTAAATGAAAAGGGTAAGGTGCAGAAACTATGTATCATGGGAACACTTCAGGTAAATACAAAATTATTTGTAAATGTACATATCTATATACTAGTATAGAAATGTTATACATATAAATTTTATGCTAGACATTTTTTTTCCAGAATATTCAAGGAAGCGTCAAGAGTGGTTGCTTTTGGGGATATAGAGCTTCTTACTTTTACTTCTTTCTATATTTTTTAATGCTAAGTATATATTGTTCTTAATTTTACTTTCATAACAGCTTTCCAAAGTCTCTCCGACCATCCCTCAGAAGGCTTTCCAGCCTCTTCCTCTTGACTCCAGGGTACCTTCTATGGTTATGTAGGCTGCATTCTGAATGTAAGCTCCTAGCCCATGGGACAGAATCCAGTCTGAAGCACGCTTGTCTAGCTGTGAACCCTGTCACTGTGCTGTATCCACTTAGAGGCACATCTTTTTTTAATTCTCCAAAATGCCACCATATGCGCTGGTGGCAGCTCTGCACAGCTCTTCATTCTACCTTTCCCTACCACCCACCCTTTATTTCTGCCACAGTTTGATTTGGTTCTTGCTTCTCACCTACCCTCTTCAGTTTACCTCTTCAGAACATCCCTCATATCCTGCCTTCCTACGCTTAGCCCAGGAATCAGTGAAACTCCAGGCCCATCCACTGCCATGCCCAGCCCAGGCCTGAAATCAAGCAGCCCTCCCAATTTACCCGAAGGGAAGCCATGCTAAGGTGCTCCTGTTGCCCCAACTTCTGCATGTGTACCTGCTGGTATTTATCATGCATAGTTTATGGACAGCAGCTCTAATTATCCACACAAAGGGCAGTGGGTATTGGCACATATCATTCAAAACAGCAGATGACCACAAAATTAGGGCTTCAGGAAGTTGTCCTTGGAAGGTCATTGGTGATTCTTTTTAATATAGATTTTGCCACCGTAGATTTACTCGAATTAAAATTAACTCATATTCTGTTTCGTATCTACTGAATGTAGTAGGACTGAAGTAAAAAAAATCTACCAGCAATTAAATTGACCAGGGATAAAAAAAAAAAATGTGTTTGGGACAATCTGCCTAAAGGGGGCTATATTTAAAACCACATTTAGATTTTTCCTTTCTGTTTTAACATAGGAGCCTTTTCTCAATACTAATATTCAACCTAAGGCCAAAGTACACTTTCTTCAAACGTTTTTCTTATCTTTTATAAAAATCTTGTGTGAGTGCATATGCTATTAGTGAAATTGGTTTTACAAAGCACCCAAAACCTACTCTTATTTAGTTGTAGCCACTTGAATGTCTGTCAGCTTCAACTCAGTTTCTTTGCTGCTCCAGTCTTTGAAGGGAAACATCACCAGCTTATTGATCTTTACATTGCTGGCACTAAATACCATTATTTCGGCTTGCTTCTTTGTCACAACTATAAACATAAATGAAACTTCACATTTTGACTGTTGACTTAAAGGCTTACGGTACCAGAAGGATAAAGGTTTCCAATATATTAATTATAATCACTAGGGGTGTGTGTGTGTGTGTGTGTGTGTGTGTATGTGTGTGTGTTGGTGGGGGGGGCTTGTTTTGTTTTGTTTTTCTTTTGAGATGGAGTTTCAAAAGGCTGCAGTGTAGTGGCGCAATCTCGGCTCACTGCAACCTCCACCTCCCGGGTTCAAGCGATTCTCCTGCCTCAACCTCCTCAGTAACTGTGATTACAGGCATGCACCACCACGCCTGGCTAATTTTGTATTTTTAGTAGAGGTTGGGTTTCTCCATGTTGGTCAGGCTGGTCTTGAACTCCCAACCTCAGGTGATCTGCCCATCTCGGCCTCCCGAAGTGTTGGGACTACAGGCATGAGCCACTGTGCCCAGCCGTGTGTGTGTGTGTGTGTGTGTGTGTGTGTGTGTGTTTACTCATCTTTTGTAATGGTTATGCTTGACTTAGCATATTGGCACATTTTATCAGAGTAATATATATCCACAAAGCCATACTGCTCCTACATGTGAGAATTTAGTTTACGCATTTATGAATGGGTCTATCCGTATCCATTCATGAATGGACATCTTCTCTAAAAAGTATAAAATAGATTATTGTATTCTACAACTATGAGAGCATTAAGAAACAGTAAGTTTTCTTTCTTTCTGTTTTTCTTATTTTCATGGGGTCTCTACTGCCCTGCATGTGGCAGTCTGTATGCTACATGTGATCCCAGAATTTCTACCTAAGGAAGGAACAAGAAGTATCTACCTAGCCCACAAAAAGACATGACTCTAGCAGCAAACTGCAGCTTGTAGCTCCCAGATAAGTTTGTCAGGATGGAAATGTCAATTTGAGCCAGTGTGCTTTCTGTTTTTATAAGACAATTTAGGGAGGTGGAATGGTTGTCACAGCGTAGGAGTTGTTATCAAGAGTTTTAAATTCAATTGAGAAGGAACCAGGAGGTACATACATAAGCAAGGAATGAGAAAGGCATTTCATAATTTAGCAAGAAACTGACACTTCCCTCTTATCCTTTACTGCAAATATTTTTTCTTTTTCTTTTTTTGACAACTGTTATAGTTTTACTTTATTCTAGTTAACTTCTTTTTTTTTAAATTTTTTTAGTGTTTATTGATCATTCTTGGGTGTTTCTCAGAGAGGGGTATTTGGCAGGGTCATAGGACAATAGTGGAGGGAAGGTCAGCAGATAAACATGTGAACAAAGGTCTCTGGTTTTCCTAGGCAGAGGGCCCTGCCGCCTTCCGCAGTGTTTGCGTCCCTGGGTACTTGAGATTAGGGAGTGGTGATGACTCTTAACGAGTATGCTGCTTTCAAGCATCTGTTTAACAAAGCACATCTTGCACCGCCCTTAATCCATTTAACCCTGAGTGGACACAGCACGTGTTTCAGAGAGCAGGGGGTTGGGGGTAAGGTTATAGATTAACAGCATCCCAAGGCAGAAGAATTTTTCTTAGTACAGAACAAAATGGAGTCTCCTATGTCTACTTCTTTCTACACAGACACAGTAACAATCTGATCTCTCTTTCTTTTCCCCACATTTCCCCCTTTTCTATTCGACAAAACCGCCATTGTCATCATGGCCCGTTCTCAATGAGCTGTTGGGTACACCCCCCAGACGGGGTGGCGGCCGGGCAGAGGGGCTCCTCACTTCCCAGACGGGGCGGCCGGGCAGAGGCGCCCCCCCACCTCCCAGATGGGGCGGCGGCTGGGCAGGGGCTGCCCCCCACCTCCCGGATGGGGTGGCTGGCCGGGCAGGTCTTTTTTTTTTTTTGAGACAGTCTCTCTGTCACCCCGCCTGGAGTGCAGTGGCTCCATCTCAGCTCACTGAAACCTTTGCGTCCTGGGTTCAAGAGATTCTCCCACCTCAGTCTCCCGAGTAGCTGGGATTACAGGTGCCCACCACCATGCCCAACTAATTTTTGTATTTTTAGTAAAAACAGGGTTTCACCATATTGACTAGGCTGGTCTGGAACTCCTGACTTCAGGTGAAGTCCACCTGGCTTGGCCTCCCAAAATGCTGGGATTACAGGCGCGAGCCACCACACCTGGCCTACTACAAAGATTTTTAAAAATCAGTGATGATAACTGTAATTGCTAACAGGTATGCCATGTAGAGATGACCAGAGTTGTTCTGTGATGAGAGGAGCCTTGTTTGTAACCAACTTATTGCTTCATGCCTGAGAGCAAAAGTGGCTTAGGTTTAGCTGGGGTTAGATCTAGGGACTGGCACTTACTAACTATGTGACTTTGGAAAAGAGGCCCACTTCGTTACCTACAATATGGGGTTCATAATAGTGCCTATCTAGTAAGGTGACTGAATGGATTATGGCTAACAATACATGTGAAGGGTTTAGCACAGTGCCTAGCACATAGTAAGTGCCCAATAAAAGTTTATTTACTGTTTTGCTTAAGTATTTGAAAGCAGTTTACCTTGTTAAGTAGGCTAACCCATTTTGAATATTTTTCAACAAATGCTCTCTTCCCAAAACATATACAAGTAAACTCCAATCAAGTCTGGGTGAAATTATTATAAATTCCATATTAGTGGTGACCTAAATAAATGAGGTGTCACTGTTTTCCACTATCTGTGTCAATACTTCCCTCCTTTTGTACAGATCATTGAGAGCTGAATTAGCCTAAATAGAATGTTAAAGTTGTAATGCCCAAGTGGACTTATTTAAGGAGTGATTATGGCTAGAAAGTGGTCTGTAAAAATAACTCTCGCCCTTACATCACATCACTTGCTTCCTGCGGCGCCTTGAAGTTGTCCTGACAAACAGGCCTGCCCTCCTGCAGACCCAGGATTCTATTCTGCCTCACACATCCCTAACACAACTGCCAGCTGAGTTCTAATTGCAGAATCTTCATTACCAGGGATGATTGAAACTATAAAAAGAACCCAGCTGAATTTTTCACATCCTGCTGGGTGAGCACAAGGACCAGCTCTCCTGTTCCTGCTCCCTCCCCCAGCAATTATCCTTGGTACATGTGTGGTCTAGCTTCTGCAGGGAGCTCTGAGCAATTGATAGATGTTATCTTCCTTCTCCTCCAAACCTCCCTGCCAAGGAGGTGTGTTGATGACCGTGACAAATATGCCTGGTCTTCCTCCACAGCTGTGGAGACAGGAGGTTCATTTCTCAACCTTTCCTACCTAAGTATCTTGTCCAAAGTCACCTAGAAGTGACAGATCAGAGAGAGATAAGAATCATTTCTCCTAGCCCCCTAGGCCTTTGTGACAACCTATTATACCCTATGTGAAAATTTGCCTTTTTTTGTTTTGTCCTTTCTTATTTCAGTGAGCATTTCTAAAGCACCTGCTGAGTGCTCAGTACTGCATTAATTGTAGTGAAAGGGGATATCCAGAAATAAGAGGCCACCAAGGAATTTAAAATCTAGTTGGAAGGCAAAAGGCAGGACTGTTCTTGGTTCTGTAGCTAATAACTTTAAGAATCAAGGAAAAAATGTATGCAAATTTTACATAAAATTTATGCAAAAAATAACTTTTCCTATCTGAAAGAGAGAGAAAAAGAGCACATGTATCTGTATATTTAGAAAGAAAAAGAAATGTCTGGAAGGAAGTGCATCAGAAAAGTTAATGGTAGCCATCTCTGAGACGCTGTGTAACAAAACGTTTGAGAAGGTGGTCTCTGAAGACACAATGACACAATCTAGGTTTAAATCCTAATTCTGCCACTCACCATTGCCTTGTGCATGTTACGTTTCACCTAAGTTTCAGTTTTCTTACCTATACAATGGGATGGTAATTGTAGTATCTGCTAGGTTTGTTGTGAGGATTAAATAGGATAATATAGATAGAGCATTTAGCAGTGCCTGGCATTTAAATTCAAGTGCTCTAAAAATGTAACTGTTTCTAGTGATGAGATATTGAAGGAGAGGCATAAGAGGGGAAGTCTTCGAGGAGGCACGACTTGAACTGGTCCCTGGTGAATGGTGAAGACTAGAATAGTCAGAGGGGAGAGCCAGGGGTATTCTGGGTTAGGGAAACATCTTGAAGGAAGAGACAGAAAGGAGCCTCGGCTGTTCTCAAAAAGAGAGAGGCCTGTACATGAACTAAGAAAAAGGTTGCATAAGGAAACACACAGTGGAGACAGAAAGTTTCGTTGCTTTCTCTTTTGTCCCAGCCCCTACGCATGCACAGCCTCTCCCATCATCAACATCCTGCATCAGATTGGTATATTTGTTAAAACTGATGAGCCTACCTAGGCACATCATTATCACGCAAAGCCTATAGTTTAAATTGAGGTTCACTCTTGGTGGTGTACATTCTGTGGGTTTGGACAAATGTCTAAGGACTTTTATCTAGAAGGTCTGGTTTTTTCAACTCCCTGATTCCCCTCCACAAAAAGAGACACAGCAATTAAGACAGCAAACAAAACCAATAAACAAAACCACCTGCAGATAACATCTTGAATAAAACCAGGTATCAAGGCACCTCCATAAACTCCAAAATGTCAGAGGGTGAGGCCAAAGCACCAAGTAAAATGACCTTATTGATGTCAACAACAAATTAGAAGGAAGCAGAGGAAAGACAAGGAACATATGACAGTTCCAAGGGCCAGGGAAATCAGAGATGACTAATAAATACTTGGCCTCAAAAAGAGGGGACTCCACTAAGGGGATAAACTGAATAGACCCAGCTGAGGCTGGGAGGGGTCGACTCAGGCTCTAAATGGTGGTTTGTAGTTGGCCAACTTCCCCTTCAGGGGGAGATTCAAAATAGAGAAAACTTTTTAAATGATTCTGCCCGCCCCAACATTATTGAGAGGCAGAAAAATTGAGTTCTAGGCCAGTAGAGGGGTGGCATGTTCACTGTATGACTCTGGAAGCCTGCTGTGAGGAGGAGGGATGGACAGGAACAGAAAGGAATACCTCAGTGCCCTTTCTTTCTGCCTTCCCATCAAGACAGTACAACGCCTATGGAAAAAGAAAACAACAACAAAACCTCAACCAGTATCTAGGACAGAGCTATGAGGACTTAGATTATGGGGGCAGGGTCGCCTTATGAAGAGGCAACAACCAGCAATGATCAAACCCAGGCTCTGATCCGTTGACTCCCTTCATCCTCCTTACAATCAACAGGAATGACCCCAGTGAGAGGCTGAGATTAGGCTTCTCCCCTCTAAGTCAAATGTCCTGTCAAATAGCTGACACCTACATGGCAAAACGAAATTACAGTGAAAAATACCAGATAACTGAGGAATGCAACCACTAAAAGAAAGGTAATAAACTTCATCACTCCTACTAGATGGGATCGATGTTAAAAAATTAAAATAGGCCGGGCATGGTGGCTCATGCCTGTAATCCCAGCACTTTGGGAGGCCAAGGCAGGCGGATCACTTGAGGTCAGGAGTTTGTGACCAGCCTGGCCAACGTGGTGAAACCCCGTCTCTACCAAAAATATAAAAATCAGCCGGGCATGGTGGCACATGCCTATAATCCCAGCTACTCAGGAGGCTGAGGCAGAAGACTCACTTGAACCTGGGAGGCGGAGGTTATAGTGAGCCAAGATTGAGCCCCTGCGCTGCAGCTCGGGCGACAGAGTGAGACTGTGTCTCAAAAATTAATTAATTAATTAATTAAAAATTAAAATAGGCATAACATATACTATCAAAGAGAGAGATTATCGTATATTATTTGTTGTTGTTGGCTTTTTTTGTTTGTTTGTTTTTGAGATGGAGTCTCGCTCTTGTTGCCCAGGCTGGAGTACAATGGCATGATCTCGGCTCACTGCAACATCTGCCTCCCAGGTTCAAGCGATTCTCCTGCCTCACCCACCCACCCAAGTAGCTGAGATTACAGGTGCCTGCCACCATGACCAGCTAATTTTTGTATTTTTAGTAGAGACGGGGTTTTGCCATGTTGGCCAGGCTGGTCTCGAACTCCTGACCTCAGGTGATCCACCCACCTCGGCCTCCCAAAGTGCTGGGATTACAGGCATGAGCCACTGCACCCGGCCTGATCGTATATTGTTAACATGAAGTGAATACAATCATTTTTAAAAGAACCAAGCAAAAATACCAGGTAGAAAAAATATAACAGCTTAATTAAGGAAATTAAGTGAAGAGAGAAAAAGCAGAATAGATTCAGAAAAATTTGAATTTGTGAACACAAGATTCAGCTGAGGAACTTCACAAGGGACCAGGAAGAAAAAAGTGAAAAAAAATTAGAATAAAAATATTAACATCCATGTAATAGAAGTCCCAGAAGGAAAGACAAAGGAATTGTGGTAGATTGCAAAACTATGCTCCTCAGTGAATCTCACCTCTTACAATGCATGATCAATCCCATCTCACATTCATGCTGAACTTGATCATTTGCCTTATTTTGACCAGTGGGACATCAATAAATGTGATGCAAGCAAAAATGTGTTAAGTACATGTGCTTTGGGGTTGGGGTGGGATATGTGATCATGTAACTTACTTTAGCCAATGAAATACCAGTAAATTTGAAGCAAACAGGCTTAGTAAGCACTTGTGCCAAAAGCTGCTTTGACCATCTGAGGAAGCCTACTATAGCTTTCTTAAGGACAAAAGATCACATGGAGAGAGGGGCCTAGCCACTGCTGTCTAGATGAACCCAGCCCTCTGGATTCTCTTCAGCTGAAAGCAGCCACATGAGTATGGCCAGAGAAGAGCAGTGGAACCACCCAGCCAACTCACAGAACCACAAGAAATAACTGTTGTTCTTGCAAGCCACTAAGTTTTGGGTAATTTGTTATGTATTTAGCAATAGATGATTGATATGGGAGATAATATATGAGTAAAAAAGACCTAAAATTCCCAGAATAAAAGATTTTAGACGAAATAAATATTTTAGATAGAAAGACTAACACAATACCAAAAGAACAAGAAAAAAAAAAGGCAGAAAAAACCTCCCTTAGGATTTATAGTATAATTCCAAAAGGCAATTCTACAATCATGCAGAAAGAGAATATATGACTTACAAAGTAACACAAATACATTTGACATCATTTGTCTCAATTGTGACATGGGAATCAATATGTCAATGGAGTGTTATTTCCTTTTTTTTTTTTTTTTTTGAGATGGAGTCTCCCTCTGTAGCTCAGGCCGGAGTGCAGTGGTGTGATCTCGGCTCACTGCAACCTCCGCTTCCCGGGTCCTGGTTCAAGCAATTCTCCTGCCTCAGCCTCTGGAGTAGCTGGTAGCCGGGATTACAAGCACGCACCACCATGCCCAGCTAGTTTTTGTATTTTTAGTAGAGATGGGGTTTCACCATGTTGGCCAGGCTGGTCTTAAACTCCCTACCTCGTGATCTGCCTGCCTTGGCCTCCCAAAGTGCTGGGATTACAGGCGTGAGTCACCACACCTGGCATAATGGAGTGTTATTTTCAAGGAGTAAAAATAAAAGGACTTCTAACCTAGAACTAAACTTTCCCATTTAAATGTGAAGATTCAATAAAGATATTCTTGGGTAAACAAGGCTAAAGGAACTTTAACATGCAAGAGACATTCCAAAAAATACTCCTTGGCTAAAAACTAAAATTAACTCATCAACTCAAAAAGTTAAATACAATAAAGAAGAAAAACAAAACCAAAATTGTTTTCTTCAAAAAGATTTGTAAGATAGACAAACCTCTGGCAAGAGTAATGAGGGAGAAAAAGTAAGATACAAATAAATAAGATATAGAATAAAAATGGAAAATAACTAAAAATATAATAGATTTTAAACATAATGAAAGAATATTATGAGGAATTATATGCTAATAAATTTGATTACACAAATAAAATGGAGGCAGAACTTTCTCAAGCAAAATTATTGAGGCAAGAAGAAATAAAAAATTGGAATCAACTATAATCAATTAAAATAGTCATCAATAACTTTGTACCTAAATGTGCACACACGCACACACACACACACCCCTCTTGCATGCACACCCACACATGCCTCAAGTAAATTTTACAAAACTTTCAAGGAATAGATACTCTCTCTCTTATCAAAGATGTTTCAGAAAATTTTAAAGGCCTGAAAGTTACCCAACTCATTTATATATAAACCGGGTTCCAAAATTGAAAGGACACAAAAAAGCATCCTGTATGCTAGCAACAGCCAGCTGAAAAATATAATATAAACAAAATACTATTTTCAATAGCAACAAAGTAATAACATATCTAAGAGTTAACCTAAAAAAAGAACCTCATAGAGAAAATTTAAAAACTCTATTAAAGGATTTAAATGTTTATGCACAAATAAAAAGACATACCATGTTAATGAATGGGGAAAGTTCAAAATTATAAAGAGGTTATTTCTCCTCCAACTTAATCTGCCTACTGTAATTTTAATATTTTAAGATCTTAAACATATACATGGAATTAAAGTTTATAAATAGCTGGTAATCTTGAAAATAATGAGTTCATGACAAGAGGGAGAGATGACAAAAGAGAAATAGGGCAGAACTCACTGTGGCAGATATTAAGTATAGAACATAAAGCTGTAATAATAAATATATTGATATACTGGAGGAAAAAACACATGAAGGTGTACTGGAGACAAGGAGATCAGCTGAACTCTCAGATGATCACAAAAGTACAGGCAAGGAGTGATGAGTCTCAGCATTATCTTGGTAGACTAGCAGTGGGAACAGCACAGCAGGGTCTGTGAGATATATTTTATCAAAAAGCCTTGAGGATTTCCCGACTGAATGGATATAGGAGTGAAGGAAAAAAAAAGATTGAGTTGTGCAATGGGAGATGAGTCTGACAAGATGGATTAAAGATAGACTGTGCGGGATCCTTTATAAGAAGTTAATCTTAGAAAGGTTAAGTGTTGGGGCACATAGGAAATGAATCAACAGAGAAAGAGGCCAATTAAGCTAATTGGAGAAACACCCATTAAACTGTTGCAATTGTCAGGTAGGGAATGATGAAGGATGGAACTAAAACTGTGGGAACTGGGATGGGAAGCGGAGAGGTAGAGATGAGAGATATTTAAAATGTTGAATCTAAATGACTTGGTATATTAGTTAAAGTGGATAGCAAAAGAGGAGAAGGGTTCAAGAAAGCTCTGAGTTTTCTAGCTTTGTTAGGAGGTAGGTGGCAGCAGCCTTAGTCAAGGAAATTCAGGGGTCACCATTTCAGCCAGAAGTCAATTTAACTTTGAATATCCAAGTTTGGATGCTTCCTACAAACGGGTAACCGGAAAGGAAGCTCTGGAACTTCAGAGAGAGTTTAGGCCTGCAGATATAGAATCGAGCATCTGGCCAGAGTTTGGGAAAGTAATAGAAGCCATGGATATGGCCATATTTCACAGGAAATGAACATAGAAGAGGAAAGTCAGGTGGTCGAGTTCTCCAGGAGTCTGTGGTCCCAAGGCAGAATCCAGCACTGCCTTTGAGAGGCCCAGGGAATGCCAGGAAAAGTGAGAGCCACACTTGGCAACTGTCACATCACATCTGCTCTCTGTGGCATGGTTTCCTCACTGACTATCAGAATACATAAATATATGTAGCACATCAAACAGACAAATCCACTCTGCACAGATCTGCCTAAATATTTAGACAGAGCAAAGCAGTGACAGAAATGATTAAGAAATTGAAATTCCAGTCACTAAAGGTGATCAGTGAAACAGAGAACAACTCTCATTTCAACCTCTCGTCATCAGACCCATGGTTGACTTGTCACTTCCAGAATGAGGAAAGAATAGTTCAGCAAATGTGGGAGGCTTTGTAGATTTCTGATGGTGTGTGGGTTAGCCCTTAATTCTCCTTTGGTGAATTTTCTTCTTGTGGCATTCCACCATCAGAGGTTAGACTGGGGAAGTGAGCAAAGGACAGGGGATAGGTGCAGTTAAAAGAATATTGAATTTGGCACCAGAAGATTGAGTTGAAGTCCCAGATCCACGGGTTACTACCAATGTGACATAGCCTCCCTGAACCTGTTCTTATCTGTAAAATAAGAATGTTAATTCCTGACCTGCCTACCTCCCAGGGCAGGTGAGAGTCGAGAGCTAATGTGTGCCAGTGGTTTTTGAACTGTGTTCTTCAGGGTTCTGGGCTTCCTCTCTGAGACCATAGGTGCCACAGCTACAAGGGGGAATGAGCTTAAGAGGTATAACCAGAGGCAGTGCTTTAGCTCCCCCATGCCTGGCTATCCCAAAGCAGCCTGACTTTTATTTGTATCTGCTACTAAAAATACAGAGGGCAAACTCACTGCCCTGAATTAATGTTGGATGAAAAAGAACATGTGGCTGAGCGTGGCTCACGCCTATAATCCTAGCACTTTGAGAGGCTCAGGTGGGCAGATCACTTGAGGCCAGGAGTTTGAGATCAGCCTGGCAAACATGGTGAAACACTGTCTCTACTAAAAATACAAGAATTAGCTGGGCGTGGTGGCATGCACCGGTAATACTAGCTACTCAGGACGCTGAGGCAGGAGAATTGCTTGAACCTGGGAGGCAGAGGTTGCAGTGAGCCGAGATCATGCCACTGTACTCCAGCCTGGGTGACAGCGCGAGACTCTGTCTCAAAAAAAAAAAAGAAAGAAAGAAAGAAAGAAAGAAAGAAAGAAAGAAAGAAAGAAAAACAACAAGTATCTGAAATGAGCTTTTTGGATTATCTGTGAACTGCAATTTCTGGTATCCTCTCTTCATTATCAGATAATTAAGAATTCATTGTATGTGATTTTTTATTATAATAAGTTGGCTCCTAGTACTATCCTAAATTACATCTCCTATAAGACCACAGATTTACTTATCGTGATTACGTCTATGGACCGGGTGCTGAGTTGCCAGGTGAAGACTGCTACCATCCTCTACTACTCCTGGTTTAATTGCAATGCCCCATCCTGCAGCCCAGCAGAACTGCTGTGAAGATGCAACGTCCCAGCTGTTCTCTACTGCAGAGACACCATTCAGGAGACTGAATCCCTGCTCAGCACAGAGTTCCTGGGGAAAAACTCAATTTCCCTCAAAGTTTTAACACAGGCCGGGCGCGGTGGCTCACGCCTGTAATCCCACCACTTTGGGAGGCTGAGGCAGGCGGATTGCCTGAGCTCAGGAGTTTGCCACCAGCCTGAGCAACACGGTGAAACCGCGTCTCTACTAAAATAAAAAAATAAAAAAAAAAAAAAAATTGCCAGGCGTGGCGGCGTGCGCCTGTAGTCCCAGCTACTCGGGAGGCTGAGGCAGGAGAATTGCTTAAACCCGGGAGGCGGAGGTTGAAGTGAGCCGAGATTGTGCCACTGCACTCCAGCCTGGGCGACAGAGTGAGACTCCGACTCAAAAAAAAAAATTTTTTTTAGCACATTATTTCACACCATTAGACCAAGCTCTATCACAAAAGAAGGTGCCAGGGACGAGAAGCAGAGCTTAGGTTTTCTGCAGGCAGATCATTAATGACTTTACTCTGGTGTGTCTTAACAGGGTTCCCAGGAGCTCAGGATCTGAATGGTCTGTAGCAAAGTAATGTGAAATGGGTTGACAAAGGAAAGAATCAGCTCTGCTCTAGTTTTACAAAGAGTGGCATAAATCTTGATCAAAATAGTGACCACAGGAGCTGGAGATAATTAATTATTATTTGTATATAAGAATATCATATGTTACTCACGAGTCCCTCCTTTATAGCAATAACACCCAATAAATGGTAGTCAGAAATAAAGGGAGTATTTACTTTAGGAAAGCTCTTAAATTCTCAATTATCTTAACCTCTGAAGACTGTAGGGCTTTCAATCCGCATCTCTCCAGGCAGTAGGTATTGTAGTCAACCCACTGTTTCCAAGGTCTGTTTCTACCTTCTCAGGGATACATCACACAGGGTTTGTCTCTCCTCAAGTGTTGCTTTCTCTAATGCCACCTGGTCATCCAGCCAGGACATGGGAGGAAGTATGGCAGATTTCGTCATTTCTTTCAACCAGGGAAAAGGGAGGATTGGAATAGTGTTTCCTAAAGTTGTGTTCAAGGCCTTGGTAGTTTCTGGATATTATTCTTTTGTCAGATGAGTAGATTGCAAACATTTTCTCCCATTCTGTAGGTTGGCTGTTCACTCTGATGGTAGTTTCTTTTGCTGTGCAGAAGCTCTTTAGTTTAAGTAGATCCCATTTGTTAATTTTGGCTTTTGTTGCCATTGCTTTTGGTGTTTTAGGCATGAAGTCCTTGCCCATGCCTATGTCCTGAATGGTATTGCCTAGGTTTTCTTCTAGGGTTTTCATGGTTTTAGGTCTAACATGTAAGTCTTTAATCCATCGTGAATTAATTTTTGTATAAGGTGTAAGGAAGGGATCCAGTTTCAGCTTTCTACATATGGCTAGCCAGTTTTCCCAGCACCATTTATTAAATAGGGAATCATTTCCCCATTTCTCGTTGTAGTTTCTAGCATTATAGGAAAATGAGAAAAGTTTTGGGTCTTGAAGTATGGGGAACAACAACACCCTATGTAGGAACTAAAGGGAAATTCCAGAATCCTTCCTTCATTTGCCCCAAGTTGGAGTAGGAAAGAGGCACACTGCCCTGTTGGCAGCTAGGAGAGCCATAGGATCCCAGCTCCCATCAGCTTGCATCATGGAGGTCTGGAGTGAGGACCATGTAAACTGAACGGCCGGGCCCAAAGTACAGAGTCCATACTGTCAGACCTCATTTGGAGATTTCTAGAACCTTACCAGGAACTCCACTTGCTTCTTCAGAGAATTTAAGAACACAAGAATTACCACATGAGCTCAAAACATGATCCATCCAGCTTAGAAGTTGCTTTATCATGAAAATTCCAGAGATGTGTTATGGCAGGACATGCTGCCCCCAAAGCCTCAAACCCCAGATGTCTTTAGCTATTGAGAGTATTTCTAAGAGCAAAGTCTCCATAATTTGGAAGAACGCTTCTATAGCATAGGCTGAGGAGAAAAACAGAAACTGGGAAGAAAACTAGTTAGTTGTGGAAAATCTATTTGTACAAAGCCCTGTGATAGGTTCTTTTACAATAAGCATCTTTAAGACTTTCAATAACCCTATGAATTGGGTAATATTACTGCCTATTTTCCACATGAGGAAACAGAGAATTAGAAAGGCCAAGCCCTGTGCCGAAAACCACATCACTAAAAAGAGGTAGACTGAGATTTTCTTCAGCCTTTGCATTCAATTAACTAATTGCTAAATCCTAGGGGTTCTGCCTCTTAAATAAGTCTCAAGTCAGTCTCCTCTTTGCCAGTTTCATTACCATGAGCCTGCTTCAAGTCTCCACTGTTTCGTTTTGACCATCGCAATGACCACTTAACTGGCCTTCCTACATGTGTCACTACCCCCGCTTTCCCCTTCCCTCCCCACCCCACTCCACCCACCACAGCATCCTTCACTCTAGCCATGTTTTGCCCATACCACTCACTACAGACTGTCTTAATAAAGTCTTTTTTCTTCCTTTAAGTCCCAACTTATGGCATCACCCCCTCTGAGAAGCCCACCCTGATATCTCAGGCACACTTAGAAGCTCCTCCCCAGTGCAGTACCTTGCGCGTGGGTCCTTCACAGCAGTGGTTGCATTGTAGCAGAACTGGCCCTTTAAGTGTCTATATCTCGCCAGACAGACACCAAGTCTCTTTTCATCCATTTATCCCCTGCACTTACACTGTCTTGCCTACAGTAGGCACTCGAGAACTTGTTGAATAAAATGAATGAATGGAATGAGTGAAATTTTTAAATACTTATCAAATCAAAGAAATGAGTAAATGAAATTTTAAACAAGTTATCTCTGACTCAAAAGCTACACTAATAAAAGAATCTTGAATCACTACTAGAATGTTAGATTTCTCTTGTAAACACAAAATGAACTAGAAAAATAATTACAGAGTAAACTTGATATGTAAAATTTGAATTTCAAACAGATGAAGTAATATTATTACTCACTTCAGCTACAAAAGGTACACATGGACCCATAATACATTATATTTATGCAACACTTCATAGTCTTCAAAGGATGTTTATATACTCTATTTCATTTGAATCTAACAGCAATCCAGTAGGGTAAAGCAGAGGAGGTATTTATTAACCCAGTTTTTCAGATGAGGAAACTAAGGATCAGGGAGGTTAAAGTGACATACCCAAAGTCACACAGAGGCAGAAATAGAAAAGATCCTGGCCGGGCGCAGTGGCTCACGCCTGTAATCCCAGCACTTTGGGAGGCCTAGGCAGGCGGATCACGAGGTCAGGAGATCGAGACCACCCTGGCTAACACGGTGAAACCACATCTTTACTAAAAATTAGCCTGGTGTGGTGGTGGGCGCCTGTAGCGCCAGCTGCTCGGGAGGCTGAGGCAGGAGAATGGCGTGAACCCGGGAGACGGAGCTTGCAGTGAGCCGAGATCGCACCACTGCACTCCAGCCTGGGTGACAGAGTGAGACCCCGTCTCAAAAAATAAAATAAAATGATAAATAAATAAATAAATAAATAATAGAAATAGAACAGATCCCAAGAATTCAAAGTGCAAGTTCATTAGTCTTGTCTACCAGGTGACCTCTGATAGCAGGCTTTGATCATTCCATTGACAGTGAAAAGGTGCAATGATTATCATTCTCACAAACTTCGAAAATCCCCTCCTGACTACAGGCAAAAGGGTCCCAGACATCTTAAGAGGCCAAAAGACTGAGGGCAGGCAACTCCTTCAGAGTCAAGACTCCATTCCGTTTGACAAGTCTCAATCTTCCTAGCAGACAGCTGACACTATGATTGATTCGGCTGCTCCATTGTCTCAAGCTCTAGGTTCCTTTCTGAACATTGTGGCCAGAAAGGATAGGTGGGGCAAAGTCAAGGCATGGGAGGAGGGCAGAGAGGTAGTGAGGGGAAATAGAGGCAGACAGACCTGGGTTCAAAATCTAGTTCCATCTCCTTCCTTTTCCAGATGGATATCCAATTGCTCTAGCACCAGTTGTTGAAAACACTTTTCTTTCTCCATTGGATTGCTATAGAGCTTTTGTTGAAAATCATTTGACTGTATGTGTAAATGGTCTGTTCTAAGGCACTCTATTCTGTTTTAATGATTTATTTGTTTCTCCTGATGCCATAGAGTCTTAATAGTGTAGCTTTATAATAAGTCTTGAAGCCAGGTAGTTTAAGTCCTTTAACTTTGTTCTCTTCAGCTTTTCTGTAGGCATCCTAGGTTCTTTGCATATAAATGTGAGAGTCAGTTGACAATTTCTACAAAAAACTCTAGTGAATCTATAGATCAATATGGGGAGAAGGTGATATCTTAACAATATTGAGTCTTCCAATCCATAAACATGGTATATCTATCTACTTATGTAGGTCTTTAAAATTTTCTCTTAGCAATGTTTTATACTTTACAGTGTAGAGATCTTGCACATCTTCTGTTAGATGTATTCCTAGGTATTATATGTTTTTGCTGTTATTGAAAACAGAATTATAGGTTTTATTTTTTTACTTTTCAATTATAATAACAGCAAATGTGAATTTACCTTGGAGTTAATACAGCTTAAGCTCCAGAGTTCTCCTTTGCAAAGGCCCTTTGCAAAACCTTCTGAGGTAGCCTAGCAGTTTTATAATCATAATTTTATATTATTTTTATTAAGTAGGGCCCTCCAAAATTGTACACCATCCAGATCACACAATACTTAGATTCATCCCCTGCCTGCTAGTAATGTTCTTGTCTCTCTGAGAGCCTCAGTCTTCTTATATCTAAAATTGAAATAATCTTTATCTATCTCCCAAGCTTATTTTTTCTAATGTGGTAAAACACACACACACAACAAAATTCGCTGGTTTTTTTTTATACTTTAAGTTTTAGGGTACATATGCACAATGTGCAGATTAGTTACATATGTATACACGTGCCATGTTGGTGTGCTGCACCCAGTGACTCGTCATTTAACATTAGGTATATCTCCAAATGCTATCCCTCCCCCCTTCCCCCACCCCACAACAGGCCCTGGTGTGTGATGTTCCCCTTCCTGTGTCCATGTGTTCTCATTGTTCAATTCCCACCTATGAGTGAGAACATGCAGTGTTTGGTTTTTTTGTCCTTGCCATAGTTTGCTGAGAATGATGGTTTCCAGCTTCATCCATGTCCCTACAAAGGACATGAACTCATCCCTTTTTATGGCTGCATAGTATTCCATGTGTATATGTGCCACATTTTCTTAATCCAGTCTATCATTGCTGGACATTTGGGTTGGTTCCAAGTCTTTGCTATTGTGAATAGTGCCACAATAAACATACGTGTGCACGTGTCTTTATAGCAGCATGATTTATAGTCCTTTGGGTATATACCCAGTAATGGGGTGGCTGGGTCAAAATGTATTTCTAGTTCTAGATCCCTGAGGAATCGCCACACTGACTTCCACATGGTTGAACTAGTTTACAGTCCCACCGACAGTGTAAAAGTGTTCCTATTTCTCCACATCCTCTCCAGCACCTGTTGTTTCCTGACTTTTTAATGATTGCCATTCTAACTGGTGTGAGATGGTATCTCATTGTGGTTTTGATTTGCATTTCGCTGATGGCCAGTGATGATGAGCATTTTTTCATGTGTCTTTTGGCTGCATAAATGTCTTCTTTTGAGAAGTGTCTGTTCATATCCTTCACCCACTTTTTGATGGGGTTGTTTGTTTTTTTCTTGTAAATTTGTTTAAGTTCTTTGCAGATTCTGGATATTAGCCCTTTGTCAGATGAGTAGATTGCAAAAATTTTCTCCCATTCTGTAGGTTGCCTGTTCACTCTGACGGTAGTTTCTTTTGCTGTGCAGAAGCTCGTTAGCTTAATGAGATCCCATTTGTCAATTTTGGCTTTTGTTGCCATTGCTTTTGGTGTTTTAGACATGAAGTCCTTGCCCATGCCTATGTCCTGAACGGTATTGCCTAGGTTTTCTTCTAGGGTTTTTATGGTTTTAGGTCTAACATTTAAGTCTTTAATCCATCTTGAATTAATTTTTGTATAAGGTGTAAGGAAGGGATCCAGTTTCAGCTTTCTACATATGGCTAGCCAGTTTTCCCAGCACCATTTATTAAATAGGGAATCCTTTCCCCATTTCTTGTTTTTGTCAGATTTGTCAAATATCAGATGGTTGTAGATATGTGGCATTATTTCTGAGGGCTCTGTTCTGTTCCATTGGTCTATATCTCTGTTTTGGTACCAGTACCATGCTGTTTTGGTTACTGTAGCCTTGTAGTATAGTTTGAAGTCAGGTAGCATGATGCCTCCAGCTTTGTTCTTTTGGCTTAGCATTGACTTGGCAATGCGGGCTCTTTTTTGGTTCCATATGAACTTTGAAGTAGTTTTTTCCAATTCTGTGAAGAAAGTCATTGGTAGCTTGATGGGGATGGCATTGAATCTATAAATTATCTTGGGCAGTATGGCCATTTTCACGATATTGATTCTTCGTACCCATGAGCATGGAATGTTCTTCCATTTGTTTGTATCCTCTTTTATTTCATTGAGCAGTGGTTTGTAGTTCTCCTTAAAGAGGTCCTTCACATCCCTTGTAAGTTGGATTCCTAGGTATTTTATTCTCTTTGAAGTAATTGTGAATGGGAGTTCACTCATGATTTGGCTCTCTGTCTGTTATTGGTGTATAAGAATGCCTGTGATTTTTGCACATAGATTTTGTATTGTGAGACTTTGCTGAAGTTGCCTATCAGTTTTAGGAGATTTTGGGCTGAGATGATGGGGTTTTCTAGATATACAATCATGTCATCTGCAAACAGGGACAATTTGGCTTCCTCTTTTCCTAATTGAATACCCTTTATTTCCTTCTCCTGCCTGATTGCCCTGGCCAGAACTTCCAACACTATGTTGAATAGGAGTGGTGAGAGAAGGTATCCCTGTCTTGTGCCAGTTTTCAAAGGGAATGCTTAATAATTAAGAGCTTACCAACCAAAAAAAGTTCAGGACCAGATGGATTCACAGCCGAATTATACCAGAGGTACAAGGAGGAGCTGGTACCGTTCCTTCTGAAACTATTCGAATCAATAGAAAAAGAGGGAATCCTCCCTAACTCATTCTATGAGGCCAGCATCATCCTGATACCAAAGCCTGGCAGAGACACAACAAAAAAAGAATTTTAGACCAATATGCCTGATGAACGTCAATGCAAAAATCCTCAATAAAATACTGGCAAACCGAATCCAGCAGCACATCAGAAAGCTTATCCACCAAGATCAAGTGAGCTTCATCCCTGGGATGCAAGGCTGGTTCAACGTACGCAAATCAATAAATATAATCCAGCATATAAACAGAACCAATGACAAAAACCATATGATTATCTCAATAGATGCAGAAAAGGCCTTTGACAAAATTCAACAACGCTTCATGCTTAAAAACTCTCAATAAATTAGGTATTGATGGGACGTATCTCAAAACAATAAGAGCTATTTATGACAAACCCGCAGCCAATAGCATACTGAATGGGCAAAATTCACTGTTTTAACCATTTTAAAGAGTACACTTCAGTGACATTAAGCACACAATGTTGTGTAACCATTACCTCTATCTGGAATTCTAAGTGCAAGTTCATCAGTCTTGTCTACCAGGTGACCTCTGATAGCAGGCTTTGATCATTCCATTGACGGTGAAAAAGTACAATGATTATAATTCTCAGGAACTTCTAAAATCCCCTCCTGACTACAGACAAAAGGGTCCCAGGCATCTTAAGAGGCCAAAAGATTTTAACCTTTTTAAATGGTTAAAATGGCTGGCCTTTTCAAATGGTTTTAACCATTTTAAAGAGTACAATTCAGTCATATTAAGCGCGCAATGTTTTGCAACCATTACTTCTATCTAGTTCCAGGACTTTTTCATTATGCTAAAAGGAAATCCTACAACTATTAAGCAGACACTACCCATTCTCCCTTGCAACAACTAATCTGCTCTATTCATGGGTTTGCCTTTTCTAGATATTTCATATGAATGGAATCATACAATATGTGGCTTTTTGTGTCTGGCTTATTAGCATAATATTTTCAAGATTCATCCATGTTGTAGTATGTATAATCATTTCTTTTTATGACTGAGTAATATTCTGTTGCAGTATACCACACTTTGTTTAACCATTCATCTGTTGACGTACATTTTGGCTGTTTCCATCTTTTGGCTATTGTGAATACTGTTGCTATGAACATTGTGTGCAAGTTTTTGTTTGTGCACCTGTTTCCAATTCTTTTGCATGTATACCCAGGAATGGAATTGCTGGGTCATATGGTAATTCTATGTTTAACTTATTGAGGAAACACCAAACTGTTTTTCCTCCTAGAGTTATTTTGAGGATCAAATGAGCCAACACATTTATAAAGCTTTTAGTATAGTGCCTGGCACATAGCAGGAACTCAATAAATCATTACTCAAAGATATAATTCAAATTATACACAAGTTATCAGCAATAGAGTACATCTGCTGTAAAATGTGTCATATGTTGGAGGGAACAATTAGTCCCTGCTCCTGATTTTTTGTGTGAAGTGACCTCCATTAGAATAACATTCCAAGCCTCTTGCTCCATCCCCTTTCTCATTCCTTCCAGAAAAAGAGGAATGATTTACCATCTGGAAGACCAAAGTAGGCCTGTTCTTGTCAGTCCATTTTACTGTTCCCTTGGGATCTACATGCCTGTAGGGAGCATGTATTTCAATCTCCTCTATAATTCTGTGCCGTAGAGTTCTAAGGGGCACGCCCCTATATTGGAGGTCTGAGGCTGTTTCACTCAAAGATTGGCATGGCAGATGTAGTGGGCAAATTTAATCTCAGGGCACAGTACTGGCAAGTATACTCGCTAATGGAGCCAAACCACCTTCTCTAAGCACCTTCATGAGTAATAAAGATTATATTTTTGATTTACAGCTGCCTGACCCCTGTGTATCTTACACAATTGGTTCTGTCAATGAGAAGAAAGGGATATTGTATATTGCTTCCCTCCAAAAAAAAAAAAAAAAAAACAAAACCCTGATATACCCAGGTAAATTAACAAGGCTGCTTCAATCCCCAAGTTCTTCTACTTCGAATCTAAGTAGGTTAAAAAACAAACTTTAAATTGAGATCAAATATAACGAGTGACTGTCTTTTTCAGAGAGTTTTTTATTCTTTGATCTTGGAAAAGTTAAAATTAAAATAGAAAGGCATTGGGCTATTCTGTGGTATTATTATAGTAAACCTTGATATAGAAAATGCTTTGCAAGCAATTCTCCATTGTGGAGAGCCTTTATTTCAACGTCCTTATATTCTTAAATTACCAACTTTGAGGTGGCATTCGTTTTCATTTTTGCACTTAGTAGAGCATAATATCACATTCACTCTTTTTTTCTCCTGGGGTGAATGCAGAATTGATAAGTAGTGAATGTCTTCTTTTAATTCAATTCAATAAACATTTATTGAGCACCTGCTATGTGCTAGGCACTGTGCCAGGCATTCTGGGGGAGACCAAAATGTGTATCCTTCAGTTTCATATGCAAACAGCTTTTAGTCTAGTGGCAAATGAAAAAAAATGATACCTACGTAAGTATGAGGCAAATTTTAGTTGATTTGGCTTTAAATGGGTTTCAGCCATTTGGTTTGGATGATTAAAATCTGATACATCTCTACAAAGGAAATTGGATTCAGAATTTTTATTTCATTGCTATTCCCATGCTAGTTATCCTCCCTTCTGTCAGACTAAATTTCTCTCTTTGGAAAATGACATGTTTTCTACAGTTGCAAACATATTCCAACCTATTCAACTAGTTTATTAGCTTATTTTATCTTTATGAACTAATCCTTTAAGCAGCTTAATTGAGTAATTTTTTGCTGCTATTATATTTTTCAGACAGGTAATAGGCAACATCAGGCTAGTGAATGAACAAATTAATGGATAAATAGAATTCCAGACTGAAACTCAGAAAACTCGAATTTTAGTTTTATCCCAAATATATCCTTTAGAAATTCCTTTCCCCAAAGTTACTTCTCAGGGTTTGGGATCACACTGTCTAAATTTATGTGTTTGTTAGGTAGATCGAAAGGTGTGGAAAACAACAACATCTAGAGTATTTATGTCCAGGAAAACCTAAGTATGAACATATTTCCATAGATGGATACATTGATCCATTCAAGGCCCAAATGAAAGGTGGCTGTAGCAAAATTATTTAAATGGGGCTATGAAGCCAGGCTGCTCAGCCTTGAATCCTGACTCTTTACCCTTCTAGCTGTGTGACCTTGGACAAGTGAGGTGACTCGGTTTCCTCATCTGTAAAATGAGGATAAATCGTATTGTCTGCTTCGCAGATTTGTTTTGGGGAATAAAAGTGAGTTAATATTTGCAAAGTACTTAGACCAGTCCCTGGCACATGGTAAAAACTCTGGAACCTCAGTTGAAATGCAGTCATGAGTTTGGGATACAGAAAGAGGGCTAAAAAATAGTGCCCCCAAAGGACATAAGAAGGTAGAAGAAGGTAGAATGAAGTGAAACAAAAGAATGGGCCAAATGAAGAGAAAGTTGTAAAAGAACACAAGGCAAGTGTTTGGCTCAGAGATAGATAGTGACTCCATTGCAGCGTATAGAAAGAAAGGACCCAAACCTTTTTGTTTCTTGTTCTATATGACCCTGTACAACTCACTTGACCTCCCTGTCCTCTAATTCCTCCCCTACAAAAAAGATGACAGGCAGTAGAAAGTAGTGGTTAAATACCAGCATCACCATTGACTAGCTGTGTGACCTTGGGCAAGTTACTTAACCTTTCTGGGCCTTAATTTCAACTGTTCCATGAGAATATTAATAGTTCCTAACATTGGGGCTCAGAAAATGATGCCCCAATCATGGTGCTTTGGCATGCTGAGTACTTTGAACTAAAGGAGATTGGAAGCCTCAGAAGCAGCCTCAGAACCAAGGTTTCTCCAACCTTCTCCTGCCCCTCAGTCTCTTGCCCCTCTTTCTTCCCCAAAGTGTCATCGAAACCAGAATTCCTCCTCCCCAACGCAAATCATAGAAACTGGAACACCTCTACCCCCAGAGAAAACCGTAAAACCTAGATATTTCTCTAACTTTCCCCTGCCTTTCTGTGTAGGAGCTGGTCATAAAGAAATTCTCTGACTTACTGTGTCTGATTATAGGTTATAAGACCCTCATTCCAGAGTGGTACTGCCCTGCGTCTGGGAAGAAGGAAGGCCACACAGAGAGACCAAGAAGAATCCTAACAGACAGGGCTTGCTTGGTTTCCCCCTCAGTCTCTTACCGTTAGATCAGACCTCTTTGGTCCTACCACGTTTCTACATGGCTGTCCATTCTTCATCGAATCTAAGAATAAAAATGGATAGTTTTCCCTGGGTCTTTGGGTCTTCATTTCTGAAGGCTTCCTGTATCAGGTAAGACTTTGATTAAAGAAATCTGTTCTGTTTTTCTCTTGTTAACCTGCGTTTTGTTATAGAAGTATCAGGCATCACCCTTATGATGGGTGAGGAAAGGTATCAAACAAACACTCAAGAGGTCTCAGGATATCAGTTTGCATGTAAAAGCATTTTATACACTTCAGAGGCCTCCACCCTACAAATATTAGAGCTTATTACGACCTTCAAATTTATTTACTGTTTTCCATTTAGATAGTGATGTGGCCTAAACATTTTCCTTCTGTCTTCATCTAACTGATTTTTAAAACAAATTGAGAATCTCGGTCAGTAGTGAGATTTCATAGCTTCTATCTCTCCTCTCTGTGGGCTGACTTCCTAGCTAATTCTTTCCCTCTGGATAGCTGTAAAAGCAAGAACTACTGCCAGGACAGCTCTTATCAAAATATTTTAGCACTTCTGCATCTGGTCCTGGCCATAAAATAGAAGTGAAGAAACACTTATGTAAAGCTTTCAGAGCTGTGAAGGAAAAAGAAAGCTCTTATATTATTGGCTCTGGTTCATATATCTCCAGGACAGCAACGAAAAAATAACTAAGATTTAAACCAAAAAGGCATTCAGTGAAAGAAACTGAAAGACATGACATGAGCACCAGCAACTAAGATAAACAAGAGAGCAAAAAAGAGTCAATGTTGTTGAGTGAATTATCTTTCCCCTGAGCTCTGTTCAGCTCTGTGTACCCAGTAAACTAATGAGCTGGGCCAGTGGGAGAACTCAATATGCTAACAAATCAGCTTCTGAGCAATTGTTCCCACCCTTGTCCGATTGCTGTGCTGGCAGCTCATGTCCATGCCAGTGGGTCCCTGGGTCCCGAAACCTCTTCCTCCTCTGCAGTCAAGTTCTTTCTGTCCTAGTACTTCTCATGATCAAATAGGAAATGGATAACACAGACAGCATTCATTTAATATTGACTGGGCATCTACCATGCTCCAGGCACTGAGCTAGGATCTGGGGTATGCAGATAAACAAGACAAAAGCCTTGCATTCAAAGAGTTCTCTTAAGTAATGGGAAAGACAATAGCAGTAAGATGTGGCAAGAACTAAGGAGGTGGGATGCCCTGAGCACACACTTAAGGGAGTTACTGTTCTCTCCGAAGGAGGTGGGAAAGACAAAAGCCTTAACGTGGCATTTCTTATATATCAACTGTCTTATAATCCTCATGACATCTCTTATGAAAGGGATATGATTTGTATCACTTTATAGATTAGGAAACTGAGGCTCAATGTAATTAAGTCACTTATTCCACGTAACAAGACGCTGAATCTAATTCTTACTCCAAAGCCTCTGCTCTTTCCAGTAACCTTATTTTGTTGACATGACAGGATGATAATGCTGGTGGGATTGAAAGGGAAGGGGAAAGGGTGGGTAGGAAAACTAGGTGAAATTGTGAGTAATTTCATGGCAGAGAGGGAAGGTAACTGAAAGAAACAGGGAGGAGTGAAGAGAGATTACATGAAGAAAGAGAGAAGGCAGCATTGTTGTACTGAAGCCTGCCCTAATCTACACTCATATTCAGGAATTTTGCTATCTGGTTGTTATACCCTTGGCAGCTTAATCCACAATGGTGGGAGTATTTATAGGACAGAAATTGGCAAATCTTACAAATTAGTGTGTTTCTCTCTCCCAGAGACCCAGTTAACCAGCACACCGCTGGTGAGAAGGCTGGGAGAGCACGTGGATAGCTGTGGAAGCATTTACAAATAGTAAATTTCTTCTGGGGGAAAACTGAAGTCTTAAGTCATATACATCCCATCTGTTCACATACCTCTATTTCTAGTGATGAAAAAAGTGCGCTGAATGGAGACACTGGTGTGTAAACGCTAATTGATTTTCCTCTTTCACATGCTATAATAGTGAGGATTCTTTGGAATGCAAGTGACAGAAACTAGTGCAACTGGCTTGATCGAAAAAAGGGGTTTATTTGCTCAGACACTCTTATCAGCAAGTCCAGGGAAGGATTTGACTTTAGGGATCCCTGAGAGTTAACAAGTGCTCTCGGTTGTCAGCTCTAGGTTCTTTTTCTCCCTCTCCATTTTTCGCCCTTATTTCTGGATGTTTGCCTTGCTCTTTCCAAATGCATAGATGCTTTCTACGCAGAAGTAGTGCAGAGAAGGGAGTCCTGAGTGGGAAAGGGATGAAATGGCCCCAGGCATTGCCATGCTTGCATCACACCAGCTTGGTGACCCCAGAGGAAAGAGACAGCTTTTCCCTTCTAGCAGCCAACTCTATCCCAGGGCACCATTGTGATAGTCCTGGCTTAAGTCATACACCATGTCTGGGTCAATCACTGTGTTCAGAGGAATGGGATACTTTGATTGGCTAGACCTGGGTGATGTGCACACCCCTGACTCCAGGGAAAGTAGGATTCTGTTTGGTAGACCTACCTGGATTGGGGTAGGTCAAGAGGGTACAGTTACCAGAAGAAGTGAGGGAAAGGTGTTAAGTGGACTAAACCAAAAGATTTCCTTTATATCTGCTCATATTATTTTTAGAAGCACTAACATTCTGGATCTTTAGGGTACCTTAAATGAGGCACTTAGATGACATGGGGAAGAATACAATCATTTGACCTTATGGTTATCTCCCTACAAAGTTGATTTATTTTGAATAAAGTCCAAAATCCTTGCGAAGTCTCAATGAGATCAGGCCCCTGCCCACAACTACATTTCTAGCCTCCTTCTCTATCACTTCCTAGCCACCCCAATTCTCCCTTCATTTATGCCACTTCAGTCACACTAGCTTTCTTTCTGTTTCTAGAAGAGGCTGTTTATCTTCCAGCCTTTCAATGACCATTTACTCTGCCAGAAATGCGCATCTCCTAGACATTCCCATGGCTGGCTCCTTCTCATAATTCATCTCAAATATTACCTTTCAGAAAAGACTTTTTCTTAACCACCGTGTACAAACTCGTTGTTGCCCCAACCATAAACAACTTCTATCTCATCATTCTGTTTTATTCCACTTGCATCTAGCACCATGTCACATTTTCTTTTTATTAATGTTTCTTTGTTAATTGACTGTCTCCCTCTACTAGAATGTAAGCTTAATCAGAGCAAGAACCATGTCTGTGTCTTATTCACTGATGTGTCCCTCTATCCTAGCACAGTGCTTCATTCGTAATAGTGCTTAACAAATACCTGTGTGATGAGCAAATAAACAGAATCGATGTATAGTTGACCCTTGAACAACACAGGTTTGAACTGCATGGGTTCACTTATACAAAGATTTCCTTCCACCTCTGCCACCCCTAAGATAGCAAGACCAGCCCCTCCTCTTGCTCCTTCTCTTCAGCCTACTTAACCGAAGATGGTGAGGGTGAAGACCTTTATTATGATTGAGTTCCACTTAATGAATAGTAAATATATTTCTCTTCCTTATGATCTTTTCTCTAGTTTACTTAATTGTAAGAACACAGAATATAATACCTATAACATACAAAATACGTGTTAATAGACTATTATGCTATCAGTAAGGCTTCCAGTCAACAGTAGACTATTAGTAGTTAAGTTTTGGAATCATAAAGCCATACACAAATTTTCGACTGCACAGGTGGCTGGTTCCCCTAACTCTCGCATTGTTCAAGGGTCAATTGTCTTATGCTACTGTTATCAGCAGAATAAGCTTGAGGCAAGATAAGAGGTTCAGGATTTATGGGTTATTAACTCAATGTTCTTGAGGCATTCTCCATGTCTTCTATCCTGCCTTTCCTTCCACTTAAACTGCTCAAAAGTAAATGATAATCACTTTATGGCCAAAGCTAATGACATCTCTTTGATTCATCTTATCTTGATCTTTCTGTTGCCTTTGACACTTGCCCAATTACTCACTTGATTTTTCTTTTTCTAGTTTCAACTTCCACAATTCTGTGATATATTCTCCTTCCTACCTTTTCTGCCTTTCCTTATCTCTCCTTTCCTGGCTTCAGGTCTTCCCATTAATCCTGGGTATCTATCAAGTCTTAGTCTGTTTTAGTTGCATATTTACCATCATGACAACACAGATCAGCCCAAAAGCAACTTCTAGAAGCCATAAGATTTACAGGATCAAGAGCTCTGTAAACTAACCAAAAATAGGAACCATAATTCTCAGTGCTATTGACATAAACTTATAATGATTTTTCCAGGAACTTTACTATCTAAATCATTTATATAGTAATGAGAATGGATTTAGGAGTATTACCAAGGAAGTTATCAATCTATTCACAAAATCTGGTGTCAGAAGATATTACTTTAATGCAAAGGGAGAAATTAGAGATGAAGATGAATATTTATACCTAAAGTTCTTCCTCACAGTCTTATTCATGATTTTAAAAATAGTATGAGAAGAACCAATGTTCAATAAAAGAGGAATAAATAAGATACCTTTAGACATCATGATTGTTTAAAATACCTAAGATACCTTTAGACATCATGATTGTTTAAAATATTTAATGTGTGAGAAAATAATCTTGTTATAATCCTGAGTGAAAAATGGAGGACACAAAATATGTAGGAAGAGAGAAAAACAAAGAGCAGACTCTTTTATGAGTGATTTTCAGCATGTCATTAGGTATTTTTATACTTCTAAAATATTTTCTAAACTGTCTACAATAAGCAAGTATGATCTTATGAAACTATTAATTTTCAAAAAGAATATATTACTTTAAAATAAATACCTTCAATAGGCTGGGCGTGGTGGCTCATGCTTGTAATCTCAGCACTTTGGGAAGCCAAGGTGTGTGGATCACCTGAGGTCAGGAGTTCAAGACCAGCCTGGACAACATGGCAAAACCTTATCTCTACTAAAAATACAAAAATTAGCTGGGCGTGGGTGCGTGCCTGTAATCCCAGCTACTCAGGAGGCTGACGCAGGAGAATCGCTTGAACCTGGGAGGCAGAGGTTGCAGTGAGCCAAGATTGTGCACTGCACTCCAGCCTGGGTGACAGAGCAAAACTCTGTCTCAAAAAATAAAAATAAGGGGCCAGGGGTGGTGGCTCAAGCCTGTAATCCCAGCACTTTGGGAGGCTGAGGCAGGCGGATCACGAGGTCAGGAGATCGAGACCATCCTGGCTAGCATGATGAAACCCTGTCTCTACTAAAAATACAAAAAATTAGCCGGGCGTGGTGGCAGGCACCTGTAGTCCCAGCTACTCGGGAGGCTGAGATAGGAGAATGGCGTGAACCCGGGAGGCGGAGCTTGCAGTGAGCCAAGATCACGCCACTGCACTCCAGCCTGGGCGACAGAGCGAGACTCCATCTCAAAAAAATAAATAAATAAAAATAAAAATAAATAAATAAACATCACTGATACATTTATTTGCATGTATAGTGTATTTCACAATATAATTTTTAAAAACATGACTTTGGATCATATTTTTTAAAAAGACAAAATATACGCAAAGTTTTGAGAAACTATGATCCATGTGGAGGTCAGGGGTGTGTCGGTCCTCATATAGACAGGGTGGAATAATTGTAACTACACTAAGGAGTTGTCCATCAACTGTCCATGTGGAAGGAGGCAGTGGCAGGGTAAAATCTGGAGTCAGCTTTTAAATTTCTGTCAGCGAAGCTTGACCTTGTTTCATTAGTGCAGGAGACTGTTTGTAGATAGTGGCTTCCTGAATTTTACAGACAAGCCTCATGATGAGAAAAGAACTGAAATTACAGATGATGAGATAGATATTTAATAGACAAGAACAGCTGATATGTAGAAAGTGGGATGCTGAGTCATAAGTTAAAATGCATAATTTAATTATTAGAGATAATCAGTAAATCTTTACATCCAGGAACAGAATAAAATACAAATTACATAGTCAGCACAATTCAGGGCTTACAAGCTATGAGACTAAAGCAAAATAACAAAAAATGGCAGCTAAGTTAATTGACCATTTCCATTTTATTAATTGGAGAATGATATGGCAATCATTTAAATGGAAAAGAACCATATTTTGTGGAAAATACATATTAACCATTCCAGATACTTTCTTCAGTAAAATATTTTCTTCCTGTTATCAGAGTATTTTTATTATTGGTGCTCTTAATATTTAAAAAGTATGCGATATCTCTGGCCCTTAATTTTCTCATCTGTAAAATAAGGGTGTTGGGGCACTAGTTTTAGTACTTCATTCTATGAGAGTGGTACTGCAAAATTTTCACAAATGTTTTATTCCATTTCATGGAAGCTGATGTTGACAAAGACTGTGATCGTTATCCATATTCCTGGATTTCAGTTTCTGTTTCTCAAACAGCCTTATTGATCTTATTGATAAGCCTTACAATTAACAAATAGTATACATTCAAGCTTATAAAATAAATGTATTCTGATGTTTCAGAATGGTTTTACTTGTTGAGTTCTTTATAAGATTTTGTTGGGGGAAACATGGTTTTATTGCTTACACAACAACAACAACAAAATTGGAAAGGATTGAGCTTCAAGGTTTGCCTGGCACTCAGACTCTGAGAGTATATACAAGCAGCATTCCTAAGCTTGTAGGTCCAAGAAGTAGTAGATGCAGGCTTTGCCCTAACCTCGCTCATCACCTCGAAATAATACCCTTGAAGGACTAGGGCCCATTTCCCCACACCACTTTCCACTTTAAAATGTCACTCAAAGGATCTAACGGTCTCTTTGCCCTTTTTGAACTGTCCCACAAGGGAAGAAGATCATGCTATATCTTTAGGTGAAAAAAGCAAACTACAAGGAAATATGAATACTTCCATCTATTTTATAAAAAAAAATGTAGCTGAATCTAGACAGATAAGTGCTAGAAAGATATAGATTGTGTTACCTTTATAGATGCACTAGGTGCTATATGAAGCGCTCTTTTTTTAAACTCATGTTTTGTCCTCAGTCTCTCAAATGAGGCAGATATTATTATCATCTTCATTTTACAGATGAGGAAACTGATGCATAGCAATTATTTATAAAACTTACCTTACAAATGCATAGAAAAAAATTCTGGAAGCATTTACTCTAAAAGTTGTAAGACTATGTGTGATGTTTGCTCTTTTGCCTGTGTATAATTTCTAAAAAGAGTTTGTATCACTTATGTAACAAAGTGAACGGGGAGACTGTCAGTTCCCACGTTCGCGGGGAGACTGTCAGTTCCCATGTTCATTTTCCCATGTTCTCATTTGGCGTGTGAGCAGTGGAGGGCTTGGAATCACAGACCCCGCCCTGCTTGGGAATGGGACAATGATCCGTTAAGATTTGCAGATGGTTTTCTGCTCTGTGTTATATGGGATGGTAGCAATTTTTATTCAATTGGAAGGAAGGGCTGGGTGCAATGGCTCATGCCTACAATTTCAACACTTTGGGAGGCTGAGGCAGGAGGATCGCTTGAGCTCAGGAGTTCAAGACCAGCCTGAGCAACAAAGTGAGACCTCCGTCTTTCCAAACATTTAAAAATTAGCTGGGCATAGTTGTGCCTGGCTGTGGTCCCAGCTGCTTGGGAGGCTGAGGTGGGAGGATTTCTTGAGTCTAGGAGGTCAAGGAAGTCAAGGCTGCAGTGAGCCGGGATCATGCCACTGCACTTCAACCTGGGCAACAGAGCAAGACCATGTCAAAAACAAACAAACAAAAAAACCATTGGCAAGAAGAAGTGGTTACAATAATTTGGAAAGAACCCTTGCTCTAGGCCGCTTGCATTTTATTAAGGGTGAGTCTTCAACCTTCCCTAGCAGGCTAGGATTATTCTGTCAGAGCCAAACCCCAGATAAGTCAGGCTTGCAGAAAATGTGTATTCATCTACCTGGTTCTATGAGAACCAGGGAACTAGTGCTAGCTCATGCCACTATTCTATTGAACTGCTTATTTTTGGTTTGTGTTATTAATATGCATTGTTTAACTTCTTCAATGAGATTATAAATTCCTGGGTGGAAGTGATGCTCTGGGAAATACCTCTTCATTTTTCCCAGAATGGATTAAACATAAAAAGTACACTTTTTATGGTACTTGAATGAAATGGAATCAAATATATATATATATATAAATAAAATGGTAGATTTTGGCAATTTGGGGTATTTATTTTCTGTAACAAATAAATCAATAAACAAAAAATGGAAGTGTCTTCCCTTTCCCTTCCCTTCCTTTTCCTTTCCCTTCCCTTCTTCTTTCTCTTCCCTTCTCCTTTCTGAGCAATTCCATCCTAAATCCATTGTATGGAGCAGAGAAAGGTAGACATCCATTCAGATGGGTGGCCTGGTGTGGGATGTCAGAGCCCAGATGGGATGGGGGCTCTACTCAGGGACAGGGGCAGCAATGATGATAAGATATTGGCTATATACAGGGGATTTGATCTAATAAAAAAATTAAAAATAATGGGAACTAAGGTTCTCGTTGTAGAAGAGAGTTAGAAATAAGGAAAGGGAGAAAACTAGAATGAACACTGTGGTGTTGAATTGATATTGGAGATACCAGTGTGAACTCATGGATTTCAGTAAATATATGTAAATATGGAAATAAATTCAGATGTAAATGTGTTTATGTATATCTTTGTCAATACGTGTGTGTCTGTGTGTGTCTATCTGTGTGTATATTCCTTACCTAAATACTTTTCTTTGTTGTGTTTTCAATTCCACATTTAATTCATCTGGGATTTATTTTTATGTGCAGTATGAGATGGGTGCCACATTTTTTTGACCAAATAGCCAGCCAATTTTCCCAACACTGTTTATTAAACAATTCACCTATCTTCATTGATCTGAGATGCTTCCATTCTGATATGCACATATTAGGTTGACTGTAAACATCTTAGAAAAGCAACATTGATCTTGTTAATGATGGAGCAATGCTGACACATCTCCATTTCTCCTGCTCTAACATCTTGGGCATCAATAGCCTATTTCCAACTGAGTGTTCAAAAGACATCCTTAAGGTCAACATTTCCCAAACTAAACTGATCCCATTTGTCTTCATGAATTCCTGACCTCAGAAAACAACATCATCAGCAGCCTAACTGCCCAGTGATCTTTCAACTACTCTGACCCTGTCCTCCCCTCTCACTGTTAAATCTCTTCCTTCTTTCCCTATTCTCTGCAACTCCTGAGTTTGGACTTTTCTCATGAGCTATTATGATTATATTATATTTGTTTCCAATGTAATATTGAAAATCTTTCAAAAATTGAAAGAATCCATGAGAAAATAAAGCATTTGGCCTGTTTGACAGTCAGGGCTGATTTGAAGAATCTGAGTGACCAGATCCCATCTAATCTACCTTTCACACTGATTTCTGAATAATAAATAGAAATAATAAGTAAATAAATATAATATAGTCATATGGGCCTGTGCCTGTGATTCTGCAACTCAAAAACCTTCAAGTCTGTGTGTTGTCTTAAACACCATAGCTGAACATTCAAGGTCACTGGGGTTGACCTTCTAGATGTTCTTTCTTCTGCCTGACTTGCACTTTCATCACTTGTATTAAGCTCCGGTCCTGGAACATGCCAAATATTTTCCCAATTTTGTACTTTTTTGCCTTGCATGGAAAGCTGCCCCTTTCCCCTCTATCAAAAATTGTATTATCTTTTAAGGTCCAGCTTAAACACAGCCCTCTTCCATAAAGTGTTTCCCTAATCCTCCAGCTGGAATTATTACTTACCACCTGTTTTCAAAGCACTATGTTTGTGCTGTATTGTATTATGTGTTTCATTATGCTTAGTATGGAAGTGCTATAACCTTGGTTTTCAGATCCAGATTTTAGCCCCTGAAGCCAGGACTGCATCTTTGTTACCTCTGACCACTGCCTGCAGCTAGCAGTTTTAGTACACTCACTTTGGCACCTAGCTAAGTGCTCTTACCCCTCTCCTCCTCTTCCCTTCCCTTCCATATTGATTTAATGAGCCGCAATGTATACCAGGCACTGTTCTAGCACTTAGGACACTGTGATGAACCAGACAAAGTTCTTGTCCTTATGACGCTTATGTTTTACGAGGAGTCTTAATTAACCCTTTCAAGAACCCTGTGACATAGGGGCTATTGTAAATTACTCAGGAGTTGAGTAACATATTTGGTAAGTAGCATAACTGGAATTCAAACTCAGATCTATGTGATATCACTTGTCCCTAGCACCATAGCTTGTTGAAATATTTGTGGAACTGGGAATAAGTTTGGTGCTTCAAGAGGATTAAATAGGATACTCCTCTAGATGCTGAACTGAGAGGAAAACAATTATGTGTCACTACTGAAAAAGCCATGACCCCCTTTGCTCTCTCCATATGCTCAGGAAATAAATATAGAAACCAAGTCTTATTGCCAAGTTTGATCTTCAATTCTAACTGAGGGCCCATGTTGCTTTATTACAGAAAGTTGAAAAGAAAGAGAAACTCACATTTTTTTTGAGGTAGATGCATCCACATATTTTATTTTTTTAAAATCTTCATAAAAACAATGCAAGGTAGATATTGCTGTCTCCATTTCTACAGGTAGAGAAACAGATCCAGAGGGGTTAAATAACTGTCCACAATCATGGCTATTTCCTGGTATTATGTTTTGAACAGGAATTTTATAAGCCATACATAGAACTTATATCAATTGAGTCATTTTAAATGTACATGGAGAAGATTCTATTTAAAGGACTTCTATAAAAGGTAGATTAATTCAATAAATGGTGATGGGATTTACTGATTTGCCATTTTGGGGTTAAAAAAAAAAAAGACAAGTAAAACTGGATCCTTATATCATCTCTTATACCAAAATAAATTCCAGATGGATCAAAGATTTACATGTAAAACATGAAATCACAGACATCCTAGAAGAACACATGGATGCATATTTTTATAATTATAGAATGGGCAAGACTTTACAAAATTTAACCCTGGCTGGGCATGGTGGCTCACGCTGTAGTCCTAGCACTTTGGGAGGTCAAGGCAGGCAGATCACCTGAGGTCTGAAGTTCAAGACCAGCCTGGCCAACATGGTGAAACCCAGTCTCTACTGAAATACAAAAATTAGCTGCACATGATGGCAGGTGCCTGTAATCCCATATACTCGGAAGGCTGAGACGGGAGAATCACTTGAACCCGGGAGACAGTTGTTGCAGTGAGCCAAGATTGTGCTGCTACACTCCAGCCTGGGCGGCTGAGTGAGACTCTGTCTCAAAAAAAAAAAAAAATATATATATATATATATATATAAAAATATATATATGTATGTATATAAATATATATATGTATGTATATAACCCCAAGCCCAGAAGTTACGAAAGATAAGATTAGTAAATTTGATTATATAAAAATTTGAATTTTGTATAGCAAACTTTAGTCTCTTTAAAAAAAAAATAGGCAAAGGTTAGCTGGGCGTGGTGGCTCATGCCTGTAATCCCAGCACTTTGGGAGGCCGAGGCTGGCCGATAACCTGAGGTTGGGAGTTCGAGACCAGCCTGACCAACATGGAGAAACCCTGTCTCTACTAAAAATACAAAAAATTAGCCGGGCGTGGTGGCGCACGACTGTAATCCCAGCTACTCGGGAGGCTGAGGCAGGAGAATCTCTAGAACCCAGGAGGCGGAGGTTGCAGTGAGCCAGGATCGTGCCATTGCACTCCAGCCTAGAAAGCAAGAGCGAAACGCCATCTCAAAAAAAAAAAAAAAAAAAAAAAATAGGCAAAGGCAAAAAGAAAATGAGGAGAAATATTTTCTTTCACTTTTTTTTCTTCTATCCTTTCTTACCTTCAAGGAAAGGAGAAATATTTTCTTTGGTTTCTAGACCTTAGGTAGATCTCACCAAAGGACTGCTGGGCTATTTGAAGCCAAATCCCTGCTAGTAATGCAGCACTGTATGGCCTGGCCATGTCTCACATGACAAAGTGATAGTCACCAGCCAATCAGAAACAGAATTGGGGATCAGTATCTATCCTGGACTGTATGTTTCCTGCAAGTCTCAAATTACAACAGAATTCACAAATTACTACCTGGGGACTTGATGGAAGAAAATAATGTGATTCACTGCTTGAGGCTTCAAAAATTGAAAGAATGAATGTGGAAGTAAAGCATTTGGACTGTTTGATAGTCAGGGCTGATGTGATGAATCTGAGTGACCAGATCCCCAGAGCTCCCTGTCATTCCTTCTTGAAGCTGGGTTTCGGTCATAGGAGAGGGAAGAAAAGCAAGAATGAAAGGGCAGGTGAAATCTATTTGATTCTTGGCGGAAAACTAGGTTTTCTGTGTGAAGTGGTGCTTTACTATTTTTGAAGGATACTTACCTGACAGGAAACTATAACTGAGTTTATGTGACTTTTCTCAGCAAAATTATGGAACATCTCAGTATAGTAAACATTGGGGACTGGGTTAGAGGGCTACAGGGGACTTGCCGTGTATTTGTGTTACATTTATATTTGCCAAGTGCATATCCTCTCTTAAGCTCTTGCTTAGGCATAACAAACGTGAGCTTATTTGGGATGAGCAATAGATATTTTATTTTGTATAGCTGTGCTTCTATTCTCCATAGTTCCACTAGTATTTAAATTATTTTCTAATGAGACTTTCTGCATTATGCTGAAGCTTTGCAATAGGAAGACCGGAGTTTAGGAAGTCCATTGACCAACCCCAGCCTAGTCATCTTTGCTTTGTAAGGGAATCTCAGTGTTTGTCATTGACCCAACCCAGTCTAGTCACCTTTGCCTGTGATAGAATCTCAGTGTTCGTGGGGTGTGTGTCAGAGTGAGAAAGAGGGATAGTTGAAAGAGGGGAGCATAATCAAAGAGCTCTAACACTTTGAGGCCCAGGTGGCTCTGGTGTGGGACATCCTTAAAGGAATATGACTCTGGTAATCTTTGCATTTCAAAAAAGATTAAGCCTGCTGCAGTGGCTCATGCCTGTAATCCCAGCACTTTGGGAGGCCAAAGTGGGCAGATCAGTTGTGGTCAGGAGTTTGAGACCAGCCTGGCCAATAAGGTGAAACCCTGTTTCTACTAAAAATACAAAAATTAGCCAGGTGTGGTGGTGGGTGCCTATAATCCCAGCTACCCGGGAGGATGAGGCATGAGAATCACTTGAACCCAGGAGGCAGATGTTGCAGTGAGCCAAGATTGCACCACTGGGCAATAGAGCAAGACTCAGTCTCCGAAAAAAAAAAAAAAAAAAAGATTAATGAGCTGTCACAGAACCCTGAGAATGAGACATGAGACATGGAGAAGACAGTGGAAACCAGGTGGATCTTCACACCTAAAAACTTGAATAAGAAGACAAGGGAGAGAAATTCCCAAGCACACCTTATCAAGCTGGGCAGTTTCTCAGTGCCAGCCTCATTAGCGAGCTGGAGTGGATGTGCACAAACACTCACATTACTTCATGGAAACAGTTAAACAGTGGAACCCAGAAAAGTTTGGACTTAGGGCAAATCAGCAAGGGGACAGGGTGAGGGCAGGAAGACTGCGCTCAGAGATGTTGCAATTTCGGTATAAATGCCTATGAGGCCTCCCAGGCAAGAGAAGTCTGAATATTGTTACATTTTAGGGTTCATCCAGGATTTTCCTGAATCCTAATGCTGTACACCTCTGTTGCAAGGACAAATTATTCCCTCTAAGAATTATGGTCAACTAGTATTTGGAAATGTTGATACTGCAGGAAGCCTAATGCATGGAAATGGGTGTGGAATCTGAGCTTGTTTGTGACTGCCAGTGAATAGTGAAGAGCCTGAAATGAAAAATACCTGACAGGTTCCTTGAAAGACCCTGGAAAGGGATAAAATGCTTGGCAAGTTTTTTAGGAAGGGGGAGGAAGCAAATGTAGCCTTACTAGAGCTTAATACTTTGCACCCCTGGAGGGATGTTGGGAAAGTATCTGGAAACTAATCTTTCAGCCCTGTCTTTTTTTTTTTTTTCTTCTGAGATGGAGTCTTGCTCTGTCACCCTGGCTGGAGCGCAATGGCACGATCTTGGCTCACTGCAACCTCTGCCTCCCAGGTTCAAACGATTCTCCTGCCTCAGCCTCCTGAGTAGCTGGGACTACAGGAGCATGCCACCATGCCTGACTAATTTTTGTGTTTTTAATAGAGATGGGGGTTTGGCCATGTTGGCCAGGCTGGTCTTGAACTCCTGACCTCAGGTGATCCACCCGCCTCAGCCTCCCAAATGCTGGGATTGCAGGCATGAGCCACCATGCCCAGCCTGAATACTGAATTTCTGTACAGACTGAAGCTATTCCTAGATCAAGATAGACAAGGAATGTCAGACATGACGCAAATCCTTAAGTAATAGTTCACCCAGTGGATTTAAACCTAAGCAGGCCATGTGTCATATGCATATGAGCTCAAGTTCTGGAACAGACATGGTGGAAACCATGGAGGTGAGGGGCAAAAGCCAGGTGTGTTTCTCAAGAGTATCACCACAGCAGCCCTGGGAGGAGAGACATTTAAACTCTGGCTAGGGAAAACCTGTGACACTGCGAAAACTGCATGTACCAGAAGTGAAGTAGTAATAGCCCCAAACACAATCCTAACAATAGCTTACATTTACTGGTTGCTTACTAGGTTGCAGGCATTGTGTGGAGCACTTTACGAGCTTTATCTCATTTAGGAAATTGAAGGGGGTTGATGGAGAACTTTAGAGGCTTGACATTTGAGGTCATATATATCCTAAGGGATATTGTACTTCAATAAGAGTGGTAAAATGTTCAAGAACTCTTCAGGAGGTATGTGGAAGTCCTATAAACTGTAGAGCTACACATGTAAAATTGCTAAATTATCAGTGAACAAATTTTTTAAAAGCTTACTTTTTAAAACTGGAAATCCTATGGTGGAAGATGGTCAAGAAGAAAGCATGGATTAGAGTCTCTGTGAACAAGCAATCATTGAGGCTGCCTGGAACAGAACACTTCAATCAAAGCCCCAGCTGCCAGTCCCAGGACAGGCTCCTAATTCCCTCCAGCTGCCAAGACTAGAGACAAGCAGCATGAAATGCCAGTCCAAATCAGGGGGGAGTCACCCAGACCAATTGGGACAGTCACTTAACTGCTAGAAAGGCAAAGGCCTTACTTCACCCTAGGGCTTCTGAGAAGTCTGGTTAAGTGGCCTTCTGCCAGCTTCAAGGGTCAGTTAGCCAAGAAAAAAAATGCGAAAGAGGGTGCCCATAAAACAGCTAAACAAAACTGTGCTTTCATGGATGGTGCAGAGAACAAGGCTGTATGCAAACAGAAAATGATCAGGATGAAAACCCATCTTTACTATTCCCAATATAAACTAGCATTACAGTGAGTCAGACATGGCAATGTGGGCCAGGATATGAACTGGTCGTATCACAATAGCAGTCCTTAGGCATGCAGAGATTTAAGGATATCAGAGTAGAGTTGAAAAAGAACATGGAGAGATTTGGTGTTCAAGCAGTGCAGGAGAGTGGATCCCAAGCAATGATTTCTTCTCAGTCTCCCCATGACCCATACCTGACCTACCTCCCTTTGCAAGAATCTGATGGATTAGGGTTTGTGGTTTTAGCATAAAGGTTACCCCAACCTGCATTTTTTGTGG
The DNA here is from genome assembly GCF_000001405.40 of Homo sapiens. Classification (NCBI taxonomy): domain Eukaryota; kingdom Metazoa; phylum Chordata; class Mammalia; order Primates; family Hominidae; genus Homo; species Homo sapiens. Next base: position 117,336,854 of record NC_000001.11, read on the forward strand.
GAGGACAGGGTCTTGCTCTGTTGCCCAGCCTGGAATGCAGCAGCACAATCACAGCTCACTGCAGCCTCAATCTCCTGGGCTTAAGCAATCCTCCTGCCTCAGCCTCCCAATTAGCTGGGACTACAGGTGTGTGCCACCATGCCCAGCTAATTTTTTGTTTTGTTTTGTTTTGTTTGTTTTGTTTTTTTTTTTGAGACAGAGTCTCATTCTGTCACCCAGGCTGGAGTGCAGTGGCATGATCTCGGCTCACGGCAAGCTCCGCCTCCCGGGTTCACGCCATTCTCTTGTCTCAGCCTCCCGAGTAGCTGGGAGTACAGGTGCCCACCACCACGCCCCAGTAATTTTTTTTGTATTTTTTTAGTAGAGTTGGTGTTTCACCGTGTTAGCCAGAATGGTCTCCATCTCCTGACCTCGTGATCCACCTGCCTCACCCACCTCGGCCTCCCAAAGTGCTGGAATTACAGACATGAGCCACTGTGCCTGGCCACTAATTTTTTTTTAACTTATTTTGTTGCTCAGGCTGGTCTCAAACTCCCGGCCTTAAGCAATCCTCCTGCCTCAACCTCCCAAGGTGCTAGGATTACAGGCATGAGCCATCACAAGCAGCATCCTTATGCACTTTGGAGCTGTGGGTAGGGTTCCAAAGGCTTGAATTTCCAGAAGGAAGGGAAGAAGTGGATGTGGATGTCAGTGGCTGTGTGCTTGAAATGGAAAGATAGGACCAAGTGAGAGGTGAAGCCAGCTGGACTTCCTGGGTCAAGTGGGGACTTGGAGAATTTTTCTGTCTAGCTAGAGGATTGTAAATGCACCAATCAGTGCTCTGTGTCTAGCTAAAGGATTGTAAATGGACCAATCAGTGCTCTGTAAAATGGACCAATCAGCAGGATGTGGGCAGGGCCAAATAAGGGAATAAAAGCTGGCCACCCCGGCCAGCAGCAGCAACCTGCTCAGGTCCCCTTCCACGCTGTGGAAGCTTTGTTCTTTCACTCTTCACAATAAATATTGCTGCTGCTCACTCTTTGGGTCTACACTACCTTTATGAGCTGTAACACTCACCGCAAGGGTTTGCGGCTTCATTCCTGAAGTCAGCAAGACCACAAACCCACCAGAAGGAAGAAACTCTGGACACATCTGAACATCTGAAGGAACAAACTCCGGACACACCATCTTTAAGAGCTGTAACACTCACCACAAGGGTCCGCAGCTTCATTCTTGAAGTCAGCGAGACCAAAACCCCACCGGAAGGAATAAATTCCGGACACACAAGGAGGAGCTGCATGAATAAGAACCTACTCCAGTTTATTACAAGTACTTCCTCCACACTATGGGCAGCATGTTGGTATCACAGAGATCTGGACATTCTCTTCACCCACCCCTACAGCCCAAAGCCTACAGGAGATAGGCTTGTGAAGGACCCAAAGGCATCTACTGGGTCCCCAAGAGTAAACTTAGAAGTATTAGAGCATTCCACTGCTAGGTGAAAAAAGAGATTAAGGGGAATATAATTCCCTAAAAACAAATGTTCCCTTTCTGTCAATGAGACTAAGTGGTCTTCAGGGAAACAACATAAAACAGAGCTGCATGATCCTTTTCCCTCTAGGGGAAAAGTTTGCAAAGATTGTATTGCTTGGGTAAATGAGATCACCTGAACTAATTCCTAATTGATAAATGACAAAGTTTTGAAGTCTCACGGCCTGTATGCCTTCTCTTCATGGCAGTGGGGGGAAAAATGGGTGAAAAAAGTGGTGTACATTTTAGCACTCTAAATAGATGAATTAAACCAGATCAGTGTACACGATACCTGCCCCAGAATATTAACCTGATGGACAATCACTGATTATCAGTGTCTCTTTGAGGAGACTGTGAAAACCTTATGATGACTGAAGGGAATAAAAAAAGACCATGAAATAATCTGTGTATAATTTCAACTGGAAAAATTTGGAAGTGGAATGAGTTGTCTCTAGGCCTAGATGTTATTAGCAAGTATGCTTTAAAATAACATATAATGCTATAAAGCAATAGGAAGATAACAAAAGCTGTTGGAGGGGGTGGGGCATGGTGTCTCACACCTGTAGTTCCAGCACTTTGGGAGGCTGAGGTGGGTGGATTGCTTGAAGTCAGGAGTTCAAGATAAGCCCAGCCAACATGGCAAAACCCCATCTCTACTAAAAATGCAAACATTACTCAGGCGTGGTGGTGCACACCTGTAATCCCAGCTACTTGGGAGGCTGAGGCATGAGAATGGCTTGAACCCAGGAGGCGGAGGTTGCAGTGAGTTTAACATTGCACTCCAGCCTGGGTGAGAGAATGAAACATTGTCTCAAAAACAAACAAACCGAAAACAAAGTTGATGGAGTGATTCCAGGCTGGTACTTCCCAAACTTCTGACGTTCTAGTACTACCACCTTCAAGATTTTGGCCACATCCTTGTATTTAATGTTTTTCCTTAAATTGGTGAGTATTTTAAACTTACATATACTTTTTTAAGGAAGAAACTTCATATCATGACTGTAAAAGAAAACCAATATCATTTGCCATAAATAGGAGGTAACAATAAAAACAAGTACTTACATAATAAAAACCAAAACAGTGTTGTAAAACCCTAGCTAGATACCATTACAAGCCAAAGGCTCTCAGCCTGAGGCCTTTTCTCTCTTTTAAAAAGGGAGATTAGCAAGTGATAGACCATACAAGGACCAAATGGAAACTTTCTCCTTGGAATAATGAGCAGGAGTGTGATAGAAGTGGAAAGGGAATAACTCTCTCACTATGTGATTCAATGCCATTTAATGTTGTTGTCTGGGTATCACTGATAATCGTCTCCAGTGTCAGTTAGGCTCAAATCATGATTTGTGTTCTGTATACGGTGGGAAACACAGTTCTTGACCCTCTTAGAGTGATGTAAACCTCATCCACCTGGAATGGAGTGAAAATAAGATGGGAACTCAGAGAAAAAAAGGTATTTAAAAACTCTAAAAAGCAGATTAGGAAAATTAAGAAGCAGCAACACGGCAGGAGCAAAAGATACACAAACATAAGGCAAAACATAAAAGAAGGTGAGAGGATAAACTCAATGTTTGAAAGTAAGCAAAGACAGCTCACAAAAGGAAGAAGCAAAGCTAATTAAAGACTGAAAGTGGATATGAAGTGACATCACATCCAATCAAGATAAGCATGAACAGAAATGCAGAAAGCTATCCAAATAAGCACATGGGCTAAGTCTGTAGGCCACATCAGCTGTTTACTCCCTGCCCTCTGTTCTTGAGGGAAAATGGGGGAGGTGTGAGAGAAATGGCTGACACTTCCGTGTGTGCATCATGAGATCATTACACAACTGAACCTGCTGGTGGCAGGAACAGGACCGACTGAGAGTCAGGCATTTCAGCTACTTTCAAACAAACATATTCTTCATTTGCCCATGATTTAAAAAATGCGCATTTGTCCAGCTGAGTTTTACTTCTCAGATAGCTGTTTTGCATGTAGAATTTAAATTGCCCAGTACTTAATTTGTTTTTCTAGAAGGCAATAAAAGGTAATTTATAACTGGTAGGTTCGGTGGCCAGAGAGAGTGATAAAATTCTAAACCCAAGGCATTGGTATTCAGTGCTTTTAGCTATTCCTCTATATAATCTAGTTTACGGCAAAGTAAAGATGGGTCACTTGGGGCTCCTATAGTTGCCATTTATGCCTCAGAAAATAATTGTTAATGATTGGGGCAAGGTAAATAAATAGAAGACCAATAAAGCTCAAGGTGAAAGCTGTGTTCAGATCACACCAGAAGCTACACATACGCTAATTAACATAAAACTGTTTCATTGGTGTAAACATTCCACTGTCTGGATTGTTAACAGTCGCATGGGCATAAAAAACATCAACATGTAATAACATAATTAATGTATCTAATATAAACTTTATAAATGTATTTTTAAGCTTCAAGACAGTGTTTCTCAAGTACTGTTACAAATGTGGTTTTCTGAATTTTGAATCCTTTCAATTTTCTTTTGTTCTCACATTGACAGAATGAAGTGGGAACCATACTGATGATAAGACTTGCTAGATTTTAATGTAAAATAATTTTAGAATAATATTTTACATTTATATAGTATGTTACAGTCTATAGAGTATTCTCACATCCCCACTGACCTTCACCATGACTCCGTAAGGCAAGTAGACTTTACAGAGGAGTTAACAGGCTCAGCAAGATTAAATGACTTGCTCAAGCCCACACAGCCAGTAAGTGAGGCTGACATTTAAAATGAGCATGTGTTGAAGCTAGTGTGTGTTGTCAGGGGAGAAGAGGCTGACTATGGCCTCAGAAACCTCACAGGTGACCTTACTTCATGAAGTCCCCAGGTTATATGATCTGTCCCTAGCTTGTCAATGTCCCAGAATGTTGCAATCCAAGTCAACCGAAGTACTCTGATCAAACCCATAGGAGACTGAATTCTAAACCAGTAAGCTGGTTTGTTTGTTGTCAGAAGCATTACTGCCATGTGAACCGGAAAGAATGCAGTTGCTGGTACCACCAGTATACTCTCTTCCTGTAGGCAGAATTACATGGGATGACGCACTACAATCACGAGATTAAATGATAGGCATGGAGGGAGACTAGGAGACAAATGTTGAGGAGCGGGCAAGGAAAAAAGTGACATGTATTGATACAAGATGCCTATCATTATCATGATCAATTTCATTATTACCTGTACTTATTATCTTCATCTGTCCCATTCTAGAAAGGAAGAAATTGAGACACAAAAAGATTAATTAACTTGCCCAAGCATTTGTTGGATTTCATTTTTAGGTAGCGCTTCCTGAGGTGGATTTCTCACACTTAAGCCAGAAGCTACTTGCTCTAATTACAGCAGAAAAAAAGATAGAACCCACATAGTGGGTTGGGGCATACGAGCTTGCAAGGTGTAGATACATCTATGGGTAAAAACCCACATTAAGGGCCAGGATGATTCACTTTGAGTCTTGGCTCCTCAACTGGCAGCATCAGTGAATTTATGTTATGTATTTATTTAAATGATACCCTCAGAAATGTAGCCCCCTCTGTAGGTGATCTTATATAATGGAGCCAGCTGAGAGGTGGTTCAGGACTTGAATTTAAAGTTTTCAAAAATTTCCTGGAAATTTTTTATTAAAGAGTGACATAAATACCCTATTACTAATATTTAATCTGATGAGCAGCCATAGGGGACCTTTATGCCTTCTCCTTTTGCAATTTTATAGCTTCTACATTATTTTTTAGAGGTTTAAATATATCAGCTCTTCACGACTCCGTAGGTTTTAATTATCAAAGCAGCTACATCAATTTTTACCAAAAGCAGAGTGACCTTATTTTATAACTGAAACAAAGTCCAAAGCTTGGTCCCAGCAGCAGGCAGTTAATAGGTCATTCCATAAAGATTTATGTACACTTTGTGGATACAGAAGAATTTTAAATAGGGGAAGTCAAACTTATGGACTCACTTGTCTTTCATTACTTTAGGCAAGATAGGATTTACTTCAATTAAGAGCTGTATCCTGGCTAAATGGGGCTTATTTTTATGAAGACTCAAAAAAAAATACTAAATTCAGCAACTAATCTTAATATACCTTTGGGAGTAATAAACACAATAATCAAGTTTTCTTTTGTTTCAGCATGAAGGTAGCTTCACTGTGGGATGAGAGAAACAGGCAGTGTTTCATAGTTATATTTATACACCTGACATAAGAAAAATATTCCTCCAAAGCGAAAGCAAAACCTAGGGCAGAAATAGCTGGGTGTTGGAGGGAGGTGGGTATGTGTGTAGGAGAGGGTGAGGGACATGTTTCTATTACCTCTTGGATCTAGCAATATCAATACCAACCTATCTTCTAGCTCATTTTGCCACCGCAAAATTCTTTAGGAAAAAAATCTGTGATTAAAATCCTCAATCTCTGCAACCCCATTCCCATCACCATCCTCTTCCCTGAAAAAATCTGCTGCCAGTGCCTCTTCCGTGATCTTTTCTTGTGTGGGTTTTCTCTCTAGAATAACAGCTAAATCAGGCAAAGGTCTTAGGCACAGCTCACTGCTTCAGTGACTACCTTGAGACCAGCTGGGGACCGACAGTCTCAGACTCCAACCAGTTGCCACAGATGCAATTGCTTTGAAAAGCAGATTCTCTTCTCTGCTAACCTCATGCAGAAAAATGAAAATGGGAAATGCAGTGATATTTTATTTTTCATTTTCTCCTGCTCATTCTAGGAAATAGAACCAAGGGAATGTATTGGAGTGAAACAGGGTTTTCTTAGTAAATAAACATTCCACCTGCCGAATCAGTACCAAATGCGGGTTTGAGAGTATTCTAAACAACACTATATGGCCATTCTTCATCCTCTTATCTGTGAGGGACTAGGGCAGTGGTGGAGGGAGTGTGTGGAGAATAAATGGTCAACACTTAGAGAATAGACCTCATTATGCTCATTTTTTAAAAAATAGCATTCAAATGGGTGTAAACTTTATAATTTTGTCATTCCAGAGAGTAGTATCCTTTTAAACATGTTTTGGATGTGGTATGAGGAAATAAGATTGTTGTGATGTTCTAAGGTCTCTTAATTAGGACTACTGGTATTTTCTGCAGTACAAGATATCCATTATTTGCAATTTAAAGCCCAGAGCACCTTTCCTCACAGGTGGGAGATGGAGAGAGGCCGCACTTCAAAGTGAGAAAGATACAAGCGCAACTGGAATGGAAGTGGCAGCTTGCTACCTAACAGAATCCACATCATTTAGCCCCAATGCAGTGAACACATGCCCCTAATAACCTGCCTTATTCCTGGCTCTCTTTCCCACCGTAAGCTCATATTGCCAGTTAGTAGTCTCTTGCATCTCCTGAGTGGCTGTGCTTCCTTAGTGAGGGGGCTCGCTGGGGCCTGGGTGCCTAAATAAGCAGAGATGGGGACACCCTGTGTGATCCTGCCATGTAATCACTGCATTGTCTTCACTGCGAGAAGGGCAAGGGCCTGGTTCCCTACAGTCCAGATGTCTTGTGAGCCAGCAGTAAATATCACCCGGATTAATCAGACTGAGAGAGATGCTGCTTAACTCAGGGACTAGAGGAGCTCAACCTCAGGAAACCAGACTTCAGAATGAGAGTCAGAATGATGGGAAGCTGGAGGGCAGAGAGGGGGCAGACCTGCCTTGCCAGTGGGAGAGAAGGCTGGCATCTTGGGAGGTGAGTTCAGTGCAGTGGTTATGAGTTCAGGCTGTATGGCTAGGCAAGCTGGTTTCCTACTGACCAATTGATTGTGGGCATATTTCTAGAACTCTACAGTTTCTGTGACAGCCCCAAGTTTCCTTCTCTCTAGAATGGAAATAACTATGTTCTGAAAATCCAAAGAGACAATGTATATAAATTGCCTGGCATAAAATAATGTTAAATATTATCATCACAAGCAAGTAGAAGCCAGGTACAGTTGCTCACACCTGTAATTCTAGGACTCTGGGAGGCCAAGGCAGGAGGATTGCTTGAGCCCAGGAGTTTGAGACCTGGATAATATAGTGAGACCCCATGCCAACCAAAAAAAAATTTTTTTTTAATTAGCCAGATGTGGTGGCATGAGCCTGTAGTCCCAGGTACTTGGGGGTGTGAGGTGGGAGGATCGCTTGAGCTGTGGAGGTTGAGGCTGCAGTGAGCCGTGATCATGCCACTGCACTCCAGTATGGGCAGCAGAGCAAGACCCTGTCTTAAATAAAAAAATAAAAAAATAAAAAAAAAGCAAATAGATATGGGTTTTTTAAATGGCATCTGGGATGAGACTGACAGTTATTTTGTCCTTGTGCCTAAGTTCTTCCTTCAGCAAGTAGATAGGCACGTGCAGCTGGACTTTAAATTATATCTTTTACTTTGGTCCTGCAAATGTTGATTTTTGTGTTGGGTTAATTTCTGTGTGGAGGAGCTGGCATGAAGGCAGGCTGAGCTATCAGTTGGGGATTTTCCCTTTATGCTCTGCCTGGTCTCTATAAGTTGTCTAATGAATATCAATCAGTATTAATAAATGTCTACCTGAGAGCATTGCAGAGCAGTAACCACTGACCTTTCATCCTGTCTCCCCTGTTTTCTGGGGTTTTGATAGCTACAATTATAGTTGTAACATCCATTTTTATTAAATAAGAAAAGGGACACAATTAGGAAATTGAAAGGTTTGGTTGCACTTGGCTATGCTGCTTTATAAAACATGTACTGACTATTAACGCTAACTCTGCCAGCTGCTTTACTCATACTATTTTGGTCGTTACAAAAACCTACAAGACAGTTATTTTAGCTCTACTTTACTGAGGATCAGAGAAGTAGCCTGTTTTAAGTTAACAGCTTCAAGTGGCAGAGTCCTAATCCATCAATAGTTAGAGCTATCTACCTATTTGCTCCTCAGATATTTTTGGATTGCCTCTTATGTGTTGTTCACTGTACTAGGTGCTGAGGGGATAAAGGTCAGTGACACCGACCCCATCCTGGACCTCACAGAGCTGCTAGCCTGTGAGGCTAGCAAGGCTGAGTGGAAGGCTGAGAAGCACGTAGGCAATTGCAACTCCATGTCACAATGTAGAGGGTGTGGGGTGACACAGTCATCCCAGGCAGAAAGAACAGCCTCTGCAAAGGCCCAGGGGTACAAAAGAGCAAGGCACTTTGGGGGAAGCGCAAGGAGTTTGCTATAGTGCTAAGTGTTATGTGATAAATAAGGGCACAGGCAGAATACTGTGGTCTCTCAGCGCAGAAACCCACTATGTCTGTCTGGGGAGTGTTAGGTTGAATTTGAATTTATTTGAGGAATTGTGCTGTCAGACTCTCGAATATTTTGCAAAGCAGTAATAATAAGCTCTGGGGATGATGATGTTCATTTCTCTGATTAGAGTTTTCCAAAAAGGAGTGGGACTTAAGGCTCCTCCAGGTTTGTTTCATGTTCCTGTGCCCCAACGTGAGCTGAGGGGCAGCTCTGACTGGGTCCCAACACATCAAGTAAGACATAGCCGAGACCCGACTGGCCAATATGGTGAAACTCCGTCTCTACTAAAAACACAAAACATACCCGGGCATGGTGGTGGGTGCCTGTAGTCCCAGCTACTCTGGAGGCTGAGGCAGAAGGATCGCTTGAACCCAGGAGGCAGAGGTTGCAGTGAGCCGAGATTGTGCCACTGCACTCCAGCCTGGGCGACAGAGCAAGACTCCTTCTCAAAAAAAAAAAAAAAAAAAAAAAGACATAGCATATGTGTATGTGTAGATGCATATGGAGGTCCACTGTGGGATCCTGGTGTCCCAGAGGGGTTAAAATATCTCTCCTAATAACATCATTTGGCTCTGTACACCTAACACTTTTGTGCCAGACTATTTTCTTGAGCTGGTGAGGTCCAGACTCATTATGTCTTCATAATAATCCTATCAGGTAGGAGCAATTACTCCTAATGCTGCAGATGAGGAAATTGAAGCACAAAGAATTTAAGATATCTATGCTCACGCAGCAAGTAGGTACTACAGTCAGCACTTACTCTCAGAGCAGTGTGGGCCTAGAGTCTGTGCTCTTATTCGTAGTCCTCTACCCCAGACCATACCTCTCCTCCCATCATTGCTGAAAATTTAGAACTTTTAAAAGTTCATGGAAATCATTTACATAAATTATGAAAGATAAAGCCACAGTTCTGTTCTCTGGTACATATGAATCAAGACCATTTATGGGCAATCTCAGAAATAAACCTACCACATCCGCCCCCAGTGCTTTTGACTCATTACCTCTATCCCTTTGCCAAACAACCAGATGTTGTAAAGCTGGTTACCTTCAATGGAGCAGTAAGCAAAGGCACCCCACTCAAACCTTGTGATCTATCACGGCAGTGGAGTCACTGCCTGTAGGTGGATTGTTTTGTTTGTTTTTCTCCCAAGCCTGAATCCTGGCTCCCCTGCAGAGAGAGCTCCATAAAGGCTCAGCCAAAGGTGAATGGCAGTGACACTGTGGCAGTCTTTTGTTCCTAATGAAGCACCTTAGGGTTCATTATATGACCAGGTGCTACCCCAGGAGATCCTAATTTAGTAGCTTAGGGAAGAAGCTGAGGCATGCAGATTTAAAAGCAAAACAAAACAAAACAAACTCCATGGGTGATTATGATACACAGATAGCACTGAGAACCCCTGGAATGGGTTAATTGGATGGAGGTCTTTTACCTGCCTGTGAAAGGTAAAGAATGCGTGACATCAATAATGATAATGATAACAAATTAAATTAGTAGAATGAATGAATGCTTCCATGAAGTCTTGGGATTTAATTGCTTCCTATTTGGTAATTTAATTAGAAATAAGCATATTTGGGGGTCTATAGTTCCCAGCCTCAGCATCATCAAGAGACCCATCTTTTATAGGAAGTTATGACCTGGCTTAAGTTAGTTCTCTCTGTGTCCCTCACCCATAATTGACTCTCAGCTCTGTGCCCCTTGGTTCATCTTCCCTACAGGTTGCATTTAGATTGCTCCCCAATATTCCTTTTTCTATCTTTATGCCTTGCATAGTTTGATTGGTTACCTTGGAGTCCCCAGCTCTGCTTTTATATATACAGTAGAATTAATTTCTTCTTCTACTATTACATTACCCTAAGTGAACCTGATGCCCAGGAGCCGCTGTGACTAACCCATTTCCCTGTTGCCTACAGAAATCAGTAGATAGAGAAGTTAAGGCAGAAGAGAGGTTTGGTTTAGATGTAGAAAACAACTTTGTATGAAATAGCAAGACAGACATTTGAGGAGTCTTTGTTTTACCTAAATTGATAGAAAAAAAGATAGTCATCATCTTGTGGGGACCTCGTGAATATCTTGCTGAAAAATAAGAGAAAGCACTAAAAGATCTTCCTAAGTTACTTGTTATTGTGTTATATGTTATGTTATTATGACTAACATTGCTTCTGAGGAAATGCAATAATTTTTTTTTCCTGTTGGATGCTGATTCTATCTTTGAATCTTGATGAATCTGTCTTAGTGTGTGTAAATCTTGTGTATTATTCACATCCACTGGTGCATCACTCTCCTCCTTCCTTCCTTTCTTGCATATACATTTCTAGGAAGCATGAAGATTAGAAGGAAAAATTACCAAAAAACATAAAAACAAAAACAACTCAACTGTAATACATTTCTGGCTCAACTGGAAAGGTAAAGAACTATAATTTAATTCTCTTGGCCTAATTTTGTCCGTGCTGTTTAAAACCATTAAGTGATTATAATTTTGAAAAATACCAGAGAAGCATAGTGCACCTGCTCTTTCAGCTTACATTATAGAGAAGAAGAAAACTACAACATCTTGATAGCAGCACCTCTGTGTTTTTAGTAAGTCTCCATTAAGGGAGTGATGCCTATGTAGCAGATGAGAATGAAACGATGTTTTGGGTTGGGTGACAAAATCTAACGATTGTCACTAAAGGAGAAGAGCCCACCTTGCTATTTCGCTTGCACCACCCTTCAATGGAAAGGGCTGCAATTGAAGAAGCAATATGATCTGGAGCAAAATTATATGATAATGGTTCATAACAAATAGTGGACTCTGTGTGTGAAATTTAATGCAATATCAGTCCTCGACTAAGTGTTAACATTAAAAGTCAGATACAAAAAGATTTTGTCTTTTCAAAACACATCTTTATCATCATTCAAGAGGCATTACTAGAGTCAAACATCTCATTATAGCTCTATTACTACCAGGAAACTTCCAGTCTGCAGACTTCCAAACAAATTCCCTTTAATGGGAATTAAACCAAACCAAAAGGTTTTGTGGCTATTTGAGCAGTCCTGTTCTGCATTACAGGCTAAAACTTTACTCAACTTTTTAGCCTAATAGGCTGCAGTTGCACAACACATTTGGAACTTTAAAATCTATATCTCATTTGCATTTTGGAATTGCTATAAAATAAATACAAAACCTTAAAATTAATAATTAGAAATCTGTAAGTCCTTTAAACCTTCTTCATGCTGGAAGATAATAAGTAAAGTACCTTTGGAATAATAGCTCCTTAATTTCCAGCATTTATAAGTAACCTCAGTTTGGATGTATAATATGTACCCAACTCCCTAACTCCAGTCAATGCAAAATCACTTCTGAAGGATAAACACACATTGTAAACTCAAACATTAGTTTAAAGTAATTAATAGCAACTAAGAAAAAGAAGGGAATGTATGTGCTATGAAATCTGTGACTGTAAGAAATCACAGGTCAACAGATTGGATTTACTTGATCCTAACAGCAGCTGTACACAAAGGAAAGCAGTCATGGCTGGTTTATTACCTCAGTAGTTAAGCATTTAGGAGTGTTTGAAAATCCATTATGTATAGGAAAGTAAGAAAAGCTGGCCAGGTGCGGAGGCTCATGCCTGTTAATCCCAGCACTTTGGGAGGGCGAGGTAGGTGGATCACCTGAGGTCAGGAGTTTGAGACCAGCCTGGCCAACACGGTGAAACCCTGTCTCTACTAAAAATACAAAAATTAGCCAGGCGGGGTGGTGGGCACCTTTAATCCCAGCTACTCAGGAGGCTGAGGCAGGAGAATCGCTTGAACCCAGGAGGCAGAGGTTGCAATGAGCTGAGATGGTACCACTGTCCAGCCTAGGTGACAAAGTGAGACTCCATTAAAAAAAAAAAAACTGCAATAAAAATCTAATCATAAAGAACTATCATTGTTACTTGAAAAAGTATTTAGAACGTACATGCTTCTGACATTCTTAAGGTGTGATTTCCTCTAGATTACTGAAAAATCCCCTAAGCATCAGTAGTTTAAAATAGAATGCTTTTAGATAGATATTTTTAAAAATTGATTTACATACTCCTTGTGTACTGAATATAATTTAACTTTTTAATGAACAAGTTTGAATGTCAGAATTGAGGGACTAGCAGTTAAGTGCTCTAATCAAAAACAAGGGAAGCAATATCTTCTTCTCTCCCCTACCCACCACATGTGCTTTTCCTCCACAATGCCATGTATCAAGTTGTCTAGGGGAGAACTACGTATGTTATCTTTGATCCCCTCTGCTGCCATCCAATCAACTACATTATCTGAATGCTTCTTTAAATGCCTGCTCTTTCTTTGCCAATAATACTGCTATAGTTCAGGCCATTAATATTTCCATGCTAGATGACAGGAAGTTTTCTAACGGGTTTCTCTGCCTTTATGTAGTCTGACCACCCTGAAGTCCTTTTCCATTTTACAGCCAGAGTGACTCTTCTAAAAATGCATATCTGATCTAATCATTCCTCTGCTTAAAAACCCTTTAATGGCTTCCTACTGCTCTCAAAATAAAACCCAACTACTTAATGTGGCCTCTTTCAGGCCCTATATGATTCAATTCACTATTACGTGCTTTTTGTCTGCTTGATCTAGCTGTTTCTGATTGTTAAAATCTCTCATTCATATGGTGGGCTTGTCAATTTATCTTGGTAATTCTAGAGGTTTTGTTTTCTATAATGGAAAGCTGTATTGTTAGGTACCTTAAACTTCTTGGTAGTGACCCTCTATTTCTATTAATACATTTGATTTAAAAGACTATTTTTTGTCTGATATTAGTAATGTTTCATCAGCTTTCTTTTTGTGTGTATTTCGATAACTCATCTCTTTTTATTCTCTCATATTAAGTCTTTTTGTTTAGTTTTGTGGGGTTTTTTTTTTTTGAGACAGGGTCTTGCTCTGTCTCCCAGGCTGGAGTACAGTGGCAGCCTCAACCTCCTGGGCTCAAGTGATTCTCTCATTCAGCCTCCCAAGTAGCTGGAACTACAGGTGTGTGCCACCACACCAGGCTAACTTTCGTATTGTTTGTGGAGATGGGTTTTTGCCATGTTGCCCAGGCTGCTCTTGAATTCCTGGGCTCAAGTGATCTACCTGTCTCAGCCTCCCAAAGTGCTGGGATTCCAGGTGTGAGCCACCACACCTGGCCTAATTTTGTGGTGCTTTAAGCCAAGCTGATAATCTCTGTCTTTTAAAAGTAATTCAAGTCTGTTTAGTTATTGTGCTTATTAATACAGATTTGAAATTAATTCTACTTTGTTCGTATATTTGTTTTCTTTGCTATAACTTTTATTTTTTATTTTTTGAGATGGAGTCTTGCTCTGTTGCCCAGGCTGGAGTGCAGTGGCACAATCTCAGCTCACTGCAGGCTCCGCCTCCCGGGTTCACACCATTCTCCTGCCTCAGCCTCTCAAGTAGCTGGGACTACAGGCACCTGCCACCACGCCCGGCTAACTTTTTTTTTGTATTTTTAGTAGAGACAGGGTTTCACCATGTTAGCCAGGGTGATCTTGATCTCCTGACCTCGTGATTCACCCGCCTCCGCCTCCCAAAGTGCTGGGATTACAGGCGTGAGCCACTGCGCCTGGCCTATAACTTAATTTTTTAAAACTTTTTCTGCTTTCCGTTAAGTTATCAGTTTTCTATATCGGATCTCCCCAACACTTGGCCACTCTTTCCTCTCTGCTTATTTAGAAGCTCTAGATGATATTTTATTAATATAAACTATCTTAAGTACAAAGTATTCAGAGAAGCTACGCACAGTGTGGCATGTTCCTGTAATCCCAGCTACTTTGGAGGCTGAGGCAGAGGACCCCTTGAGCCCAGGAGTTCCGAGCCAGTGTGGGCAACATAGTGAGATCTTGTCTCTAAAAAACAAAACAAAACAAAACAAAAAAAACAAAACAAAACAAAAACCAAAGTATTCAGACAAAGTAATTATTTCTAGCCCTCTTCCAAACAAATATGACAAAGTCCTTAGCTTACTTTACCCATTTTACACTTCCTTCCCTCTTGTTATTTTTTTAAACAAAAAGTGGTTATTATTTTTAATTCTACCACATATTTTAATTTCTTCCCTCACAAGTATCTCTTATATGTTTTCCCTCTGGGCTTATTTTTCTTTAGCAGTTCTTTGGGCATCAGTCTGTTGGCAGTAAGCTCCCTTAGTCTTTCATGATTGAAAATATCTGTTTTGTCCTCTCCCTTAAATGGTAGTTTATCTGGAAATCAATTTCTTGGTTGATAGTGTTTCATTCAGCACTTCTATCATTTAGTTGTCTTCTTGTTTCTATTGTTGCTTTTGAGGAATCTAGTTATAGTTCCTTCGTAGATAATCAGTATTTTTTCCCTTTGGTAACTTGTGATTTTATCTTTATCTTTTTTGTTCTGTACTTTCACTATAATGTGACAAAAGTGTTAGTTTATCTTTATCTGTGTGCTCAGTACACGTGATGTTCTGATGTTTTCATTAGAAAACCTCAGCCAATTCTCTCTTCCTTTGTTTTTTTTTTAAGACGGAATTTCACTTTTGTCGCCCAGGCTGGAGTGCAATGGCATGATCTCGGCTCAATGCAACCTCCGTCTCCTGGGTTCAAGCCACCATGCCCAGCTAATTCTGTGTATTTTTAGTAGAGAGGGTTTTTTACCATGTTGGTCAGGCTGGTTTCAAACTGGTGATCCACCCGCCTCAGCCTCCCAAAGTGCTGGGATTATAGGCCTGAGCCACCGCACCTGGCCAGCCATTTCTTTTTCTTCTCTACTCTTCCTTTCAGTGTTTCCTTCCAGAACTTCTATTACACATATGTTGGAGCCACTCAATCTAACCCCAGGAATCTGAACTTTTCTTTCACATTTAAAAATCCCTTTATTTTTCTAAACTCTGTTCTGGGTGAATTCTTTTTTTTTTTATTTTTTTTATTTCACTATTGTTTCTTTTCTTTTTTTTATTATTATTATTATACTATAACTTTTAGGGTACATGTGCACAATGTGCAGGTTAGTTGCATATGTATACATGTGCCATGCTGCTGTGCTGCACCCATTAACTCATCATTTAGCATTAGGTATATCTCCTAATGCTATCCCTTCCCCCTCCCCCCACCCCACAACAGTCCCCAGAGTGTGATGTTCCCCTTCTTGTGTCCATGTGTTCTCATTGTTCAATTGCCATCTATGAGTGAGAACATGCGGTGTTTGTTTTTTTGTCCTTGCGATAGTTTACTGAGAATGATGATTTCCAATTTCATCCATGTCCCTACAAAGGACATGAACTCATCATTTTTTATGGCTGCATAGTATTCCATGGTGTATATGTGACACATTTTCTTAATCCAGTCTATCATTGTTGGACATTTGGGTTGGTTCCAGGTCTTTGCTATTGTGAATAGTGCCACAATAAACATACGTGTGCATGTGTCTTTATAGCAGCATGATTTACAGTCCTTTGGGTATATACCCAGTAATGGGATGGCTGGGTCAAATGGTATTTCTAGTTCTAGATCCCTGAGGAATTGCCACACTGACTTCCACAATGGTTGAACTAGTTTACAGTCCCACCAACAGTGTAAAAATGTTCCTATTTCTCCACATCCTCTCCAGCACCTGTTGTTTCCTGACTTTTTAATGATTGCCATTCTAACTGGTGTGAGATGGTATCTCATTGTGGTTTTGATTTGCATTTCTCTGATGGCCAATGATGATGAGCATTTTTTCATGTGTCTTTTGGCTGCATAAATGTCTTCTTTTGAGAAGTGTCTGTTCATATCCTTCGCCCACTTTTTGATGGGGTTGTTTGTTTTTTTCTTGTAAATTTGTTTGAGTTCATTGTAGATTCTGGATATTAGCCCTTTGTCAGATGAGTAGGTTGCGAAAATTTTCTCCCATTTTGTAGGTTGCTCATTCACTCTGACGGTAGTTTCTTTTGCTGTGCAGAAGCTCTTTAGTTTAATGAGATCCCATTTGTCAATTTTGGCTTTTGTTGCCATTGCTTTTTGTGTTTTAGACATGAAGTCCTTGCCCATGCCTATGTCCTGAATGGTAATGCCTAGGTTTTCTTCTAGGGTCTTTATGGTTTTAGGTCTAACATTTAAGTCTTTAATCCATCTTGAATTAATTTTTGTATAAGGTGTAAGGAAGGGATCCAGTTTCAGCTTTCTACATATGGCTAGCCAGTTTACCCAGCACCATTTATTAAATAGGGAATCTTTTCCCCATGTCTTGTTTTTCTCAGGTTTGTCGAAGATCAGATAGTTGTAGATATGCGGCGTTATTTCTGAGGGCTCTGTTCTGTTCCATTGATCTATATCTCTGTTTTGGTACCAGTACCATGTTGTTTTGGTTACTGTAGCCTTGTAGTATAGTTTGAAGTCAGGTAGCGTGATGCCTCCAGCTTTGTTCTTTTGGCTTAGGATTGACTTGGCGATGCGGGCTCTTTTTTGGTTCCATGTGAACTTTAAAGTAGTTTTTTCCAATTCTGTGAAGAAAGTCCCTGGTAGCTTGATGGGGATGGCATTGAATGTATAAATTACCTTGGGCAGTATGGCCATTTTCACAATATGGATTCTTCCTACCCATGAGCATGGAATGTTCTTCCATTTGTTTGTATCCTCTTTTATTTCATTGAGCAGTGGTTTGTAGTTCTCCTTGAAGAGGTCCTTCACGTCCCTTTTAAGTTGGATTCCTAAGTATTTTATTCTCTTTGAAGCAATTGTGAATGGGAGTTCACTCATGATTTGGCTCTCTGTTTGTCTGTTATTGGTGTATAAGAATGCTTGTGATTTTTGTACATTGATTTTGTATGCTGAGACTTTGCTGAAGTTGCTTATCAGCTTAAGGAGATTTTGGGCTGAGACAATGGGGTTTTCTAAATATACAATCATGTCGTCTGCAAACAGGGACAATTTGACTTCCTCTTTTCCTAATTGAATACCCTTTATTTCCTTCTCCTGCCTGATTGCCCTGGCCAGAACTTCCAACACTATGTTGAATTGGAATGGTGAAAGAGGGCATCCCTGTCTTGTGCCAGTTTTCAAAGGGAATGCTTCCAGTTTTTGCGCATTCAGTATGATATTGGCTGTGGGTTTGTCATAGATAGCTCTTATTATTTTGAGATACATCCCATCAATACCTAATTCATTGAGAGTTTTTAGCATGAAGGTTGTTGAATTTTGTCAAAGGCCTTTTCTGCATCTATTGAGATAATCATGTGGTTTTTGTCTTTGGTTCTCTTTACATGCTGGATTACATTTATTGCTTTGCGTATATTGAACCAGCCTTGCATCCCAGGGATGAAGCCCACTTGATCATGGTGGATAAGCTTTTTGATGTGCTGCTGGATTTGGTTTGCCAGTATTTTATTGAGGATTTTTGCATCAGTGTTCATCAAGGATGTTGGTCTAAAATTCTCTTTTTTGGTTGTGTCTCTGCCCGGCTTTGGTATAAGGATAATGCTGGCCTCATAAAATGAGTTAGGGAGGATTCCTTCTTTTTCTATTGATTGGAATAGTTTCAGAAGGAATGGTACCAGTTCCTCCTTGTACCTCTGGTAGAATTCGGCTGTGAATCCATCTGGTCCTGGACTCTTTTTTGTTGGTAAGCTATTGATTATTGCCACAATTTCAGATCCTGTTATTGGTCTATTCAGAGATTCAACTTCTTCCTGGTTTAGTCTTGGGAGAGTGTATGTGTCGAGGAATTTATCCATTTCTTCTAGATTTTCTAGTTTATTTGCATAGAGGGGTTTGTAGTATTCTCTGATGGTAGTTTGTATTTCTGTGGGATTGGTGGTGATATCCCCTTTATCATTTTTTATTGCGTCTATTTGATTCTTCTCTCTTTTTTTCTTCATTAGTCTTGCTAGCGGTCTATCAATTTTGTTGATCCTTTCAAAAAACCAGCTCCTGGATTCATTAATTTTTTGAAGGATTTTTTGTGTCTCTATTTCCTTCAGTTCTGCTCTGATCTTAGTTATTTCTTGCCTTCTGCTAGCTTTTGAATGTGTTTGCTCTTGCTTTTCTAGTTCTTTTAATTGTGATGTTAGGGTGTCAATTTTGGATCTTTCCTGCTTTCTCTTGTGGGCATTTAGTGCTATAAATTTCCCTCTATACACTGCTTTGAATGCATCCCAGAGATTCTGGTATGTTGTGTCTCTGTTCTCCTTGGTTTCAAAGAACATGTTTATTTCTGCCTTCATTTCATTATGTACCCAGTAGTCATTCAGGAGCAGGTTGTTTAGTTTCCATGTAGTTGAGCGGTTTTGAGTGAGTTTCTTAGTCCTGAATTCTAGTTTGATTGCACTGTGGTCTGAGAGACAGTTTGTTATAATTTCTGTTCTTTTACATTTGCTGAGGAGAGCTTTACTTCCAACTATGTGGTCAATTTTGGAATAGGTGTGGTGTGGTACTGAAAAAAATGTATATTCTGTTGATTTGGGGTGGAGAGTTCTGTAGATATCTATTAGGTCCGCTTGGTGCAGAGCTGAGTTCAATTCCTGGGTATCCTTGTTAACTTTCTGTCTTGTTGATCTGTCTAATGTTGACAGTGGGGTGTTAAAGTCTCCCATTATTATTGTGTGGGAGTCTAAGTCTCTTTGTAGGTCACTCAGGACTTGCTTTATGAATCTGGGTGCTCCTGTATTGGGTGCATATATATTTAGGATAGTTAGCTCTTCTTGTTGAATTCATCCCTTTACTATGTAATGGCCTTCTTTGTCTCTTTTGATCTTTGTTGGTTTAAAGTCTGTTTTATCAGAGACTAGGATTGCAACCCCTGCCTTTTTTTGTTTTCCATTTGCTTGGTAGATCTTCCTCCATCCTTTTATTTTGAGCCTATGTGTGTCTCTGCATGTGAGATGGGTTTCCTGAATACAGCACAGTGATGGGTCTTGACTCTTTATCCAATTTGCCAGTCTGTGTCTTTTAATTGGAGCATTTAGTCCATTTACATTTAAAGTTAATATTGTTATGTGTGAATTTGCTCCTGTCATTATGATGTTAGCTGGTTATTTTGCTTGTTAGTTGATGCAGTTTCTTCCTAGTCTTGATGGTCTTTACATTTTGGCATGATTTTGCAGCGGCTGGTACCGGTTGTGCCTTTCCATGTTTAGTGCTTCCTTCAGGAGCTCTTGTAGGGCAGGCCTGGTGGTGATAAAATCTCTCAGCATTTGCTTGTCTGTAAAGTATTTTATTTCTCCTTCACTTATGAAGCTTAGTTTGGCTGGATATGAAATTCTGGGTTGAAAATTCTTTTCTTTAAGAATGTTGAATATTGGCCCCCACTCTCATCTGGCTTGTAGAGTTTCTGCTGAGAGATCCGCTGTTAGTCTGATGGGCTTCCCTTTGTGGGTAACCCAACCTTTCTCTCTGGCTGCCCTTAACATTTTGTCCTTCATTTCAGCTTTGGTGAATCTGACAATTATGTGTCTTGGAGTTGCTCTTCTCGAGGAGTATCTTTGTGGTATTCTCTGTATTTCCTGAATCTGAATGTTGGCCTGCCTTGCTAGATTGGGGAAGTTCTCCTGGATAATATCCTGCAGAATGTTTTCCAACTTGGTTCCATTCTCCCCGTCACTTTCAGGTACACCAATCAGATGCAGATTTGGTCTTTTCACATAGTCCCATATTTCTTGGAGGCTTTGTTCGTTTCTTTTTATTCTTTTTTCTCTAAACTTCCCTTCTCACTTCATTTCATTCATTTCATCTTCCATCACTGATACGCTTTCTTCCAGTTGATTGCATTGGCTCCTGAGGCTTCTGCATTCTTCACGTAGTTCTCGAGCCTTGGCTTTCAGCTCCATCAGCTCCTTTAAGCACTTCTCTGTATTGGTTATTCCAGTTAGCCATTCGTCTAAATTTTTTTCAAAGTTTTCAACTTCTTTGCCTTTGGTTTGAATTTCCTCCTGTAGCTGGGAGTAGTTTGATCGTCTGAAGCCTTCTTCTCTCAACTCGTCAAAGTCATTCTCCATCCAGCTTTGTTCTGTTGCTGGTGAGGAACTGCGTTCCTTTGGAGGAGGAGAGGCGCTCTGCTTTTTAGAGTTTCCAGTTTTTCTGCTCTGTTTTTTCCCCATCTTTGTGGTTTTATCTACTTTTGGTCTTTGATGATGGTGATGTACAGATGGGTTTTTGGTGTGGATGTCCGTTCTGTTTGTTAGTTTTCCTTCTAACAGACAGAACCCTCAGCTGCAGGTCTGTTGGAGTTTGCTAGAGGTCCACTCCAGACCCTGTTTGCTTGGGTATCAGCAGCAGAGTCTGCAGAATCGGGGATTTTCGTGATCCGCGAATGCTGCTGTCTAATCGTTCCTCTGGAAGTTTTGTCTCAGAGGAGTACCTGGCCCTGTGAGGTGTCAGTCTGCCCCTACTGGGGGGTGCCTCCCAGTTAGGCTGCTTGGGGGTCAGGGGTCAGGGGTCAGGGACCCACTTGAGGAGGCAGTCTGCCTGTTCTCAGATCTCCAGCTGCGTGCTGGGAGAACCATTGCTCTCCTCAAAGCTGTCAGACAGGGACATTTAAGTCTGCAGAGGTTACTGCTGTCTTTTTGTTTGTCTGTGCCCTGCCCCCAGAGGTGGAGCCTACAGAGGCAGGCAGGCCTCCTTGAGCTGTGGTGGGCTCCACCCAGTTCAAGCTTCCTGGCTGCTGTGTTTACCTAAGCAAGCCTGGGCAATGGCGGGCGCCCCTCCTCCAGCCTTGCTGCCGCCTTGCAGTTTGATCTCAGACTGCTGTGCTAGCAATCAGTGAGACTCCGTGGGCGTAGGACCCTCCGAGCCAGGTGCGGAATATATTCTCCTGGTGCGCCATTTCCTAAGCTCGTTGGAAAAGCGCAGTATTCGGGTGGGAGTGGCCCGATTTTCCAGGTGCCGTTTGTCACCCCTTTCCTTGACCAGGAAAGGGACCTCCCTGATCCCTTGAGCTTCCCGAGTGAGGCAATGCCTCTCCTGCTTCGGCTGGCGCACGGTGTGCGGCACCCACTGTCCTGCACCCACTGTCTGGCACTCCCTAGTGAGATGAACCCGGTACGTCACATGGAAATGCAGAAATCACCCGTCTTCTGCGTCACTCACGCTGGGAGCTGTAGACCGGAGCTGTTCCTATTCGGCCATCTTGGCTCCTCCCGCTCTGGCTGAATTCTTTAGTACATCCCTTTAATTCACTACTTTTTCTCTTTGACTTTGATTAGCTCCATATATCTTTTGATTTCAATGACCATATTTTTATTTTTCAAATTTTTGTTAGTTCTTTCTCATATTTACCTGTTTTTTAATTCAGCCTGTATCTGTTCCTTAATTTCTTGTCCTTTCAAAATGGGTGCTATGCATCCATTTATTGCATATCAAATTCAAAAATATTTAATTTAAAAATATTTGCCAGATAGTTCCATAGAATTATTTTTATCTGGAGTAAATACATGCTCTGAGTGTCCGTTTTGTTGGCTAGCTTTCATAGTATTAGATATTTTTATGTGATTGAAACTTGGTGGTCAGGCTCATTTTGAGGGAACGTTTTTATTTGCTTTTTCCTGTTTTGTTTTAGTTTATTTTCTTTTTCTCACTCCTTCTGGGCTCACCTCCATGCTTAGTGATTTTACCTCCATGCTTAGTGATTTTGCCTCCATGTGTCTCCCCAGACCTCTATTCTAGAATTAGATCTAAAGCTGGCATCTTGATGCTCCTATTCCTAGTGATGCCACAGGCCAAATCACATGGCCAGCTGCTTGGCTTGGTTCCTGACTCCAAGGCTGTGCCTTTGTTCTTCTACTTTACCAGGTAGTGGGTTGGCAGCGGTTTATATGCAGCCTCCTTTCAGGAGTTCCTGGCTTCAAGCACTAAGTCTGGCTCCTGCCCTCAACTGAACCATCTGTAATTCCTTTCACCTTGCAGGAGACAATAATCTTGGCTTTTGAGCCTGAGACCACAGTGAGCTTGTAGCTCCAGGCTTGCTGAATGCTTTCTGTTTGGTTCCACTTTAGATCCATGAAAATGATCATTTTGTTCTTGAGCCTGGTTATGTCTTTTTGGTTTTCTCTATTTTTTAGCCATCATTTCTCTGTGTGTGGAGGAAAAGGAGTAGATGAAAGCATGGTGTTACTGCACCAAGTTGAGTAGACATATTTCTGTGTGTACTTCTCCATTTTCACCTCTCACCATCGCTACCTTACAATTTATGTTCTAGCCATAATGAACTACTTTCAGTTTCCAGAGGGTCAATAAATTGCATGCCTGTCTCCCAACCCCCAACTTTGGATGAAATAAGACAACAGACGAAAGTCATATAGAGACTTAAAAAAATTGATATCTATATTATATCTATCTACCCTTATGCTTCATTACAGATAAGCTAATAAAACTAGGTTATAGATCTGTAACCCAAAAGGGCTTGCCAACATTCTCTGCTGACTCTCGACCCCCACAGAATCTAGCCTTGGAACAGCCCACTAAAGGGGAAGTTTAGGTCTGCTGCCAAACATGTTTATCTAAGATCATTGTCTGCACTGATCTAGGGCAGAAAGGGAAAAAAAAGAATGAATTTATTAGATTAGTTCCATCCAGTCAAGAACTATGAGCTAATGAATGTAACAGTACTCACCAATCAAGTAACGCACTCCTGAGTGTGAAGAATAGTGGTATAAGAAAGCAGAACTAGCACTCCAGTAGAAATTCCCCTCTCCTCCCATGGAAACATGGTGCCAAGGGAGAGGAGGTTCCCTTAACACCTTAACACACAGGACATGCTCCTTCTCATTCCTCTAAGTCTTGTCTTTTTCTTTCCTTCCTTCCTTCCTCCCTCCCTCCTTTCTTCCTTCCCTCTCTGTCTCTTTTATTTTTATTTTTTGAGACAGAGTTTTGCTCTTGTTGCCCAGGCTGGAGTGCAATGGTGCAATCTTGGCTCACTGTAATCTCCGCCTCCCGGGTTCAAGAGATTCTACTGCCTCAGCCTCCTGAGTAGCTGGGATTACAGACGTGTGCCACCACGCCCGGCTAATTTTGTATTTTTAGTAGAGACGAGTTTTCTCCATGTTGGTCAGGCTGGTCTCGAACTCCCGACCTCAGGTGATCTGCCCACCTTGGCCTCTCAAAGTGCCGGAATTACAGGTGTGAGCCACCGCACCTGGCCCTTTTGTCTCTTTCTTTGGAGACAAGCTCTTGCCAGTTTGGAGTCCAGTGGTACCATCATAGCTCATGGCAGCCTTGAACTCCTGGGCTCAAGCTATGGGAGACGAGTTTCCCTTAACACATGCCATGCCCTTTCTCCTTCCTCTATTCCTTGTCCCCCCTCCCTTCTTCCCTTCCCTTCCCTCCTTCTCTTCCTTTCCCTCCTTTCCTTCCCTTCCCTCCTCCCCTACCCTTCCTTTCTCTTCCCTCTCTTTTATCTTTTGAGACAAGGACTTGCTCTATTACACCTTGAACTCCTGGGCTCAAGCTATCCTCCACCTCAGCTTCCTAAGCAGCTAGGACTACAGGCGCACACCACCGTGCCCAGCTAATTTTTAAATTTTTTTGTAGAGACACGGTCTCACCACATTTCCCAGGCTTCCAAAGCTGGGATTACGGGTGTGAGCCACCACACCTGGTCCCTGTAAGTATTTTCAAAGGCTCTTCCTTCCTCTCTTTATCTACCAACTCTTACTTTTTCTAATGCCTATAATAAAAACAATAGTTAATACTTATTGAATCCCAACTATGGGGGGAAGCACTATCACATACATTATTGAGTTTAATCCTCATAACAACCCTATGAGGTGTGTATTTTTATCCTGATTTTATGGATGAATAAATTAAGAACAAGTAAGATTTCCTTTGTTTCCAATATTATGCAAGTAAATGTCAGAGGCAAGATTAGGCCCAGGTTTCTCCAGCTCCAGAGCCCATGTTCTTTTCATCATATACAGCTGCTTCTCATGTTTTATTCATCTCTGGATGCCTAGAACACTGCATAACACCAACAGAGAGTGAGTGCTCAATAATAATGAATGAATGAATATATAAATCAATGAAACATATTCTCAAATTAGCTGCCTAGAATGGATTTAAAACAATTTTAATATAAGGATTTATAAAGAATTCCTAACCTCTTTTGGAGTCAAATTCCTTTTCATAAAGGTGGATATGAGGATCCAACTTGGAAGGTTTCTGTAGGGGTTGCTAGCTTTGATATACCTCTGCAGTCACATCTGTCCAGCCCTCCCAGTTTTAGGTTTTCTTTCCCTGGCCGACCACAGAGACATCTCTGCTGGTTTCATTCTGCTTTTGTCCCTGCCCAAGCTTGTTGCCTACCTGAAAGAGTAGGTTCCTTCTAGTCCCTGATCACTTATACTTGTAAAACTACTGAAGCTTCACATACTACTACCAGCCACAATACCTCCATGTAAAGACACACTGTGTATTAGTCAAGACTCTTGAATGTAAGCCACAGAAACTAATTCTGACTGAAAAAGAAATTTATAGACTTATACAACCGAGAAATTCAAAAGATGAAATAGCCTTAGATATACCTGGATTCAGAGAAGTAGATTTACAATGAGCCCAATGAAGTTTAAATTTCTGGGTTACTAATTGCTCGGTCCTGTCTTAGGCTCTGGGAGAGGTCCTAGCAACATGTATACATAATCATGTTTTTCTAAATCTTGTAAAAATAAAATATTTCAATCACGATTGGTTAAGATTGTGGTTTCTTTTCTACTCTGATTTCCTATCCGTCACACTGCTCCATTGGTCGCGTGGGTCGGGTGGTGGTGGTGTGGTCTCAGCATTACTAAGACATACTCACTTGTAATGGAATTCAGTTTAGCAAAATCCTTTTTTTTTTTTCCTGAAATGGAGTCTCACTGTGTCACCAGGCTGGAGTGCAGTGGCGCGATCTTGGCTCACTGCAATCTTTGCCTCCCGGGTTCAAGCGATTCTTCTGCCTCAGCCTCCTGAGTAGCTGGGATTACAGGCGCTCGCCACCACACCCAGCTAATTTTTGTATTTTTAGTAGAGACGGGTTTTCACCAGGCTGGCCATGATGGTCTTAATCTCCTGACCTCATGATCCACCTGCCTCGGCCTCCCAAAGTGTTGGGATTACAGGTGTGAGCCACCACACCCGCCCTAAAATCCACTTTAATAATTCATTTTGTATTATTTTTCTTAAAGAGGACTCCTCAAATTAGGTATGCTTCCAGCCCCACAAGACCCAGATCCACCCTTACCAAGGGCTCAAGTGATACCATGTAGATACTTTCTCTCTCACTGTTTCAGCTCTTTTCTTCTCTGTTTGCTTCATTAGTAGCAAACTTCCTCACATGGTGGCAAGAAGGCCACTGGCAGCTCTAAGGTTATAGCACGCTCAGGGCTGGGAATTCTAAGGTAAAGAGATACCACTTTTGCTGATGACATCAGGAAATGACCTAAGGAGGGTTTGGATTAGCTTGGTTTGTGTCACTTGCCCTTTTCCAAACCAATCATTATGGCCAGGGAAATGTGGAACACAGGTTAGTCAAATCTGGGTAACATTCCTGGATCTAGTTAATGGTGGGAGCAAGTGCTATAGTGGGTGGTTGAGAGGTCATCCCAATCTAGACCAATAGACTAAGACCGGGGAAAAGATAGTTTTCTAAAGGAATGCTAGACAAACTGGAATTTCATGTTTCCAAGTCACACAAACACAACCATCAGCAACCTATTATTCTGAATAGAACAAACAAGTCTTTAGAGCATTTTAGAAACAATAGCTCATTTGATCCTTAAACAGTCCTATAAAATAGGTAAGGACTATTATGTTTTATAAATAAGGAAACTCAGTAAGGAGTAGAGCTAGGTTTGAAATCCATGTCTTTTGACTCCTAGTTCAGTACCTCATATACATTTAAAGGGCTTCACTTTATTAATGGATTTAAAGAGGTGAAACATTGCCTGAAACAAGAGGGTACTGCCTGTGAAAGCACGAATACCATCTATGTCTTTTCATTACAGAAACATGTTGGCAATACCCATTAGTCATTCTGAACCCATTTTATTTGCAATGCAATAGCACTGCCCCACCATTTTCACTTTCCCAGCTCAAGAGTGTTGTGAGATTAGGGCCAGGCAAGCTATTTACTGGACGAGTAGAGCAGGAAGTGTTCTGCGTAAATGGCAGGAAAAACCAGCTATGGGTGCCTGCGCATGCTCTGCTCCCTAGGCTGGAGCACGACCCTTCTCTTATGGTTCAAGGCTCAGCTCAGGTGACACTGGATTGGGGAACTTTCCCTAACTTTCCCAATCCACCTCCTCTCACTCTGTGGCACCTTCAGTGTTCCCATAAAGCCCGTGACACTTTGCTCCAACAGCATTCTTCCCACTGTCTTGTAATCGTCAGTGTTCATCTACTCCTCCACACTAGACTGCAAGCTCACTGAGCATAAGGATTCTGACTTATTTCTCCAAATCTCCAGCACCTAGTACAGGATTTGTCAAATAGTAGTCCTCCAACAAATGAGTCTTTTATAAGCAAATGAGCCTCACGTACTTTGGCTCAGAGAAGCAGCCAAGATTTTTTGGCTTTGCCGACTTTCACGGATCTTACTTGAGGGCTTCACA
Source organism: Homo sapiens (assembly GCF_000001405.40). Lineage (NCBI taxonomy): Eukaryota > Metazoa > Chordata > Mammalia > Primates > Hominidae > Homo > Homo sapiens. Next base: position 117,364,168 of record NC_000001.11, read on the forward strand.
GCACTGAACTTCAGTTTATCCCTGACCTCTGAGGAAAATGCCTCATAGAGGAAAGCAAGATTGGAAGGAGCAAGGCTGAAGCCTGTTATTTCCCTACACATTCAGTGGTCACGTCGAGTAATTTCTCCTCCAATATCTTCCTTGTACATTTTGGGCACCAGTTGGAACAGGTTACATAAGTAAATCAAAAGCCTCTTTTTGCATACCAGCTTTTATTTTTTTCCTGTAGCACTTCAGTTTCACTTAAAACAGAGCTAGGGGTGTATGTGTGTGTGTGTGTGTGTGTGTGTGCATGCGTGTGTGTATAACAGGTGTGAAATGGTTTCAATAATAGAAAAGTCAACACATGGTTGAACAAATACAAGTAACTTCCACATTGCAATACGAGTGGATCTTAGGAGTGGTCCTGTAAATCTGCAGGAGTAAATTTTGTTAGTAATTTATTAATTCTAATTTCTAAAATATTAATTTATATGGATTTGTAAAAGGGAAATCATCACTTTGGAATCTCTGATCAAAGGGTAACTACTCTTTGAAAATGAAATATTCTTTTTAGACTCTCTGGAATGAAATCCTTCCCTGTTGTACGTGTACACACACATACACACATACATAGAACAGGCTGCATACTGTTTCTGCCGATTGCCTTCAGATGGGCCGGTCTGTGTGTTCATCTTGATACTACCGAGTCTACCTATTTGAAATTTGACCTTAACTTTTTCAGGCACCAGTTCCTTTATAATTTTTATTTAATTGTAAATATAATGCAACAGAATACAATGGAGAAAATCATACGTAAAACCAGTATCTTAACAGAATAGTTGCAATCTTTTTCAAATATTCTTTTTCTATGTTTTTAAGTGCATATAATTATAATTAATGGATACATTTGCAACTTTTTTTTTTTTAAACAACATGATTCTTTAAAAACTCAGACTTGCCTTTAGAAGAGTGGATATATGTAATACTATGTATACAGTATTTTCATTGCTGGTGTAGGAGTGTGATAACTGACGGTATCATCAATGACTTTAAAATTGCTGGCTGCATTTGGACATCTGCAATAACCCCTAAATTGTTTTTACTCTCATGAAGGAAAAATGAATTTTGCAAAACAGACAAGCAAAGGAAAAGGGGTCTTCTCCATCAGCAATGAGGTCTTACTTGCTTAAGCTATACTTGTCAACTAGGTTATGTCAGGTTTCATGATTGAAATCTCTTGTGGTTAAGTCTAGTGTTAACCTAGGTAATATTTATTTTTCAAGATTTATATAACTTGCTATTTCATTCAGAGTTCAGTATTTATTTCCCCTGAACTTTTCATGGAAACTAATGATCTCAACAGTAGGAAAACAGTGTGTTCTTCCCCGCCTCCCCACCGCCCCCCCCACTTTGGCTTACGGAGTCTCAACATTAGAGACTTATTCTTAAATTTGGCACATTTTATAAAGACATATTGGGAAGGCTAAAAGTTTCTTATATCTACTCTTCACAAATGTTCAACATAAATCTCACTAGGGACCGGGCACTCCTTGCTTACCAGTCTCCCTGGGTGAACTGGTGAGAGGTGGCCCTCAATATTTTTACTTTTTATTTGGTGAAGCAGGATCAATGACAATGACTTTTGTCATGTGGTAGGCAGTTAGATATGCAGAGCTTCTAGAAATAATGCAGACTGGGAGACTGGAATGTAGTTACAAGTGTGCCAATGAACATGAGACTTTTCTGCTTGATTTTTAAGCTAAGGCTGACTTACTCTCCTGACATTTAAGGGCCTCCTCTCCAATTCCCAGTCATCAGTAAAGGATGTGTACAGGGAATGACAATATTAGAACAAAAACAACCTGCAAGTAAATCGGATGCAAGAGTCTATGTATCTTGCAAGGAAATCTTTTGCACTTAATCACAACATGGCTCTCCTCAATACTACGGAGAACAGAATTGATTCAGATTGTTTTTAAGCCTGAACGTAAACAATATTGTCGCCTTTTTGGGTTTCAGCACCTCCTTATTCATCCATTTTCTCTTTTATGGGAAGGGGGTTGATGAGGTGTGTGAAGATGATAGAACGTGCCCCAGAAACTGAACAATGAAGAGACGCCTGTCATATCGGGGGTACCTAGATTCCTCTGAAAGGAAGCCCAGCTGAAGGAGCAGGGTCACCACTTTATTTTAAAAACGTAACATGGCACATGTTGGTGCTCTATTAATCGAGCCTCGGGGGCCCAATAACGTGAGCATGGGCTGCTGCGTGGAAGTTTGAGACCCTGTTGCTGAATCCTCGGGCCTGACGGTCTATCGCTGAAGACAAGACTTCCAAAGAATCACAGTAAACGTTAACCTAAGCCATCAGAAGCCATTAACTCCGGTGACACTACATTTCAGCGAAACCTTCGCGACCCAACCCCTCGCTCCCTCTCGCCCAAACGCTGGGTCAACCCCACGAACTGGCGGTGGCAAGGCCCTGGGCACCGGTGAAGTTCTCGTGGCAGCGCAGATCGGCGACCTTCTCTTCTTTCGCGCTCAGACGGCGGCGGCAGCAGTACGCTTTCGGGCTGCTGGAGCCGGCAGCGGCGCGAGGCCGGAGCCCGGGCAGCCAGGCTGGGTGGGGGAGGGGCGGCGGCAGCGGAGCCGGGAGCGTGCGCGCGCACCTCACACTCCGCCGCCCGGGGACGCCCACTCGCGAGCCGGGGCCGGTAGGCCGGCCCGGGTCCCATCGCCCCCGCCCTCCGGTTCCTCTCCGGCGTGAGCCCAACGGGTGTCGGCCCAGCAGCTGCTGCGCTCACCAGGCCTGGGGAGGCAGGGTACGGGGACCGGGCCGCAGCCCCGAGCGGCGTGGGCGCGCTGCCTCTCTGGCAGCCGCCGCCAGAGCCAGCAGCTGCGAGCCACCGGAGGCGGCGCGGAGGAGGCCCCCGCGGCCGGGCAGGAAGGAGACGCGGCCGACCTCTGCCCGCCCGAGGCGCGGCTGCTCCCGCGCGCCCAGGCCCTCCCGCCGCTCCAGGGCTGAGTGAGGAATGAGCCGGCGCCTACCCCGGGCTCTCGGAGCGTGGGCCCCGGCTCGGCTTCTTAGGCGCGAGGGCTCGGCCACTGCGGCCGGCGGCCTAGCTCGGGGAGCAGGCGCCGGGGTTCACTGAACCGGCCGCGGAGAGGAGGAGGAGGAGGAGGAAGAGGAGGAGGAGGAGGAGGAGGAGCTCGGCGGGGGCGGCCGCCGCGCCTCCCCTCCCCCAGGACACGCCGGGGCTTCTCAGTGGCCGCCGGAGGAGGAAGTTCCGCTCCCTGACAGACCCGTGCGGTAGCAACAGCGGCGGCGGCCGCGGCGGCTGGCCGGACTCAGGTGTTTCGGACGCTATTGCCCTTCGCGCCAGCCGTCGAGTGGGCAGCAGCGGGACTCAGCCGGGCGCCAGGTTCCTGCCAGGCAGCGCCGGGAAGCGCGGGCGGCCGAGAACTCCTTCCTGCTACTTCGCCCAGCGCCGCTGCTTCGGCTTCCCAGCGAAGTGGGAGACCTTCCTCCCTGTTTGCAGACGTCCGTGGGAGACCCTTATTTTTTCCACCGCTAAGGTTAAGAGATTCTGGAATAGAAGCGTCGAAGGAGATCAAGTGAACCTTCTACAACTCCTCGGATGTCGCCAGTCTCCCTTTCGGGGCGGAAGACTACGTTTGAGCATCTCACTGAGGTGCAGGAATGGAAGAACCCACCTTGCAGCTTTTCTGCAGTGTGGCTTGCCTGATCTACCCCTAGGAATGAAGAGGAGGCTTGTAATAATCCGATGAAGTACAGATGTTGAAGAGGATATCGCAGGACCTAAACTTGTGATCGTTTGGGGGAGGTCACACACGTTTCTGAGTGGGAATGGATGGGCGTGAATGACGTGCCCTCTTAAAAAGCACAACAGTCCTTTAAGAGGAGCAAAATTGAGTTTTCCCATTTTGGCCAAGATTTTGAAGACAGTTCAATGTATTCTACATTTGACATAAGATGAGAACTTTCTAAAGTATTCTCTCCAAGAGCGTAAACGATGACTACCCCAGCCCTGCTGCCCCTCTCTGGACGTAGGATACCACCTCTGAACCTGGGGCCGCCTTCCTTCCCACATCACAGGGCTACCTTGAGACTTTCTGAGAAGTTTATTCTTCTCCTTATTCTTAGTGCCTTCATCACTCTGTGTTTTGGGGCATTCTTTTTCCTTCCAGACTCTTCAAAACACAAACGCTTTGATTTGGGTTTAGAAGATGTGTTAATTCCACATGTAGATGCCGGTAAAGGGGCTAAAAACCCCGGAGTCTTCCTGATCCATGGACCCGATGAACATAGACACAGGTTTGTTTATTTCAGAAGTTCTGGTACTAACATTTGGCAGAGCAAGGTACGGTGATTGGATCGAATCTGTCTTTTTTTTTTCTTGCAGTAAAATGTAATTTTTCGAGTCATAAATATTGTATTGTTACTTCAAGACTGGCTGAATAAAACCATAGACTGGAGGGACTCTACCTCCAGTCTATGGTAGAGTCCATAGACTGGTAGGACTGGAGTCCTACCTAAGTCGTTCTTCTCTTCGGTTTTATATAAGAAAAACATTTGCGTTCAGAGTTGTGTCTAATGTGGACATCTGGGAAGGGAGGTATGAAAACTTAACCTAAAGAAATGGTGACATAAGCTGTGCCTGCATTTATTAATAACGTGTTGGAGTCAGTCATTGTGCCACCATGTGAAATCAAAGCATCGAACCTTGACAGCTCTTTTGGGTGTGCTCTCCCAGAGGGCTCTCGTTTTCTGGCTTGTAGTTGAAGCTTAGTAGTGAGTCAGCTTTTTAGGATGACAAACGTGGGCAGAATATACCTGTCATTTCTTAACGTGAAAATATCCTGATTTTTGTTCTTTTTTTGGGGATGTGTGTTGGTGCTGTATATGAAATCAGTTAAGTTAAAAGGTATTGAATCCTAAGTTATTGCACTTTGTGAGGCTTGTAGACAAGATTTATTTTTGTGAAACTTAATTTTGCTCTCTCTTTTAATGTAATAGATGGACTGTGTCAAGCAACTATTGGAATTTGGTTGATTAAGGGGTTCACATTCTTTCAGATCACTAAATCTAAAGTGAGCTCTGGGGAGAGCATAGCCAAACTAGGATAAAATGGGAGCTCTAGTTACAATTTTTATAATTTTTATATTTGTACTCAAGAGTTTGGGAAAGTAGTTGACTTTTCTTAAACCTGCCATCTTTTCCTTGTTTCTTAAAATAATTCTTGAGTATGTGGGAAAAAAAATCATGTGCTTGAATTCATTTCCCATCTGATGATAGTTTTAACTTTTTGTCAAGCACCGAAAAAGCTTAGGTTCACGTGTAAGCCTACATTAAATATTTGGGAAAATGCACTGTTTTATGAGAACTGGTTTTTCTTTTTTTCTCAACCTAGTTAATTCATTACTTGTGTGATGGTTCTTTGACTTTTGGATGAATTTTATGGAGTAGTTACTTCTAATATTGTTTCATGCCATTCTTTTGTAACTAAGTTAATTTGGAATTTTTGCCATTTTCGACTACTGTACTCCTGTATTTGTTTCTTTAATTTTGCACTTTGCTTGTTGTGACTTTAAGAAAACACTAATATGATCTGTGAAATATGTTACTGAAAAATTAACGGTGAAAGTAGTTTTCCTTGAAAATCTTATTTCGCATGGTATTTGTATAACATATGAAATATATTGAAAAAATGTGTTAAGGCTGTTTTTAGAGCTGTTTCACAACAGCCACACATTAACATTACTTAGCTCTATTATTAATAGTATCTGTCATGTACTAAGCAGTTTAAAAAATACATTTTGAATGGTCTAAAAGTTTAAAATAATATGACCACATTTTAGTTTAAAAACATTTACACAAAAATTCTCAGTAAATGGAGTTAAAATATGAAATTTGAATGAAAATACAGATATGTGCCTTTTATTCACATTTTTAACAGTCTGTATAAATAGTTTAAACAAGAATTCTTAAATTTATGAAGCCCTTGGATATATATGCATATGTATTTAGCTATCTAAAACTATTGGGTTCCTGAGTTTGGAATGAGAGATTGGTTATTGTTCTGATAGCAGGGGTGGTTTGTGAGCCATGCCCTGAGTTTTGGCTAGTAAGAGTCTGGATAGCAAGTGATACATGTGAGTCTGGATAGATTCCAATGCAGTTTTTGGAATCTATTCGGTTCCTGAGTTTTGGAAAACGAGAATTCAAATAGAGTTCAGGTGGCAAAGGATCCTTGTGTTATCTCTTTGTATTTCTGTGGTTATATCAGTTGACATTTGCTTTAGCGTATTATTTGCTGTTGTTTACTATATCAGAAAAGAGTCTGTAGTAATAAACTTTCTTTTACTTTGAGCAAGGAAATACTTTTTAAATTAAGTGTATGTTTAAAATGTGGAAACAGAAAACATCAAATGTATAAACATTAACTTATTTAAAAATAATTCAGAAAAATAGCACTTTTACAGTTGGTACTAAGATCATATGTATTTTGGGTATGGGTCAGAACTTACCTAATTTAGAAGAAACAAATTGACAGTTTATCTTCATTTAGTGTGTGTGTGTGTGTGTGTGTGTGTGTGTAAGGGTACAGGATAGAGGGCTGAGGAATGTTACTTTAACTAATAAGTAATGGAAAATAAGTCATGGTCACCATTTCTTATTTGCAGTACTTAAGAGATACTTGTTTAGTTAGTATTTCTTTATTAATAGATTAGTATAATAATTTGGTGTTTAAGTTCTGGAGTCAGACTGTATAGATTCATACCCTAGCTTGCCACTGATTAGATTTATGATACTGAGAAATTTTAAAACTCTATATTGTTTCCTTTGTATCACAGTGGCATGTATCTACTTTACAGATTGTTTTATTGAAAGAGATAGTACATGCAAAGCACTCAACATAGTTCCTGGCATTTAGTAAATGATCAATAAATGTTAACTATTATTATCATCAGTGATTATAATTGTAATGGAATATTTTTATTCGGAATCTACTTTCCTTTAAATACTGTATATTTTCTGAAAAGTAGGGTACAGTTTGATTAATATTTAGAAGTATACTAGGATCTTATTGTCTAAAGGAACATTTTATAACCAAACTGGTTGGCAACAAATGTATGCCTACTGTGGCAGGCCCCGCTTTCATGAAACTTTCAATCTAGGGAGAGATGATGGGCATTAAATAAATAATTTTGTTTTTGAGGTGTGATGAATGTTACGAAGTTGTACTCAGTGCTTTCAGAGCAAGGAATGTGTGACCTAGTCTATAGAGTTGGGGGTGGAGGGGCAGTGGGAATAAGGAAGACTTCATTGAGAAAGTGTGCCTCAGAAACGTAGAATGAGTAGGAGATTGCTTAATGAAGTGGAATTGGAGGTTGAGGGGAGGTTGAGGGTCAAAGCAGAAGACACAACATGTGTGAGAGCCCTAAGGAAAAAAAGCTTGGCATCACTAAGAATCTGAGAAATGTTAAGTATGGCTGTTGCAGAGGGTGTGGGTCTGGGTGATGAGACTAGATGAGAGGTCAGGTTTGGCCTGCTTACAAGTTTTTTGGCCTCCTTATTGTTGTTACAAAAGTTTGAATTAGTTGTCAGCATTCACAGATCAGGAGATTTCATGTTAAAGTCTGGATTTCTGATCTTTCTTGAAAAATTAGAGGTTATGGCAACATCCAGTGTATTTTCAGATGGTAATATTCAAGCCACAACCCAGTAGCAGCTGCTCCCTTGGGAGGGGGACGGGGGCGGGCATGTGCCACTCAGAGTGCGAAATAAGTAAATACAAATCAATCAATATTTAACCTGGTTGTTGTTGAGTTTGCAAATTCTAGTCAGGATTCTAGAGAGTTTGTAGTTAAATATTTTGGTTTTTATCATAAATACTAAGAGAAGTTATTGAAGGATTGTAATAAAAGCAAGGGAATGACATGATCATTTTAAATTAAAAAAATTAAATAATCACTTTGGTTGCAATGATTACTTACTGGATGGTAAGAAGCAGGAGGATAACAAGTTAAGAGGGGCTGGGTCACAGAGGATATATTGGCTTAGATCGCAGTGGTGATAGTGGAGAATGAGATAAATTAGTGGAGAAAAGTGGTTGAGTCAAGAGGTGTTAAACTATTAAGTTTCACAGAAAATGGTGGTTGGTTAAATATGGGGCCAAAATAGAAAGAAAAGTGAGTCCAAGATAATGTCTAGGTTTCTGGGTGACATGGCCATGGATTAGTAAGAAATACATACTATATTTAATTAATGCCCTAATTTATAGATAATAGTGGTATTACATGAATTTAGTATATTTTCATGAGGAAACCAATATGTTCCCTTCTATTAAGTAGTTCATAAATAATCCAGAATTTTCAAACACTGTAGATACACTTTATAGATGATAAGGATATATCAAATGTGTAGTTTGGTGTTGATTATGGTTATTTATAGTATCTATGATTTTGCAGTACCCAAAACCAGAAGTTGTTATAATATACATGTTGTTATACGCTAATATACATAAAGTAATATACGTAAGTATACTTTGTGTACATAATAGATCTCAATAATTAAAAACTTTTTTTTTTAAAACTGACATTTGTTTTATATAATGGCATTTATAGATGGGCTTTGTGAGTTAAAAAAAAAAAAACCCAGCTTATGAGCTGTTTATCTGAATAGCTAATAAGTTTCACCCTCCAGTCAGAACTTTGTTAGTCTGAATTGAATACTTGAGGGTCAGGTATATGTTTACCTTTGATACTTTCCTCAAAGGCATTGGAGTTATAAATAAGGCTGCATCTTAGTTCTACTAACTAGCTGTGTGGCATTGTGCTAGACGTAATCACTCAAACCTGTGCGCTGTCCAGTACCATAGCCACTAGTTATATATGACTATTGCACTTAAAATGTGGCTAGTCCAGGCTGCAGTGTGCTTTAGTGAGTTTCTCAAGTTCTTCATGTTATGATTCGTGTTTTTTTTTTGCTTGATTCAGTTTTGTTACAAGAGTAGAGATTTCAAATCTCACTATTGCAATTTTAATTTTCTTGTCATCTTTCTTTGTCTCATCCCTCTTCTGGACCTTTTTTTTCTATCCTGTTTTTTATTTGGGGCTTTCTGCTCCTGTTTGGGCGACGTCACATTGTTTTATGCACTAATATTAAAGTCTGCTGGATGTTCCATTTCCCTTATAAATTGCTCATGGTTATTTTTCCCACTTCCCTTTACTCAGACATGAATTATTGTGAGGTTTGTTTGTATTTGACGTTTGTCAACAACAGACTGGTGTAGATGCCTTTGCTGCATTTGTTTTTTTTTTTTTTTTTTGGGTACATTCTGTGGTCCAGGCTGGAGTGCAGTGGCACAATTACAGTTCACTATAGTCTCAAACTCCTATGCTGAAGTGATCCTCCTGTCTTAGCCTTCTGAGTAGCTGAAACTATGGGCATGAGTTGGGACTACAGGTGTGAACAACCATGCTAGGTTAAGTTTTAATTTTTGTAGAGATAGGGTCTTACTTGTTGCCCAGGCTGGTCTCAAACTCCTGTGTTCAAGTAATCCTTTTACCTTGGCCTCCCAAAGTGTTCGGATTACAGGTGTTAGCCACTGCACCCAACCGAATCTTATTTTTATCGATATGGATACTTTCAAATTGGAGCTCATGCCTAAGATTGGAAAGTTGGTAATGCAGAAGCTAAGTATCTTCTAGAAATCAGTAGTACATGGTAAACATTAATTGATTTTTTTTTTTAAGTGAAAGCAAGTTTATTAGAGGAGGAAAGAAACAAAGGATTATAGGCAGAGCAGCCAATTTATTTTTAACTGGGCAAATGTTTTGTTTACTATTGTTTGAAAATTATAGAATATTTAACTTATGTGGGAGGTGGAGGTGGGAGGATTGATTGATTGAGGCCAGGAGTTTGAGACTAGCCTGGGCAACATAGTGAGACCCTGTCACTGCACATACTCGCACATGCACACAGCTGGGCATGGTGGTTGGTGCCTGCCTGTAGTCGGAGGCTGAGGTGGGAGGATCACTTGAGCCCAGGAGTTCGAGGGTGTAGTTAGCTATGATTGTGTCCGTGCATTCCAGCCTGAGAGACAGAGGCTCTGCCTCTTTAAAAAAAATTAACTTCTGGTTTGGGCTGACTCCACATATTTCTTGGATAGGAAAATCATATTGCTACTTTTATTTTCCCTAGTTGTGCAAATTCTGTCAGAAAAGTTTATTTTCACTGCTATTGAATTTTTGCTAGAACTTTATTCCTGTTAAAACATGGTTGTAATGAAGTCTGCACTGGAGTTTTATTTTCAGATTGGGTATTAGGATTTGTCATTAAAAAAAAAATCTCCTTCAAAGGGCATTCTTTCCAATGATCTGTTTTTGAATTTAATGTAGTCCAGAAGGAAGGCATCATTATATATTAGAAAGAACATTGGACTCAGTGTTAAGAGACAGGGGCTTTAGTTTCACCATTGTCCTTGGTTGTTGAAGTATATTTAGATATGCTATTCAACTTCTCTGTGCCTCGATGTTCTTATTTATGAAATGAGGGAATTGATTGAATCTTTAAAGATTTTTTTCTAGCTCATGCATATGAAATACAAGTAATTTTATGAAGTAGGGAACTGAAGAGTGTGCAGTAATTTAGTTCATACATCTCAAATATTACAAAGATAAAATGTATTCTAAAGGAATTAGTGTCTTTTTTGTATATAAAAATTAGTTTAAAATCACTTTGGAAATGACTAAAATTTATTTACATAATATTATTATTTACATAATGAAATCTATACCGATTTAAAATGTGAAAATGAACGAAATGACTTTTATACATTCTTGTTTCTTGTTAGTTTTAAAGTATAGTTTATTGAGCATTTGATATGCCAGCCTGAATGTAGTGGGTATATTTACAAAATTGTTTTCAGGTGTCATTTCTTGAGCCCAGTTATCAATTACACGTCTTCACCTGTTACCTGAGACTTTAGGATAGATTCTGTGGAATACAGTCCTTGACTGAGGCCTCAGACCCTTTGAAGGCTCTTACTACTCCTGTGGCACAATTTTCTTTGATTTAAGGCTATAATTTCCTTTTTTAAAAAAATTTATTTTAATTTTTTAACAAAACACACCTCTCATGGGAAGGACTATAATTTCCTAACCTTAATATTGAGAGATTCCACTGAAAGTGTTCTCTCCTGTTCTCCATATCTTAAGAACAACTTTTGGGACAAGTTATACAAATAGTTTTTTTAAAAAAAGAGGAAATTAAGTAATCTGGAGATTACAAAGAACACAGGTGTTGTTTTTCCTTTTGACTTTTTAAAAAAATATTTATATAATCAACCTGTTATGTAGCTCTCTTGGCCTCCCCTTAGTGATGTTGATATTACCATTAAAAAATATTAGTCACAATCATTTGTTCAGCAAGTGTTTTGAGTGTTTATTATGTACCAGGCATTTTGCTAAATATTGGAGATTATTAATGAATGTTACAGAAGATTAATTTTGACTATTGAAAAATTCAGATCTTAGACTCACGTCTTGATATTTTTCTTAAAGCATATTATTATGTTTGGAGCCAGATTCCAGGGGTCTTAGAGATAACTTTCCACCTATGGGAGGTTCTGGTACAGGCATTTAGGTCATTGGCATTTTTTAAGAGTTCAGATAAGTTATTCTATCTCTCCCCATTTTTGTTTTCTTTTTCTAAGATGTATTTAAGATAATTAATTTATGTTTTTTTTTTTTTTGAGACGGAGTCTTGCTCTGTCGCCCAGGCTGGAGTGCAGTGGCGCGATCTCGGCTCACTGCAAGCTCCGCCTCCTGGGTTCACGCCATTCTCCTGCCTCAGCCGCCCGAGTAGCTGGTACTACAGGCGCCCGCCACCACGCCCGGCTATTTTTTGTATTTTTTGTAGAGACGGGGTTTCACCGCGTTAGCCAGGATGGTCTCGATCTCCTGACCTCGTGATCCGCCCGCCTCGGCCTCCCAAAGTGCTGGGATTACAGGCGTGAGCCCACTGCGCCCGGCCCTAATTTATGTATTTCTAATATACGGTCTGGGTTATCTGGTATAAGGAAGATGGATGCTGCGGTCAAGAATAGGTCGAGGCAGACATCCGGTCCAGCATGACTCAAGTGAGTTTGGAGTGCAGGCATACAGCTCCGCTTATTATGTAACCATGTCATGTGAGGCGCATTAGGTGATCACCCATGTGAGTGTGTGCTTGGCTTGGAGCCACTATGGTCTGTGAAAGGTCTAATTACCCTGCTAACGTGGTACAAAAGGCTCGCGCCAAGGCTCGCTCACGCCCAGAGAGTAAAGCCATGTTGAAACTATGATTCCTCTAGTGTTTTTCCAACTACCTGCCACTCACCCACCAACTCTCCTCAGACCTCAGTTACAGCCTGACATCTGGAAAAAAGAGACAAATATTTTGAAGCGTTTTGGTAAGGAATCAGGCTCTGGCATCTGAAAAGAATTCCTAACATTGTGTGAAGTTGAGATCTGGTACCTTTGTATGTACAGTTGGCCCTCTGTATCCATAGGTTCCACATGTGTGGATTCAACCAACTGCAGGTTGAAAATATTCAGAAAAAGTTAAAGATGATTGTGTCTGTACTGAACATGTACAGACTATTTTTTCTTGTCATTATTTCCTGAACAATACAGTATAATCACTATTTACATTGCATTTACATTATATTAGGTATTATAAGTAAGCTAGAGTTAATTTTAAGTACAGGAGAGGTTGTACATGGGTTATATGCAAATACTACAGTATTTTATATAAGAGACTTAAGCATTTGTGGATTTTGGTTTCCAAGGGAGGTCCTGGAACCAATTCCTCATGGATATCAAGGAACAACTGTGTTTATATTTAGCCATATATACATGAACATATTTACATATGGCTATATATGGTTATATCTGTATGTTTATAATGTTATACATGCATACATGACTTTTTTCCAATTAGTTGGCAGTCAGGTGGCATCTGATACAAAGTTTGTATGTGTTTGGTGTGTATCTGTTAAATATAATAAATGAGGATTATTTTCTATTAATTTGTGTTGTCATTAATAAATATGTTTTCATGACCTAGATTTTTTTCTCTCTACATAAAAAGATTGGTAACACGCTGAGTAAGGTGAACATTGAGCCTCTGGCTCTTCTTCAGTGCCGTTGGTGTAAATGTAAATTAATAGAATTTTCATAAAGAGCAATTTATTTATATCAACTAACTTATAGTGCATATTCTTTGATTCAGCAATCCTTCTAGGGATTTATCCTTGGGAAATTTTCACAAAGAAGTGTTCAAATCACTTCTTTCACAAATCCGTGTGAAACTGAAGTTTCACAAATCAGTGCACAAAGAAGTGTTCAAGAATGTCCCCTGAAGCTATAACATGACATATTGTAAGTGACCTAGATGTCTGTCAGCAGGGTATTAGTTAAATAAATGATATATCCCATCCCAATATATACAAAGGGTTTCTTTGTTTTTTTGTGTTCGTTTTGTTTCTGGTGCTGTGAATCTTTCTGGTTACTCCCAAAAGCACCACACTATTTTAATTTCATAGTTTTATAATAGTATGCTTTCATATCTGGTAGGTTAAGTTTAATGTATCATTCTTATTTTAAAAGTTATTGGCTCATGCCTGTAATCCCAGCACTTTGGGAGGCCGAGGCGGGTGGATCACGAGGTCAGGTGATTGAGACCATCCTGGCTAACACGCTGAAACCCCATCTCTACTAAAAATACAAAAAAAATTAGCCAGGCGTGGTGGTGGGCACCTGTAGTCCCAGCTACTCGGGAGGCTGAGGTAGGAGAATAGTGTGAACCTGGGAGGCAGAGCTTGCAGTGAGCCGAGATCGCGCCACCGTACTCCAGCCTGGGCGACGGAGTGAGACTCCATCTCAAATAACAAAATAAATAAATAAATAAATAAAAAAGTTATAAGTGTACATGAAAAGTCTTAGTGGATAATATTACTGAATGTCAGTGTAACTACTAGTTAGCTTTGTCAAATCCTAACATTTTCTTATTTTGGCTGGATTACCCTTCTTGAGGTAAATTCCTATACTGAGTTGGACATTGTCATTGTCAGTGCATGGTTTTATATTTCCATAACGTGTATTTGTTGATATAAATTATATACAGTTTTTCATGTTTTTAAACATTATTTATCATTCTGCAAGTTGTTTTCCCCTTCATGTTATCTTTACAATTTCACTTTTGGGCTCTGGTTCAATTATATAATTATATTATCTGCCTATTCAGTGATTAAACCTCAAGTTATTTGTGTATTTCCCTGTTGATAGATTTTTAGTTTTTAGTTTTTTTTGTTGTTGTTGCAAAAACATTCTGTACATATGTTCTTGGGCACATGTGTTTTTCTCCAAGGTAAAAACTTAGAACTATAGTTACTGGGTTGTAGGGTATGTGTATCATTGACTCTAAATTTTTTTGTTTACAGCCCCTGAAGTGGTTATTATACCAGTTTATACTTCCACCTGCATCTTAACAAACCATGATATTGTTAGAGTTTAAAACTCTTTTCCAACCTGCTGTCAATTTGTTTGTACTTCCCTGATTACTAGAGGTGAAACACGTATTTTCAACATATTTATTGACTATTTGAGTTTCTTAATCTTTGAGTTACTTGTTCAGTTTTTTGCCAGTTTTCTTTTGGGTTGTTGCCTTTTTCTTATTTATTTGTAGAAGTTATTTGTACATTCTGGATGAATTCTGTGTTAATATGCATTACACATTTCCTCCTGTGAATACCTTATTTTTTAATTTTGATTATGATGTTTTTAGTTTTACACAAGTTTGAAATTTTAATATATTTAAAATTGTTAATGTTTTCATTTATGGTCTCTACTCTGAAGTAACAGTTTCCTGTATTTTCAGTTCTGATAGTTGTAAAGTTTTGTTTTTCACACCTAGGGATTTAATCTACTTGTTGATTTTTGTGTATGATGAGGTGGGGACTGAATTTATATTTTTCCGTATGGGTATCTAGTTGTCCCTGTGTGACTTATTGAAGAGTCTGTTTTTTTCTCATGGATTTGTAATGTCATTTCTGCAATATAAATTTTCATATATTCATAGATTTGTTTATGATTTCACTTGGTTCTTTTGTATATTTCTGTTGGAATAACGTGCCGTTTTGTTAAGTATAGCCTTTAGATATATCTTGACATCAGATAGTGTGGGCTCTTCTACCTTGCTCTTCAAAATTTTTTGCTCTTAATTCTAAGCTCTTTCATAAGCATTTATTTTTTTATTCAGGTTAAGTTCATTTAACATAGAATTAATCATTTTAAAGTGAGCACTTAGTAGTATTTACAACATTCACATGGTTGTGTAACTACCACCTCTAGTTCAAAAGCATTTTCATTACTCCAAAAGGAAACTCTATACCCATTAAATGGTTACTTTCCATTCCCTCCTCCCTGCTTCCCCCTAGCCTCTGACAACCATCAGTCTGCTGTTTCTATAGATTTACATGCTCTCCATATTTCACATAAATAGTATCATGCAATCTAAGACCTTTTTTGTCTGGGTTCTTTCACTTAGCATAATGTTTTTGAGGTTGATCCACACTGTAACAGGTAACAGGTATTAGCACTTCATTTCTTTTTTATGGCTGAATAATATGCCATTGTTTGTATATATGTGATTTGTTTATACATTAATCTGCTGTTGGGCATTTGGGTTGTTTCTACCTTTTGGCTATTGTGAATAGTGTTGCTGTGAACATTTGTGCGCCTATATTCGTTTTGAGTACCTGTTTTCAGTTCTCTTGGTTATATACCTAGAAATGGAATTACAGGGTCGTATGATAATTCTATGCTTAGCTTTTTGAGGAACCACCAGACATTTCTGTAGCAGCTGAAATGTTTTGTGTTTCCACCAGCAATATAGAGGTTCTAATTTCTTTATATTCTCTCTAATATTTATTCATTAAAAAAATTACATCCATCCTAGTGTCTATGAAGTGGTATCTAATGATGAATTGAATGAATGAGTAATGATGAATAGGAATGAATAATCATGTTGAACACATTTTCAGGTGCTTGCAGACCATTTGCATTTTTGAAGGAACGTCTATCCAGGCTTTGTCCATCTTTTAAATTGGTGGTTATGTCCTTTGCACAAAAGTTTTTAATTTTGGTGAAGTCCGATTTATCTGTTTTCTTTTGTTGCTTGTGCTTTGGGTGTCATATCCAAGAATCAATTGCCAAATCCAGAGTCATGAAGATTTACCCCAGTTTTTTCCATAAGATTTTTTAAAAAAGAGTTTATGGTTTTAACTCTTATTTAGGTTGTTGATTCATGTTGAGTTAATTTTTGTGTATGGAGTGAGATAGAGGTCCAAATTAATTATTTTGTTAGTGGATATCTGTTTGTCCCAGCACCATTTGTTGAAGAGACAAATTTTCCCCTATTGAATAATATTGGCACTCTTACTGAAAATCAGTTGGCTATAGATGTATGGGTGGGTTTCTGGACATTCAGTTCTATTCCATTCATCTATATGTGTGCCCTTATGCCAGTATACACTGTGTTGCTTAATGTAGCTTTGTAGTAAGTTTTGAAATTGAGAAGTGTTCCAGGTTTGTTATTCTTTTTCAAAATTGCTTTGGCTATTTGGAGACCACTGACCATTCCTTATGAATCTGAATATTGGCTTTTCAATTTCTGCAAAAATGACTGTTGGAATTTTGATAGAGATTACATTGAATCTGTAGATTGTTTTGGTATTATTATCATCTTAATAATAGTAAGTCCTCCAACCATGACCACAGGATATCTTCCCATTTTTGAGGTCTTCTTTAATTTTTCAGCAATGTTTATGGTTTTCAGCATACAAATGTTTTACCTTCTTCATTAAATTTATTCCTAGGTATTTTGCTCTTTTGTATGGTATCGCAAATGCAATTGTTCTCTTAATTTTCTTTTTTGGTTTTTAAATTTCTGGTGTGTAGAAGCGCAACTAATTTTTTTTTATTATACTTTAAGTTTTAGGGTACATGTGCACAATGTGCAGGTTAGTTACATATGTATACATGTGCCATGCTGGTGTGCTGCACCCATTAACTCGTCATTTAGCATTAGGTATATCTCCTAATGCTATCCTTCCCCCTCCCCCAACCCCACAACAGTCCCCAGAGTGTGGTGTTCCCCTTCCTGTGTCCATGTGTTCTCATTGTTCAATTGCCATCTATGAGTGAGAACATGCGGTGTTTGGTTTTTTGTCTTTGCGATAGTTTACTGAGAATGATGATTTCCAATTTCATCCATGTCCCTACAAAGGACATGAACTCATCATTTTTTATGGCTGCATAGTATTCCATGGTGTATATGTGCCACATTTTCTTAATCCAGTCTATCGTTGTTGGACATTTGGGTTGGTTCCAAGTCTTTGCTATTGTGAATAGTGCCGCAGTAAACATATGTGTGCATGTGTCTTTATAGCAGCATGATTTATAGTCCTTTGGGTATATACCCAGTAATGGGATGGCTGGGTCAAATGGTATTTCTAGTTCTAGATCCCTGAGGAATCGCCACACTGATTTCCACAATGGTTGAACTAGTTTACAGTCCCACCAACAGTGTAAAAGTATTCCTATTTCTCCACATCCTTTCCAGCACCTGTTGTTTCCTGACTTTTTAATGATTGCCATTCTAACTGGTGTGAGATGGTATCTCATTGTGGTTTTGATTTGCATTTCTCTGATGGCCAGTGATGATGAGCATTTTTTCATGTGTCTTTTGGCTGCATAAATGTCTTCTTTTGAGAAGTGTCTGTTCATATCCTTTGCCCACTTTTTGATGGGGTTGTTTTTTTCTTGTAAATTTGTTTGAGTTCATTGTAGATTCTGGATATTAGCCCTTTGTCAGATGAGTAGGTTGCGAAAATTTTCTCCCATTTTGTAGGTTGCTCGTTCACTCTGACGGTAGTTTCTTTTGCTGTGCAGAAGCTCTTTAGTTTAATGAGATCCCATTTGTCAATTTTGGCTTTTGTTGCCATTGCTTTTTGTGTTTTAGACATGAAGTCCTTGCCCATGCCTATGTCCTGAATGTAATGCCTAGGTTTTCTTCTAGGGTTTTTATGGTTTTAGGTCTAACATTTAAGTCTTTAATCCATCTTGAATTAATTTTTGTATAAGGTGTAAGGAAGGGATCCAGTTTCAGCTTTCTACATATGGCTAGCCAGTTTACCCAGCACCATTTATTAAATAGGGAATCCTTTCCCCATGTCTTGTTTTTCTCAGGTTTGTCGAAGATCAGATAGTTGTAGATATGCGGCATTATTTCTGAGGGCTCTGTTCTGTTCCATTGATCTATATCTCTGTTTTGGTACCAGTACCATGCTGCTTTGGTTACTGTAGCCTTGTAGTATAGTTTGAAGTCAGGTAGCATGATGCCGCCAGCTTTGTTCTTTTGGCTTAGGATTGACTTGGCGATGCGGGCTCTTTTTTGGTTCCATATGAACTTTAAAGTAGTTTTTTCCAATTCTGTGAAGAAAGTCATTGGTAGCTTGATGGGGATGGCATTGAATCTATAAATTACCTTGGGCAGTATGGCCATTTTCACAATATTGATTCTTCCTACCCATGAGCATGGAATGTTCTTCCATTTGTTTGTATCCTCTTTTATTAGCACAACTAATTTTTAGTGTTGATGTTATGCACTACAATTTGCTAAATTGACTTATTAGCTCTATTAATCATTTTATGAGTTCATTGGGATTTACTATCTGTAGGATCATGGTCATCTGTGAATTGAATTGATTTTACTTCTTCCTTTCCAATTTGGATGTCTTTTATTTCTTTTTCCTGCCTAACTGCTCTTGCTAGAACTTCCAGTACAGTTTCAAATAGTAGTGGTGAAAGTGGGCATCTTTGTCTTACTCCTTATCTTAGGGGCAAAGCTTTCAGTCTTTCACCATTGAGTGTGATGTTAGCTGTGACTTTTTCATAAATGCCCTTTATCATGTTGAGGAAATTCTCTTCTATTTTTAGTATGAGCATAAGTCCTTTCACTCTATTAATGTGATATGTTACATTAATTGATTGATTTTCTTATGCTGAACCATCCTTGCATTTCTGGGATAAAGTCTACCTGCCTATGCCTGTAGTTCTTTTAATATGCTGTTGGATTCAGTTTGCTAGTATTTTGAGGATTTTTGCATCACTATTTATAAGGGACATTAGTCTGTAGTTTTCTTGGAATGTCTTTGGCTAGCTTTGGTATCAAGATAATTACTGGTCTCATAAAATGAATTAGGAAATCATTCCTCCTCTGTTGTTTTTAGAAGAGCTTGAGAATGATTGCTGTTAATCCTTCTTTAAAGATTTGGCAGAATTCACCAGTAAAGCTATCTGGTTCTGGGCTTTTCTATTTTGGGTGGTTTTTGCTTCTTGATTCAGTCTCTTTACCTGATTCAGATTCTCTTCTTGAGTCAGTTTTTATAGTTTGTTTTCAAGAATTTGTCCACTTCATGTAGATTATCTAATTTTTTGGTGAATAATTGTTTATCATATTCTTTAAAAATTTTTTTTTTTTTTAAGCGTTGGGGGTCTGTGTTGCCCAGGCTGGAGTGCAGTGGTTATTCACAGGTGTGATCATGGTGCACTGCAACCTTGTACTCCTGGCCTTAAGTTATCTTCCTGCCTCAGTCTCTTCAGTAGCTGGGACTACAGATGCACACATCAAACAAACCAGGCCATAAGATTCTCTTTTAATCTTATTTATTTCTGTAAGGTCAGCTGCAGTGTCTCCACTTTTATTTGTGATTTTAGTTATTTGCATCTTCTCTGTTTTTCTTCTTTGTCATCTAACCAGAGGTTTGTCAATTTTGTTGATCTTGTCAAAGAACCAACTTTTGGTTTCATTAGATTCTCTCTATTGTTTTTCTATTCTCTGTTTTATCACCACTGTAATTTTTCATGTTTTTGTCTGTTGTGCAGGTTATGGGCTTGGTTTGCACCTCTTTTTCTAGTTCTTTAAGTTGTAAAGATTATTGATTTTAGATCTTTTAAATGTAGGTATTTACTACTATTAATTTTCCTCTGAGGATTGCTTTTGCTGCATCCCATAAGTTTTGGTATGTGTTTTTGTCTTCATTTATCTGTATTTTCTAATTTCCCATGTGATTTCTTTGACATGTTGGTTAAGAGTGTGTTGTTTAATATCCACATATTTATGATTTTTCATTTTCCTTCTATTATTAATATCTAACTTCATTTCATTGGGGTCAGAGAAGATACTTTGTATGATTTAATATCTTTAAATTTATTGAGACTTATTTTGTGGCTCAAAATGTGGTCTGTCCTGGAGAATATTTCATATGCACTTGAGAAGAATGTCTGTTCTGCTGTTACTGGGTAGGTGCTCTGCATATGTTGGTTAGTCTTCTCTTTCCTTATTGATCTTTCTAGATGTTCTAGCCATTATTGAAAATGGGGGTATTGAAGTTTCTATTATTGTTACTTTGTCTGTTTCTCCCTTCATTTCTGGCCATGATTTCTTCCTATATTTTGGGGGTTCTGTTGTTTAATGTATATATTTATAGTTTTTATATCTTCTAAATTGACTTCCATAAGTATTTTAGAATCAGGTTATGAAGATACCATCCTTATGCTTTCAAGTTTTGCTTTAGTGCTTCCTGTTGGTGGTACCTAGTAGGGAACCAGCTGACAAAAGAAAGATGTAATTTGCAGAGTCTAAGCCCCAGCATCATGAAGCATAGACGACGGAATTTGGAATTATATAGAAGAGTGGATTTGGAATTGAAAATTTTGGTTTACTTACTGATGCTGTCTGGCTGTCTGAATTTTAGCGTATGAACTTTGATTAGGTCTTGATAAGCAGTCAGTGGAACAGCCTATGAGGGACCTCTTCCTTGTAGAATTAGAATTGAATAGCCAGCAGCTCACCTCAGACAAAATGGATGCCTGTTGAAATGGGCCTTTTCTCAGTAGATCCCTGCAGAATTTTATGACTTGTGCAGTCTGAGGTTTTGCCCCAGGTAGATGAGCAGGAGGGCATCTTTCCAGTAGTAACAGAGACAAGCTCTCTTCACCTGTGCTGGAGGATATACCAGTTCTCAAATCAGACATGTGATAGACTTGCCAAGAGAAGAACCTATATAGGTGAGTTCCTTGCTAAGTTCCAGGTCTCTTCCTAGATTCCTGACAGTGCCTTCTATCTGAATGTGTAGTAGTAATTATGGTCTGGTTGACTGCCTTCCTGCATTCCACCCTATTCTCATCTACACCATATTCAGAGTAACTTGGAGTGTTAATCATATAGGTAGGATCCTTCTCTATTTTTCACGGATGTTGTGATGGATCAAAGTTTTATGTTCTGTATTGTTTGACTTGCCTTAGCAAGAATTGAGGGGGTGGGGTGATGAGTTAAAGGCATGTGCTTAAATTTTATTCCCAGAATACTTTTCCATTTGTATTACAAATAATTACAGGAGAGGAATCCTGGATACAGACAGTAGACAGCAACTGTAACACATGCAGAAAAGGTATTTATTGGAAGGATGTTAGACTGTAACACATGCAGAAAAGGTATTTATTGGAAGGTTATTAGGTTGCTTCAGAATTGACATAAAAGTCTGAAGAACTAGGTTTAGTAAATAGGCATTAAGTGAAGCCAGATACACAGAACCACTGTCAGTGCTGCTGATTAATGAGCATTGGTTATGGCGTTGCTACCTCTGGATACTGGATGTGTCTGCTTCCAGAGTGATTTCTTAAATTGAGTCCTTGTTTCTTTACAGGTATATAGTACCAGCCATAGCATCTCATTGCTTACACATAGGTGATAGGCAATACCCTTGCTGCTAGATGTTAGGAAGATTAAGTATCTTGAATTTTTCTGACTTCTGTAGGAAGAGGAGGGATTCTGTTACCATTATACTAATTAATTCCTGAATGTTTTGGCAGCTTAAGCAACATAAAGGAAACCGAAAGGAATCCTACATTTTATTACAGTGACTTAAAATAAAATAAGGGGATGAAGTTTTTATTTGTGCTGTGCTATTTAGAAATGTAGATATAAATAGACTTTCTAGACTCTATCCTTTCAGCACTTTCTGTTCAGGGGTTTAAAGTAGGGGTTGGTACTGTTCACCTGAGAGGCAGCTTGGAAACATGGGGACATTTTTTGGTTGTTAGAATGATGGGGATGAGGGCACTATTGCATTTAATTATATGTGGGCTGGGTATGCTAAACATCCCATGGTGCCTTGGTGGTTGTGCACAATAAATAATTGAATTATCCTCCTCATAATGCCAGTAGTGCATTTAAGAAAAACCAGGTTATATGGCTATCTTGGTGAAGGACTAAAAGTTATTACTAGCTTCCTTTGCTTCACTGTCTGCACCCTCTGGCTGAGGATTATTTCTCATTTCGTTGCTTTGCTGTTTTCTTTCCTTAGTTCAAGGGACTTGATTCCTTTCAAGCTCCAAAAATGTTATTTTTAAACTCTGGCTTTGGCTCGGCTCAGTGGCTCATCCCTGTCTCTAGAGTCCCTGTTTCTAGAGACCCTGTCTCTAGAAAAAAATAAAAAAATTAGCCAGATGTGGTGGCACACACCTATATTTCCACGTAATCGGGAGGATCATTGAAGCAGGAGGCTGTAGGGAGCTATGATTGTGCCACTGTACTCCCACCTGAGTGATAGAGTGAGACCCTATCTCTAAAAAGAAAACAAACAAACAAAAACTGTGAAAAGGTGCCCGGTAGCATGGGAGAAAATATTTGCAAATCATGTATCTGATAAGGCATTAATATCCAGAATATATAAAGAACTCCTACAACTCAACAACAACAACAAAAAACCTGGTTTAAAAATGGGCAAAGGACTTGAAAAGATATTTTTCCAAAGAAGATGTATAAATAGCCAATAAACACATGAAAAGATGCTCAACACCACTAATCATTAGGGAAATATAAAGCAAAACCACAATAAGATAACCCTTCACATCTATTAGGATGGCTGTTGTAAAAAAAAAAAAAAAAAAACAAAGTAACAGGTGTTGGAGTGGATATGGAAAAATTGGAAACCTTGTGCATTGCTGAGGGGAATGTAAAATGGTGTAGCTGCTGTAGAAAACAGTATGGTGTGTTCCTTTCAGCAGTCTTTGTGTAGCCAGTAGTTGTGATTCTAATAAAAGTAGCAGTTGGTTTGGGACTGATAGTGATTGTTATGATTTCAATTGGGTGGTGCTGACAGTATGTGGTTCTTGGTATCTGTGAGGATAAACCGCATAAGCTATCTCATTTCTATCTTACATGAGTGGTGTGGATCATTCCGTATCAGTAGGTTCACTAATGCAAATAAAGTACATTTAAAACAATGTAAAAGGTAGTAGTAAATGCAAAAGTATGGAGGTAAAGGTGTACCATTAGTTTTTGGGCTTCAAGGCTTGGAACTCAGGGTTGGCAGCTGTCTTACTTAGTTTGCTTGAGCTGCCTTAACAAAGTACCATGGACTGGCTGGTTTAAGCAACAAACATTATTTCCCACAGTTCTGGAGGCTGAGAAGTGATGAAGATGCTGGCTGATTCAGTTCCTGGAGAAAGCCCTCTTCCAGGCCTGTAGACTGCCACTTTCTCTGTGTGTCCTCTCATGGTCTTTTCTCCATGTGTGCTTGTGAAGAAAGAGACAGCAGCTCTCTTTCTCTTCCTTTCCTTATAGGGCCCCACCCTCACTACTTAATCTAATCCTGAGTACCTCCCAAGGCCCCCCACCCCCCGCCGTCATCTCCAAATACCCCCTCCCCCTATCATCTCCAAATACTATCACTTTGGGAATTAGGGGTTCAACATATGAATTTTGGGGGGACACAAACATTTACTCTATAATTGAATCAGTCTGAGAGATAATATCTTAGTAACAAACCAGGTAAATCTAGGCTGACCACAGAAACAAGTTGTCAGTTTGGAGAGGCCGGACAGAAAGGAAAGATGTGAGCCAATAAGACAAATTAGAGACACTTGAAGAGAGGGAAGGTTCAAAGCCTGAAAATGGGATGGCAGAGATTTGAGAAATTATCTATAATAACAAGGAGTGATGGCTATAACAATTTTGTTTTGGGGTTCTTACTACCTTAGATATATGTAGGCAGGGGAGACATGGTAAAGATGCTGTATTAGGCTGTTCTTGCATTGCTATAAAGAAATACCCGAGACTGGGTAATTTATAGGAAAAGAGGTTTAATTGGCTCACAGTTCTGCAGGCTATACAGGAAGTATGATGCCAACATCTGCTTCTGAAGAGGCCCCAGGAAGCTCATAATTGTGGCAGAAAGTGAAGGGCGGGGGGAGTGTAGGCATCTCACACAGTAGGAGCAAGAGCGAGAGAGTGAGTGGGAGATGTCACAAACCAGGTCTCATGAGAGCTCACTATTGTGAGGACAGCACCAAGCCATGAGGGATCCATCTCATGACCCAAACACCTGCCAACAAGCCCCACCTCCCCAACACTGGGGATTACAATTCAACATGAGATTTAGTGGGGTCATATATTAAACTGTATCAGATGCCTGTAGTACTAATAACAGCTTGGGGCCAAGGTCTGCACAAAGACTGAATGGGTGATGTTTTACTCCACAAGAAAAGAATGAATAGTGTACCAAAACCTTTTTAAAAATAATATTTACAATAAATTATTTTCATGTCTTCACAGATAACCCATAATGACTTTTTGCTTTGTACTGATGGTGATTTCTGATATCAACATCCTGGTGTATCAGTGCTGTTTCTGACCTCTTTCTGATGGTAGCTTTTGATGAAAATATACAAATTTTTGGTAAAGGATCTTTATGGTGATCAGAAATCCACTTCAACTTTTATCCTTTATACTTCAAAATGTCAATGAGAATGACTACTTAAAATACCAAATCCCATCTAAAACAACCCCCCAAAATCTCATAAAATATTGAAGCTAAAAGAAAGAACGAGTTACTATGTGCATGATAGTTTCTTCTTTTTCCTTTGGGTTTTATACCTTCTTCAGTTTCTGATTTGTTACAGCAGCAGTCCCCAATCTTTTTGGGACCAGGGACTGGTTTCATAGAAGATAATTTTTCCATGGACAGTGGGTGGGGTGGGGGATGATGGCTTCAGGGTGAAACTGTTCCACTTCAGATCACCATAAGGAGTGTGCAACCTAGATCCCTCACATGAGCAGTTCAAGGTAGGGTTTGCGCTGCTATGGGATTCTAATGCCATCGCTGATCTGACAGTTATGTGGAATGCAAGTGGTAATGCTTGCTTGCACAGCTCACCTCCTGCTTGCCAGCCGAGTTCCTAACAGGCCCTGGACTGGTACTGATCTGTGGCCTGGGGGTTGGGGATCACTGCATTACAGGAAGGCCAGGCCTTATTTTATTTAGAACCTGTATACTGGGGTAGTGATTTTTAGTATTTTTTTCATTATGTGTTTTAAAACTACAACAAAGCAATTTAAAGGTCTTATAAGGTTTATACCTTTTTTTTCTTTTTTTTTTGTGTGTGTCTGATTGCACTGCTAGAACCTGTAATAGATTTTTGAGTAGCTTTTTGTTCTTGATCTTAATGGGGAAGCTTTCAGTCTTTCACCCTTGAGTATGATGGCTGCTTTAGGTTTTTAATAGGTGCCCTGTATCAGATTAGGAAATACCCTTGCATTCCTAGTTCGCTGAGAATTTTCATCAGGAATGGATATTGGATTTGGTCAAATACTTTTTCTGCATCTCTTGATGATCATGAGGTCATTCTTTTTAAGTCTTTTAATGTAGCAAGTTGTTACATTAGTTGAGTTTTGAATGTTAGACACCCTTTGGTAATTATTCTGTAATCTTAAAAGTAGTTTTCTGTGTTTATGAGGGATATTAGTTTGTTTGTTTATTTATTTATTATATTTGTCTGATTCTGGTATCAGAGTAATGTTGGCCCCATGAAATGAGTTGGTTTTCCATTTTCAGTGTCCTGAAAGAGTTTCCATAGAACTGGTATTGATTTTTACCTAAATGCTTGATAGAATTCGTCAGTGAAATAATCTGAACTGGAGTTTTCTTTGTGGAGAGGTTTTAACTATACATTCAGTTTCTTTAATAGATACAGGCTGTTAAGGTAATCTAGTTCCTGAGTTCACTTGAGTAGTTTTTTTTTTTTAAACAAGGAATGTAAATTATTGAATTGTTGACATAAAGTTGCTAATAATAGTTTCTTACTGTCATTTGAGTATTTGTAGGATTGTAATTATATCAGTTCTCTCATTGCTGATATTGGTAGTTTGTGGTTTCTCTTTTTTCCCTTCTCGTCATTATTAGAAATTTATCAATTTTATTGATCTCAAATAACTAGCTTTTGGATGTATTGGTTTTTCTCTGTTCTTTTGTTTTATATTTTATTTCTTGTTTTGCTTTTATCTTTATTATTTTCTTTCTTCTTCTAACTTTGGGTTTAATTTTCTCTTTTTTCCATTTTCTTAAGTTAGAAGCTGAGGTTCTTGATATAAGATCTTTTTTCCCCCTAATATAGATTGGTTAATGCTATAATTCTCTCTTTAACTTTTCTTTTTTTTTCTTCATATTGGCATTTAGTGCTATGAATTTCAGTCTAAGAAGTACTTTAGCTTTATCTACAGTTTGATGTTTCCATTTTCTTTCGGTTCAGGGCACTTTCAAATTTCACTTTTTAAAAAACGCCTTTATTGAGGTATTATTCACATACCATACCATCCACCCATTTAAAGTATACAATTCAGTGGTTTATTCAGAGTTTGGTATGTTTAGTATATTCACAATTATCTGCAATGATCACCAGTCATCTAGTTTTACTTTTGATTTCTTCTTGGACCTGTGATTATTGAGAAGTGTTTTATTGAGTTTATAAATATTTGGAGACTATCCAGATACCTTTATGTTACCTGGTTTCTACTCTAATCCCATTGTAGCAAAAAACATACTTTATATGGTCTGAATACTTTTAATTTCATTGAAACTTGTTTTATGACCTAGAAAATGGTCTGTATTGGTACATGTTCCGTTTGCATTTAAACAGAATGTATATTTTGTTATAGTGTTCTGTAAATGTCAATTAGGTCAAGTTGGTTGATGGTGTTGTTCAAGTCTTTTATGTCCTTATTGATTTTCCTTCTATTTTGATCAGTTATTGAGTGAAGGATGTTGAAATTACCTATAACATTGTGAATTTGTTTACTTCTTTCATTTCTATCAGTTTTTGCTTCAGGTATTTTGAAATTTTGTTATTAGGTGTGTGACGTTTATCATTGTTACATTCTCTTGACATATTGACCTCATTAATACAAAGTGACCCTTTTTATACCTGCTCTAAAAGTTACTGTTAGATTTAATATAGCTGTTCTCACTTAAACTTTATTGAGTTACTTTACACACTGTAAAATTTACCCATGTTAACTGTACAGTTAGGTGGGAGCTATGCCTCCTGTACATAGGATGATGATTTCCAAATCTGTGTTTTCAGACTTTGACATCTGAACCTACGAGCTTTGTTGACTTCTTAAACTTAACAGGTCTAAAATCATACACATTCATCTCTTTCTCACTCCTTCCCTTTATCCCAAATCACCCTTTCTTTCTTTGTTCTTGGTTCAGTTAATGGCACCCGTTTCTATCCAGTCAGTATTGTGAAAAATCTATTATTGTTAATTAATTCCTTTTCCTTCTCATGTTTAATCACTTGCCTAAATTTCTAGCTTTCTAAGGTCTCTTATATTGGTCCTTCTTCTCTGTATCTACTTTAAATACATTTTATTAGGCCCTTGTCATTTTTTGCCTGGGAGGACTGCTGTGACTTCCTGACTCCTTTTCCTACTTCCAGCCTTATATCCCCTCCCTTTCTACTCCCACCTTGCCTCAAGTCAATCCTGAGGAGGCATTCTTTCCAAGATTTAAGTACAATCATGCCATTTTCAAGTTGAAGTTCTTTAGTGCCTTGCATTTTTCCCCAGGCTGCATTGTTAGCTCAATTAATGATTGAGCTTTTGTCTTCTCTAGCTTCCTTGCTATAGTATATTGTGTTACTTCTTCTGTGTCTTTGTACACTCTGCTATCTTCGTCTAGAATGCCCTTATTACTTGATCTGCATGGCAAACTCTTATTCTTTTAATTTTTATTTGAAGATCATGTATGTCTTTCTCTGTTTCCCTATGTAAATCTGCTTTCAAGTCATATACTTGTATGGTTAACAAGTAACTATTCTTTTCTATGTATATCTTACCTTTTCTATAGCTGTCCGTGGTATTTATTTTCTCTTTCACACATTTTGTGCTTACTTTGTTTATGTATTCATTAGATTGTGAACTCCTGTGGGCAAATCATGTGCCTTATTTTTCTCTGTATACCTTGCCTTTCACATTTCGTAAATTTTACTGAGTTAAGCTGAAATTACTTGAATGACAGATAACCATTGATTTAATCTGAAATTACCATAAACGCAAACTGAAATCCTTTGAAAACCCTAGTTAGAATAATCTATAACTGCTTTCTACAGAAACAAAATCTTTTAATAGCCAGATAGGTGACCTATACCTAACTAGAGACAGTAAGTTTGTGTTGATGGTCCATGGCTGCATTATTAAAGTGGGAGTGCTAAAGCACTTAGTATTTTGTAGGTGCCACATGACCAAAGTAATTGGATTTGGTATAAAAGCTTGAGGTTCTGTGGATTTCTCAGTGCTTAGCCTTAAATCTTTTTTAGCCTCTTTCATGTGGCCAACCAATTCATATTGAGAAACAGTTGGGCTTCTTCATTAACGTGTTATTTTAGGAAAGGGATTACTGTTAAGGAGTGGTGATCCCAAATGTGATACAATTTGTCTTGTTTGGCCTTTAACTACAGTCAGTACACTGGAAACTATGTGATTCTTAAGATGATAATGTTCAGAAACTTTTGGTCATTTGTAAGACAGTATTATTCTGTGCTGGTAGAGTATGTTCATTTGCTGTTGAAAATCATCTTAGACCAGATTTGTAAACATCTCCCTTATAATAACACCATTTTAATTAACCTCTTGGTTATTTCCAGGTTTAAGGAGATCTTTTTATTACCTTGAAGGTGTGGCATTTCTTTTAGGAAGGTCTTAAATTCCTTCAGGCACTTGCCACTAAAGGAGTGTAGAATGCTGTTGTTTCATTATTTTCTGTATCAGTTGCTGACTATCCTATAGTCATTTCCCAAAATCATTCTTGGCCTATATTGTGCACAAGTAACTATTTATATAACTGCTTCAACTATTTTTTTTTTTGTGTGTGTGTGTGTTTTCCTGGATTCTCTGAAATTTCTTTTGAATATTATTAAAATATAGGATGTTTGAGAAGGCTATTTAATATCTAACTTTGTCATAAAAAAACTTTTAGTATTGGCCATTGTTACTTATCTTTTAAAAGGTAGCATTACATTGTTGATTCATTTAGCATTTTTTTTTAGTCATTAAATGGAGCAATGGGGAGTTATTCTTGGAATTTGGCGATGAGAGTCAATGTAAAATTCATTTATGATTGTTAACAATAGTTATCTGCCAAAGTCTTTAAAGGGCTCTCATATTCTTAGACCTTATTCGGAAGAAGATGGTCTAGAAATCTTAGCAAGGTAGTAATGGATGTGAATGAAAGCTGATATAAATAGTGGTATTATCATAGAAGAAATAATGTATCAATGGAAGTTTGAATGTGTGGAGTCTAGTGATGGGACCCAATAGATAGGGAGGGAAGGAAATTATGTTTACTGAGTACCTGCTGTCTGCTCGTAGTTTCCTTCCCTTGCTGAGCTCTTATTTATTTGTTGATTCTTTTGAGTTTTCTATGTAGAACTCCTATTGCCTGTGACAAAAGACAGTGGGTTTCCTTTTTTTTTTTTTGAGATGGAGTCTTGCCCTGTCGCCCAGGCTGGAGTGCAGTGGCGCAGTCTTGGCTCACTGCAAGCTCTGCCTCCCGGGTTCACGCCATTCTCCTGCCTCAGCCTCCTGAGTAGCTGGGACTACAGGCACCCGCCACCATGCCTGGCTAATTTTTTTGTATTTTCAGTAGAGACGGGGTTTCACCGTATTAGCCAGGATGGTCTCAATCTCCTGACCTCGTGATCCGCCCGCCTCGGCCTCCCAAAGTGCTGGGATTACAGGGGTGAGCCACTGCGCCTGGCCTTCATTTTCTCTTTTTATGTTGCTGGCTAGGACTTCTAGTACAATCAAATTGAAGCCGTGATAGTGAGCATCCTTACTTGTTTCCCTCACTTTGAGAGAGAATTACTTTTGTAGTTTATCAAGAATGTGATTTGCTGTAGTTTTTGGAGATATCTTTTATTAGGTTGAAGAAGTTCTCTTTTTCTCCATTCACTTTCTTCTTCTGTTTCTACTGAATGAGTGTAAGAGCAGAAGTGACCAAAAGGCTGGAACACTGTACTTTTGAGGGTACATTGAAGATGATAAAGCCAATGATCAGAGGCCTGTTGGTAAAGCAGGTTTGAGGAAGAGGGAGCTTCAAAGGAAGGATCAATTTTTAACAGTGGTGGATAGAAGAGTGATGTAAAGTGTAGGAAGTGGAAACAGCAAGTGTAGTACTGTTTGAAAAAGTAAAGTGAAGGAAGGAGAACACCAATGAAGGTTGAAGTGGAGGCAGTTTTGAGGGGAGTTTTTATTTATTTTTTAAGGACGGGTGAAACTTCATATTTGTAAGTAAAGGTTAAAGCTCCAGTAGAGAAGGAAAGAGTGAATATAAAGGAAAATTTCTGCCAACCAAAATTCCAGCGTAATTTTATGTATCCCTATGTAAATTAGAATCATCCAGAATGCTTCCAAACATGATTCAAGAGCCACAGCGGCTTAAGCAAGATAGAAGTTAATTTCTGTTCACACGTATGAATTCTGCAGGACAGTTTCAATAAGAGAGGCTGAGAAATAGAGTTTTTATTTAGCAGGATCATGGGTCTAGCCAAAACTTGAGGGCTCTAGGACTAAGGAGGAAGAAAGAAAAGATTTTGGGAGACAGTTTTCAGTATCTGCACAGTAAGTGTGAGAAAACTCTTAAATAAAATTTATCTCTCTCAGTATTTGCATAGTGTTTAAGAAGTCAAAATGCATTTGTTTATATCTAGACTCTACTTACTAGCTCCTTGACCCTGAACAAACTATTTTTCTCTTTGTGCCTTAATTTTTTCATAACAAGGTAGAGAATAATGGTGTTTGATAGAGAGTACCTCATAAGTTGGTATGATAATTAAATAAGATAATATATGTAATTGATGAAGCCATTGCCTTGTACATCTAAGCCACAATTACTAGTTTTGTTGTCATTTGCCCTTGCTCTTCAAGGATCAGGGATGTGTTGAAGGACAAAACACAAAAAAACAAAATAATATAACAAAAACAACAAACAAAACCTTATATTACTTATGGGATATCCAAAAGTTAATTAAATATTACACATTAAGATACAATTGAAAAGAGTAACTTCAAATCTCATGAGAACTTGTAGATATAAAACTAGATTTTTTTGGAAACCTTGGAAGGTACTCAGCCAAACTGCAAAGTTTGAGGACACAGTTCTTCACATGACCACTCTCACATCTGGCACCACTTGCAAATTCAGAGGGCTCCCCAGACCACCCTCTGGCTTGATAATTTGCAAGGACTCACAAAGGGATTACAGATTACAGGGATCCAGATTAAAATCAGCCAAGGGAAGAAACACATAGGGTGAAGTCAGGAAAGTTCCAAATGTTGATCTGCCAGTGTCCTTTTCCCATGGAGTCAGGACATGTTCTTCCAGCACCAATGTGTGACAGTATGCATGATTGCCAACCTGGTAACCTCATCCAAGCTTCAGTGTATAGAGTTTTATGGGGCTTCATTATGTAGGCATCATTGATTGATTACTCAATTACCTGTATGGTTGAACTCAGTCTCCCAATGGACTGATACTGTGTAACCCAGAGCCTTGTCCTAAGCCATATTGTTGGTGTTTATGACATGGCCAGCTTTTGCTTTAAAACTATTAGTTGTGGCCAACCCTACCTGAAGATCTGGTATGGCCAGCACCCATAATAAACAAGCACACTTCTATCAACTATGACACATTACCTCCCAGAAGCTGAAGTCAATGGTGAGACTTCTCTTTGGACAAGGCCAAATTCTTTACTACACAGGAAGATACAAGACACTGATGAAAAGGAATGATCTTTACAAATGAAAGTCTAACATAATTATCTGTTGAAAATACCAAAGTTAAAAACAATCTTAAAAATATGTATATAAGAGAAAGATCATCCAAGTGAAAATAAAACCCCCAGCTGGAGTAATTTAAAAATCTAGAAATTTGGCTGCCAAAGCAAAATTTGAGGAACCATTTGCATGGAGATCAAAATGAAAATAAAATTTTGAGTCATATAGAGAAGAAAACTAGCAAGAAAGTTCATAGTGCTACTAAATAATTATTGTGAAAACTCAAGGAAAAGAAATAAAGCACATTATTTGCTTTGGCAGTTGTAAAGATTGCTGCATTAACTTGTAATTTGGAACAGAGAGGTTAGAAGGATTGAAATTATTGACTTACATGTGTATAGAACATTACTTTTTACTTGATTCCAAGGTAAGTACAAGGAAGTACTTAGCAAAAAAGGGTTATAGTGCTTTTAAAGTGGTATAGTCAGGGTAGTGTATGTTTTCCTATCTCTGTTAATGAAGGTACTAATCATAGAGGTTTTTTTTTTTTTTAGTGATTGTTCCAGGTTGTAGTGTGAGGCATGGGCAGAGATGGAACTAAAATCTTTGTCTCCTGACTTTTGGGTTAAGTATACTTTTTTTCTAACTGCAAAATGATTCCTCTTGGAACCCAGTTAATAGGAGGTCTGACTGAATTTCCTGGAACTCTGGAGTTTCTCTTAGGACCAGTCTGGTTAGTCTTTTCTTGCCCTCTAGTTGATATTGGTTCTTCTGAAATAGTTTACTCACTAAACTCTTAAGCAAATAGTGCTTGTTGAGGAACAAATAAAAATAAATCTATAGATTATTTAGATTTTCAAAATGTGTTTGAATAAGGCTCTTCACAATATTGCAACAACATAGGTTCTGATGAGCAAAGTTTGACTGCTGTAACAATAACAAGTGGGATAAGATGATTGGAGCTTTCCTTTAGAGCAAACATTTAGAGGGCTCAATTTTTTATTTTTAAAAATAATTATAAAAATTATTATACATGTTGCTATCAAATGTACTTTGCACCTGTGGAGGAACAACTGATGCTAACACGAAGTTAATAGCAATAGTAAGTGAAAATGGAAAACTGTTACATGGCAGTGTTATTAAGGGGTCTCACCATAACACCTTGTCATTAATTTTAATATGGATTTTAATATTTAATATGCATTTGTATTGCCTACCCTGTAGTCAGAGCCGCTGTTTATAACCCCCTTTTTTTTTTTTTTTTTTTTTGGAGACGTAGTTTCGCTTTTGTTGGCCCAGGCTGGAGTGCAATGTCACGATCTCAGCTTAGTGAAACCTCCGCCTCCCAGGTTCAAGCAATTCTCCTGCCTCAGCCTCCTGAGTAGCTGGGATTACAGGCACCTACCACCATGCCCAGCTAATTTTTGTATGTTTAGTAGAGACGGGGTTTCACCATGTTGGCCAGGCTGGTCTCGAACTCCTGACCTCACGTGATCCACCCGCCTTAGCCTCCCAAAGTGCTGGGATTACAGGTGTGAGCCACCACACCCGGCCTTACAACTCTTTTGACTGTTTGTAGCCTCATGATGGTATATAGACTTTGTATATCATATTTACTTCAGATGGGGTCTTAGAATCTGTATTTGCATTTTAGTATTTTTAAACACCTATTATATGCCAGGTAGTGTCCTAGGCATTGAGGGATATGTTGGAACAAAAATCAGATAGGGTCTCTGAACTTAATGGAGTTAATAGTCATCAGGAGAGACAGGCATTACTCAAAGAATCACATGTGGTTAAGTACTATGAAGGAAAGATACATGGTGCCATCAGACTGTATATTAGGGAGATTTGTCTAATCTAGGAGAAGTTATGATTGATCAGTGACTTGAAGGTAAAGAAGAAATTGTAAGAGTGTTTTAAGCGAGGAAACCTCATGCATATGGGGCTATTGATGGGAAAGAAAATGGTGTGTAAAAGAACTGAAAGAAGGTGGCTGGGCACGGTGGCTCATGCCTGTAATCCCAGCACTTTGGGAGCCTGAGGTGGGTGGATTGCCTGAGCTCAGGAGTTCATGACCAGCCTGGGCAACATGGTGAAACCCCGTTTCTACTAAAATACAAAAAATTAGCCAGGCGTGGTGGCGTGTGCCTGTAGTCCCAGCTTGTTGGGAGGCTGAAGCAGGAGACTCTGTTGAATCTGGGAGGCAGAGGTTGCAGTGAGCCGAGATCGTGCCACTGCACTACAGCCTGGGTGACAGAGGGAGACTCTATTTCAAAAAAAAAAAAAAGAACTGAAAGAAGGTGTGTGGCTGTAGAACAGAGAGCTAGAGGAGTATGTATGAGATGAAGCTTGAGAGATAGATAGAAGCTACATTATACAGAATTTCTTAATAGGCCATAATATAATAGAATTCCTTAGGATAAGGGAAGCCATGAAGTGTTTTAAGTGAGAGTGAGGCATAGTCTGAATAATTTCAGAAAGCACATTGGGTCTATAGTATGGATGGAGAATAGCTTGTGGGTGGGTTGGAGAGTGGTTGGAGAGTGAATGTGTGAAGACTATTGGAAGCGTATTACAGTAGTTTAGGTGAGGCATGATGGTAGCCTCCTTATTGTGGTTCCATCGCATGCTAAAAAGAGTATGCAGAAAAGGAGGACTATGACTAAGTAAGTTCAAGAAGTGTTGTGTTAGGCAACTCTATTGCAGAACTTCTCAGGGCTTTTAAAATGCCCATGTGCGTGGTGAAGCTCTGTGAGGGGATATGGGATGTTTTGTGGCATATATGTCTTGCCCCCCACAGGGTGGACTCTAGAAAATGGTGTGTAATACCTGTTCGTGGAAGCTCACTGGTAGGTGAAGATGCTTTCTGAGTGATAACATATGAGCTATTGCAAACATGGTCGGGGATTCCACATGCCATTTAGCAATAACTTGGGGATAATGTGGTACGTGGAGATAGAAATGGAAAGCTTGTTTTCCTGGGGCAATCTCCCCATTTGTCATCAGGACAGAAAATTACCCTTGAAAGAGCCAGTCTTCCCCATTTGATGTTGCTCTTCTTTGGGGCCCATTTCCAGGTCCTCTGTTTTTCTGAATCTGTGTGCCTGCTTGCACAGTGAGTGGGTGAGTTGGGGAAATTCTCAGCTGGAAATGTCAGAATACCCATTGATAGTTACTCCATAGAATCTGAAATCTGGGGACAATTGAGGGCCGTGGTGGTAACTCATGATAGCAAGCACTTTCCCTCTTTCTCTTCTGTCCTGAACCATGTTGGCCACTTGACCTCAGGCTTATAGTCTCTTGATTGCAAGATGGCTCTCTTAGCTTTAGGCTTCACAAATACATTTGAAGACAGGAATAGGTGGTTGGGTGGGTTTAGACTTAGCAGGTAAATGTCCTTTTCTCAACTGGCTCTGTCCATTTGTTAATCCGTAAAGGAAAATTCCTGGTAGTTCCCTTTTTTCTCTCTGGTTGAAATAGGGTTTTATGGCTACCCTTAGCTGCAAGGACAGCTGGGAAAGACTTGATTAACATAGATGGATTATGATCTGTTCTCTGGGGTTAGTAGTACCGTGTTTTTCTGTTGGTAAAATGTGGGGCTGGGATTGGAAGACTCTTGGGTGTTTCTGCCTTGGATATCTTATATAAGACTTCAGTCAGCACCTATGTGCTGATGATGCCCTTGTCTGCCTGAGTCGCCTGAACAGATCAGCCCTCATGTCAGTTTCTCATGGTTTCATTCAGGGACCAACCTTAGTTCCCTGCCCTGTTCCTCCCACATCAATCCAGTCTGTCTGTAGGGCCCGTGGATTCTTCCTCCCTGCTGAATGACCTTTTGTGTTACTGACCGTCTAGCCTACTTCACCTCCCTCTCCCTTTCTCTCTCTTGTTTCTCTTATCAGCACCTTTTCAGTGCTAATAACTCTTTTTTTTTCTCCAGTGTTTAACATTTTATTGTTAATACTAGATAATATTAGATTGTGAATTTTTCTTTTGGCATACAGGTTTATGATTTAACACGTGCTATTCATGTAACTACCATCATAATTATATATGTAACAATTCTATCATTAAAAAAAAAACTCCCTTGTGTTATTCCTTTATAGTTAGCCCATCCCTCATCCATAACTCCTGGCTACCACTAATCTATTCACCATCCCTCTTTTTTGTCTTTTTTGAGAATGTCATATAAATGGAATCATATAGTATATAACCTTTTGAAATTGGCTTCTTTCACTCGGATAAGAATGCCTTTGAGATCCATTCAAGAAGTGTGTATAAACAATTCACTCCTTTTTATTGCTAAGTAGTAGTCTGTAGTGTGGATATACCACAGTTTTGTTTAACTGTTTATTTTTGGAGGATATCTTGATTGTTTTCAGTTTTTGCCTATTATGGGCTATAAACATTTGTGTATAGTCCTTTGTCCTCCATTTTTTTTCATTATGGCAAAATACAATTAACATAAAATTTACCATCTTAACCATTTTAATGTGTACAATTCAGTAGCATTAAATACATTCATATTGTTGTACAACCATCACCATCATCCATTTCCAGAACTCTTTTCATCTTGCAAACCTGAAACTCTGTCTGTACCCATTAAACAATAACTTCTCATTATCCCATCTCTAGTTCCTGGCTACCACCATTCTACTTTTTGTCTCTAGGGTTTTGCCTTCTTTAAGTACCTTCTACAAGTGGAATCATACAGTATTTGTCTTTTTGTGACCAGCTTGTATAAAGGTTTTTTTTTTTTTTTCAGTGATCATAAGTCTTTATTTCTCTGAGATAAATGCCGAGAAGTGCATTTGCAGGATTCTATGATAGTTACATCTTTAGTGTTTTAAAAAAACACAAACTTTTCCAAAGTGGAAAAATTTACACCATTTTACATTCTCACTAGCAATGTTATAAGTTCAGCCATCTGCAGAGCTTGAATTAAATTTCTGGAGAGATGACCTATTGACTCTTGGGTTAGGTGTTTACCCTTAGAGTAGTCATCGTTGGTTGACTGATTTGGAAAAGAGTGTTTTACAGTAAGTACCACTCTTGTATTCATTCCTGTGGATTGGGGTGGATATAGAGGGAATATTGAACTCTCTTTCACAAAAGTAGGGCTGGGTGGAAAACGGTGTAGGTGTCCATTGCAGTAGTGGTTTCCAAATCTGTGTGTACACCAGAATCATCTGAGGAGCTCTTCATGATACAGATTCATGGGTTTCATATAGACCTACTAAATTGGAATCTGTTTTTAACAAGAGTTCAAGAGAGTTTTAAGTAGTCATGCCCACATCTGTTGGGAATGTTACATTATAGTATCTATGCACTTTTGAAAACTTAAAGGTTTTAGAAGCATATGCTGTACTATATAAATGAAAAACTTCCTGTTCTCTTATCTTTTCCTCTTATTTTTTTCTTTGGCCTTATGTTTATATTTTTGTCTCTTCTCTGTTACTTATTCTATTTTTGTTTTCTCTCCTCCATTTAGTTTTCACTGGTGTCTGTTTTTTGCAAGTGTCTATGGATAAGTTACTGTTATCTTTGCTCTTAGTCTGGAAATTGTATAAAGAGATTATAAACAGAGTTTGATCTTAGGCATCCAGGGTTCCTTTTCTTTCTCATTCCAGATCTGAATGTGTCTCACTGATAATTCTTTCCTTTTAATGGCAAAAGTAGAAAACAAGTTCCTGGGTTTAATGGAGAAACCTTTATGTTTTATATTTAAAGGTTGACATTCTTAAGTAGGCTCACTGTTACGTTTTATTTCCTTCTTTTCTCACAGGGAAGAGGAAGAACGTCTGAGAAATAAAATTCGAGCTGATCATGAGAAGGCCTTGGAAGAAGCA
Organism: Homo sapiens; assembly: GCF_000001405.40. NCBI lineage: Eukaryota > Metazoa > Chordata > Mammalia > Primates > Hominidae > Homo > Homo sapiens. The sequence continues at coordinate 117,402,250 of NC_000001.11, forward strand.
AAAGAAAAATTAAGAAAGTCAAGAGAGGAAATTCGAGCAGAAATTCAGACAGAGAAAAATAAGGTAGTCCAAGAAATGAAGATAAAAGAGAACAAGCCACTGCCACCAGTCCCTATTCCCAACCTTGTAGGAATACGTGGTGGAGACCCAGAAGATAATGACATAAGAGAGAAAAGGGAAAAAATTAAAGAGGTAATAAGCTGAGTTTTGTGATATGGAGTGTTTATGGATTTGTATTTGGATACAAACAAATATATATAATCTATGGTATCCTGTTTTGATCTGTTTATTCTTGGGTCATAGTTGTAGTATAGTTTCCAGGTTGGTAATAAGGACTAGAACTCTTTCTTGTTTTTTTTTTTAATGTTAATTATAATGTAATTATTGGACACTTAAAATATTTTTGATACAACTTTTGGATGGTTAGTGCCACTCATTCTTTGTTCAGAGATCTTTTGAAATTCAGCGTTTTATTAATAATATATCTGTATATAACTTATTGTCTAAGCAGTTTCTTAAATGTTCAGTTACAAAGGGACTCTGCTAGATACTATGCAGATCACCTCATAAACATGCTTCTAAAGAGCTAGCATTATATCTCCAATTTTTTAAGGAACATGTCATGGTATCCCTCAACTATACTGTAGATTAAGAACACATTCCTTCCAAAAAGTCTCCATGGATTGAAAAATGGGAAAGAATTGATTTCAAAATTCTTTAAATTTATTTAGCCTCAGAAGTCTTTCAATTTGTTATTCTGTAGTTACTTAAAAGTAAAGAGAATACCAGATGGGAAAAATCTAGTGAATATTTGGGTTAAACTTTGTTAATTAGAACTCCTAAAAATTCTGGGTGGAGTTTGTGATTATACTGCCTGTGAAGAAAAATATTTTATCAGAGTGTAATTGTACCAACAATATTTCAGAAGGTTTAATTATTATAAAGTAAGATAAATTTAGTTCAAGTAATCAAATATCTATTTGGATATATTCTAGTAATGGATATGGAAGGTATAGCAGATACTTTAAGCTTAGCCTTATGAATTATTATAAAACCTTGACCTTGATGGAGTAGAAATAGAGCTGTGCTCTGATTTTACCTCACCTCTAGAGTCTGTTTTATATGTAGACTACTTAAGGCACTTCCTTCGGACAGTGTTGGGAGAGACAGTGATAGATTTTTTTTCAGATGCCTGACTTGCTTTTTTTCAGATGTCATTACAATGTACTGAAATACTTTTTTCAAATACGTAATAATTCAGATAGATAACCATGTGTGTTCAGGGGACCCCCAGATGATCCTCAGGTTCAGTGACTCACCAGAAGTACCCACGGAACTCAGCATATAGAAACATGTTTTAGTTTGCTGAACTTTTATCCTGTTATTTTACTGAAGTTATTTATTCTTATAGCTTTTTTGTAGATTGCTTGTGATTTTTCTTATACGTAGTCATGTCTTCTGTGAAGAGATACTTTTACTTTTTCCTTCTTGATTTTTATACCTTTTATATTTTTTTTCTTGTCGTACTGCAGTGGCTAGGAGTTCTAATACATTGTTCAAAGTAAGTGGCGAGAATGGACATACTAGGTTTGTTCCCAACTTTAGGGGTTAAGCATCCAGTCTTTTGCCATTAACTATGTTGTGTCAACTGTAGGTTTTTTAAAGATGCTGTTTATTAGGTTGAGGATGTCTCCTTGTAATTGTAGTTTACTGAGAGTTTTATCATGAATGAGTGTTGAATTTTGTCAGATGCATTGTCTTCATTTTTCTCTAGATGACTGTATGATTTTTTTTCCTTTATTCTGTTAACATGGTAAATTACATTGTTTTTTGGATGTTAAATTAGTCTTATATTCCTGGGTTAAACTCCACTTTGTCGTGGTATGGTATCTGTCTTAGATGTTGCTAATTTTTCTTAAGGAATTTTGCATCTGTGTTCTTGAGATACATTGGTCTTGAGTTTTCTTGTAATATCTTTGCTTGATTTTGGTGTCTGATTAATGCTGGCTGCATAAAGCAAGTTGGGAAATGTTTAATGAATAGTATGCTGTTAAATGAATAGATTTTTGGTCTACTATTATATAATTCGTCTGATATATAATTAAATACTCTGCTATTGTATAACTCAGAACTCCTTGGGTTGTAAGACACTCAGCTCAAACTAAGTGATACAAATAGTATTTATTGGTTTAATGGCTCTAAACAAGGGCTTCAAGTTTGGCTGAATCCAAGCCTGTAGATATTATTGTGAGTGTTAAGCATCTGTCTCTCTTTCCTTTTGCTAGTTTCTCCATGCTGGCAGAGAGCCATTATCAGCTCCAGGATTATATATTACATAGACCATCAGATTGCAGAATAAAAAAGCCCTCTATCTCATGGTGTCAATAACAATATGTGTAAAAAGAACTTGATTGTTCCTACCTGAATCACATGTATCCACTCACTTTGTTTAGGGCAGGGGTTGACAGCTGCAACCTGTGGGCCAAATTCTGCTTGCTGTCTGTTTTTTAAAAATAAATTTTAGGCTGGGCATGGTGGCTCACACCTGTAATCCCAGCACTTTGGGAGGCCAAAGTGGGCGGATCATGAGGTCAGGAGATCAAGACCATTCTGGCTGACACGGTGAAACCCTGTCTCTACTAAAAATAACAAAAAATTAGCCAGGTGTGGTGGTGGGCACCTCTAGTCCCAGGAGGCTGAGGCAGGAGAATGGTGTGAACCCGGGAGGTGGAGCTTGCAGTGAGCTGAGCTGGTGTCACTGCATTCCAGCCTGGGTGACAGAGCGAGACTCCATCTCAAACAAAAAAAATAAATAAAATAAATTTTAATTTGAACACAACCATGTCCATTTACTTAGATATTATCTGGGACTGCTTTTATGCTGTAACAGCAGAGTTAGTTTGTTGATCTCTGGTCTAAGGATAGGGGATTTTCTAGCTAGGGTGAGTTAATTGGTGGTAGAAGCAGAGCCTCTTGATTGACAGCTCTGTTATATGTGAGGAAAGGAGAGCTGTCCCCAAAAAGACTTAACATTTCTCAAAAGGAAAGAATGCCAAACAAATATGTACCTCCTGAAGAAAGAAGACTTTTCTATTATGCCCATTTTTTTCCTGTCATATAGATGAGATTAAACATAGTTATGTATGTTTTCATACTGATACAAATGCTAATTGAATAATGTACTAATATAGATCTGGAAGAATGGGCAAGGATATAGTAATAGAACCCAAAATTGTATGAAATAAAAAAACAGTTTGTGAAAAATTTAAATTGATGGATTATAATTTTTCTCTTTTCAGATGATGAAACATGCTTGGGATAACTATAGGACATATGGGTGGGGACATAATGAACTCAGACCTATTGCAAGGAAAGGACACTCCCCTAACATATTTGGTAAGTTTACTTTTTCTAATTACTATTTCCATTTTCTACCTCCATCTTTTAAAACAAGATGTAACTTTTCAAAGTACTTTCTAAAATCTGAGTATTTCTGTGGAACTATAATTTGAAGAAACAGGTATGATTTTTTGCAAGTGTCAGTCACGATTAAGTTCCAGTTGCTTTGGAGTACACATATATGTGGTAGATTTTCTATTTACATATGGATGCTTTAGTCATTTATCTGAGTATTTAAAAGCTTTTTTTTGGCATTTTTTTCTTTAGTGTCAGGAAAAGTAGGCACCTACTTGTCATTTTTTTCTTCAACACAATACCTATTCTGATATTCACATTACAGAGGAAGAGGGGAGGGATAGGAAATTCTTGTAGTTCTGTGTACATTTTTTAAAAAAGTGACATACCTGGGATGATTGGGTTACTGAATTCAGTGGGTTATGTTGTACATTCACAGTTCCTAAGGAAAAATTAACAATGTGTTCTGTGAATGGAGGTTTGGGGAAGAGCTGTGTTCATCTTGAGTTTGTTCATCCTACTTTCCCTGAGCTCAGTTCACTTGTAAAACTTCCCAGTTTAACTTAACCAATTTAACAACTTTTACTAAACCCAAAGGTAAGTCTTCAGAATTGTTAAGCTACTCTTTGTAGTCTTCACTCCTTTCCCCCATTTTAAATGCTTCTTGATGTGACTTGATCATTATCTTTTAAGTAATGATAGATGAAGGCAAGAAAATTTTAATGGGCTAAAAAGTCACAAACTAGTTATATGCAATCTGATTTTATTACCTGTAGTAAACCATCACAGTAATTCAAATAACAGCAATTTTCTTTTTGACACTAGGGAAGGATTTTTCTAATGCTGTGAGTTTTCTTATAATTTGTTCATTGTTGCTTGCTTTTGATCAAAAAAGAAAATGTCTTAAAAAATAATTTCTGTTGGGTTTGGGAGATGTTGTGGTAGAGGAGTAAAGGAAAAAAGTTTCCTCTAGGTAATCAGTGACTACTAGAGACTTCATAATATGATATTTAATTTATCAGCCATTATGTAATGAAATAAAGTATATTTTCTTAACAGAGTTTTGGACTGGAAAGTTCTTACTGCTTTGTGGATGTCACAATATGAGGCGTTAGTGCAATAAAGACATTAAATTTAATAGTCAATTAAATTTAGAACCTCCCTTCAAGTAACTATTTTTATGTTAAACTCAACGGTAAATTGTGAGCCTTTTAAAAAGATTGGAGTATAAAAATGTATTGAAAATAAAAATTGGATGTCAATTTTTTACTTTTTTCAAACGATATTTCTCAGAACATCTAATGTATTAATATTTATCAAATAGATACTGGTCCTATCTGTTTATCAGATAAATATTGATGCTTTAGTAAACTTTAAAGGTAGAAGAAAATTAATTTTGACACTTAGGAAACATCTATTCTGCGAAGAAAATTATAGTGAAATGGTAGAAAAAGAAAATCTACAGAATTTTCAGTAGTCAAAATTAGGTGCTGCTTATTTTTTATTGAATTTTTGAGTGGTTACAGTTTCTTTTCCAGCCAGATAAGCTAAGTAGGAATAGATCCATTATTATGTTTTGTCTTATGTTTGTAGCTATGCAGTCAGTTTGTTAAAGGATTATTTTTTATAGTTTAATACTTTGTTTCCTACTTACTCTGTTTCTTTTGTGTATCTCAAATTCTTGCCAGTAAGTACAATTTGAGTTTTTTTAATCTATTTTTTGATCTTTTTCTTTTTTAAAAAAACAGTAAAAGTCTAAGAGAAGCGTGGTAAGTAGTTCTCAGTGTCTCATTTGACATCTCAAATTTAGTATGCCTTTACAGAATAGGAATATGTAGGTGGATACTGAACCTTTGCTTGCAATATTCTAGATTTTAGGGAAAACATTAACTTAAAACACTCTTTTTGTTAGCCTTGATTATTAAACAATTCTTTTATATGGTAACTGAGATAGGGGCTCCTCTGACTTCTGTCTAGTTAGTTCTTGGCATCAGAGTCCTCTTTACATGCAGATAACAGAAAATCCATTGCAAAATGGCTTAAACTAAAAAGAAAACTTAATCAGCTGAATGAATTCCTGGTGTATATCTGATTTTACCTGAGCTTTTTTACTTTATCTTTTCTGTTTTCCTGTGTTTTGATATAATCAAGCTGGTTTCTTAGCAGGATGGCTGCAGCAACTTGAAGCTTCATATCTTCATACTACCACAGCTGTGGGAAAGAGAACATTGTAGAGAAGAGAGCACTCGGATGTCTTAGAAATATAATTGAAATACTCACTGTTTCTTATTGTCTCTGATTAGGTCTTGTGCCCATTGTTGAACCAAATGCTGTGCTTAGGAGGATGGGACATGTTCTTTTTGTTTTGCTTAGTTAGGGCCTGGCTCTGGAGCCAGGAGAGGGGAGGAGGAAATGTTGCTGGATGTAAGTTAGCACTGATACTAATTATTCTAACAATGATTAATAGTTAGAATGGCTGGGTGCAGTGGCACATAGTCCCAGCTCCGCAGGAGGTTGAGATGGGAGGATCGCCTGGGGCCAGGAGTCCAAGGCTATGGGGCACCATGATCATGATGCCTGTGAATAGCCACTGTGCCCTAACCTGGGCAACATAGCAACATAGCAAAACCCTTTCTCTTAAAAAAAAAAAAAAAAAAAAGCAGAATGAGTTCTTTCTATTTAGATATTCTGGAAAGTAGAAAGTTTTGTTAGGGATAGGTCTTTTTGCATGTAGAAGAAATTATTTTAATTTGTAAAAAGTATTCTTTGATTTTGCAATGCTCTTTGAAGGGTGCATTTTATTTTCCAGGTGTGTGTGTGTGTGTATTTATATGTAAATATGTTCCTTTTGTTATTTCTGACTTAACTGTGATTTGATTTGTACATGTTTTGTTGAAGATTGTTGCTTCTATATTAATAAGAGATACTGCTCTGTACTTTTCTTGTATTATCTTTGTCTTGTTTTGATATCAGAGTAATGCTGGACTCAGAAAATGATTTGGGAAGTGTTTTCTGCTTTTCAGTTTTCTGGATGAGATTGTTTAGGATTGGTTTTATTTTTTTCTTTAATGTTTGGTATATGTTGCTGAAGAAACCACTTGCATCTGGAATTTTTTTTTTCTTGAAGGTTTTTAAACTACAAACTTAATTTCTCTAATAGTAAGGACCATTCAGTTTATCTGTTTCATTTTGGTTGAGTTTTGGTAATTTGTGGTTTTTGAGTAATTGGTCTGGTTTTATCTAAGTTATTGATTTTATATGCATAGAATTGTTTGGAGTATTGCCTTGTCATTTGAATGTCTGTGGCAGCTGTAGTAATAATCCCCTTTCATTTCTAATATTATTGATTTATGTTTTGTCTCCTCTCTTGTCCTGCTAGAAGTTTATTAATTTTATTGATCTTTTCAAAGAAACAACTTTTGGGTTCATTGATCTTTGTAATATTTTCTTTGTGTTTTCATTTCTTTGATTTCTACTCTTTATTGTTTTCTTCTTTTGCATGATTTGGGTTGATTTTGCTCTTGTTTTTCCAGTGTCTTGAAGTAGAAGCCTAGATTATTGACCAGAGATCCTCTTTTCTAATGTGTTTATTACTGTAAACTTTCTAACTACTGCTTTTGCTGCATCCCTGAGGTTTTGATATATTTTCATTTTCATTCAATTCAGTGTTTTAAAATTTTCCTTGCGTAAGTTTAAGTATTTAGAGTTTAAAAAAATCCTTCTGTTACAGATTTCTCGTTTTAATTTTGTTAGGATCAGAGAATGTACTTCACATAATTTTCATTCTTTTAAATTATTTTTGGTTTGCTTTTAGACACAGGTTTGTCTTGGTGAATTTTCCATTTGTTCTTAGAAAGAATGGTATGTGTATATTCTGCTGTTATTGTGTGGAATGTTCTATTGATGTCAGTTAGATCCCATTGGTTAATGGGGTTGTTCAGGCTGTCTCTATCTTAGTTGGGTTTCTGTCTCATTCTGTCAGTTACTGAGAGAGGGATGTTGAAGTCCTCAACTCTTATTTTGGACTTCTTTCAGTTCTGCCAACTTTTGCTTAATGTAATTTGAGGTACTCTTGTCAGGTGTTTGTCCATTAAGGATGATGTATTCTTAGGAGCACCACTAAAGTCCTAGTATCAAAACCAGACAAAGATATTTATAAAAAAAGGAAACTATAGAGCAATATCCCTTATGAACATAGACATAAGAATATTTAATTAAATTTTAGTAAATCTTATTGAGTAATACAGTTGTCCTTTGGTATCCATGGAGGATTGGTTTCAGGACTCCAGAGAATACCAAAATCCATGGATGCCCAAGTCTCTTTTATAAAATAGTATATAATATTTGCATATAACCTAAGCATATTCTCATATATTTAAAATTATCTCTAGATTACTTAGAATACCTAATACAATAGAAATAGTTGTTATACTGTGTCTTAAAATTTTTGTTTTTTAAATTGCTGTGTTATTTTTAAAATTATTTTCCCCAAATATTTTCCGTCTACCGTTGGTTGAACCTGTGGATATGTAACTGGTGAATACTGAAGGCTGAGTGTATATTACATTATGACTAAGTGGAATTTATCATAGAGATACGTGGTAGGTTTTACATTTGGAAATTAGCTAGTGTAGTTTAAGATATCAGTATAATAAAAGAGAAAAATCATAGGATTATCCCAGTAGTTGGAGAAAAAGCATTTAATAACATTTAACATCCATCGATGATAAAAACTGTCAGCACACTAAACTAAAAAGGGGATTTCTTTAACCTGATAAAGAGAATTTCAAAACAACAACAATAAGCAAAAAATGCAAAATACCCCCCACATACTTAATATTGAAAGACTATATGCTTTCCCCTAAGATTGCAAGCTAGGCAAAGGTGTCTACCCTCTCACTTTTATGTAACATTGTACTGGAGATCCTAGCCAGTGCACTAAGGCAGAAAAAAGAAAAAGAAAAAAAAAAAAGAATAAAGATTGGAAATGAAGAAGTAAAACTATCTTTACATTTTTAGTCAACATAATTGCCCACAGAGAGAATCCTAGGGAATGTACCCAAAAAAGGTGCTAGAATAAACAAATTTAGTAATGTTATAGGATACAAGTTTAATATGCAAAACCAATTATGTGTCTTGGTATACTTGCAACAAACAGTTATAAACACAGTTTAAAAAATAAAGTCATTTGCAGTAGTATCAAAAAATAAGAACTATATGTGTATAAATTTGACAAAATATGTACAGAACCTGCACATGGAAAACTTTATGTTGTTTTTGAGAGAAATTTAAAAGGACTTAATGGAGAGAAATGCCATGTTGATGAATTTGAATATTCAATATTGTTGGGATGTTAATTCTTTCTAAATTTATGTTTAAATTTAGAGGAGTCCAATGAAAATGACTAGGCTTTTCTGTAGAAATTGGCAAGTTGATTCTAAAATCTATGAAAATACAAAGCACTTAGAATAGTCAAGTAATTTTTTTAAAAAAAACCAAGTTGAAGGATTTGCACTACCTGATTTTATAAATTACAGTAAAGCTACAATTCAGGACAGTATGGTTTTAGCATAAGGATGGGCATAGAGATCTGTGGAAAAGAATAGAAATAGAAGTGTACATACATGGTTAATTGATTTTCAACAAAGATGCTGAGGTTCAGTGATTAAAAGGATAGCCTTTCCAACAAGTGGTGCTGGGTCAACTGTATATTTGTATGGGAAAAGAATGAGCTTTGCCTCTTCCTTCAACATTGTATAGAAAAATGGATCACAGAGCTAAATATAAAAGCTAAAAGTAAAAAAATTTCAGTAGAAAACACTTGAGAACATCTTTGTGACTTTGAGGTTAGCAAGGATTTTTTAGAACACAAAAAGCATTAAGTATAAAATAAAAATGTTGGTAAATTGGACTTAATGAAAATTGAAGATTTCTGCTCCCCAAAGACATCAGGAAATTGGAAAGACAAACCAAAGACTTGGAGAAGATATTTGAAATATTTACATAAGGATGTATCCAGAATATATAAATACTTCCCCACCCAAGGAGGTATATGAATAGCCAGTAAGCACATCAATAAGCAGGGAAAGTAAAATTCACACCACAATGGAATATTTCTACACACCCATTAACATGTCTAAAATTTGAGGATCAACAATACCAAATATTGACAAGGATGCTAGAGCAACTCTGTTATACATTGTATTGGGAATGTAAAATGGTACACTGTGGAAAGCAGTTTGTTGGTTTCTTATAAACTTACTGTATAGCCTAGCAATTCCACTCCTAAATATTTCCTTGTTGCTCACAAATGAGATCAGGTGTAGTTGTATGTTTCTTAGTAAATTCGATTTTTTTCCGCCAATGATATAAAGAATTTACAAATTGAATTTTAAGATCTTTTTCCCTATGTTATATAAAAGTTTGTATAGAATAGGAGTTATCATCCTTAAAATTAAAGTAGTAGTCATTCTATGAAACTTCTAGAATATGGTATTTTGATAGCGGGTAGCTCTTTGAAAACTTTTTTATTTCCTGTGTTTTTCGGTCTGTTTAGATTTTCTGTTTCTTCTTTCATAAGTCAAAAATAGTATTTCTCGAGAAAGATCAAATTTATTGTGAATATATGAATAAAATGGGCCTTTTATAATTTTAAAAAATTTTCTCTGTGCTTGTCTGTTGTTACATTTTTATTTATTTTGTGTTTTTGTCTTGTCTACCTTTTAAAAACGAGGTTAATGGTAGATTCATTGTATGGTTCTTCATGGAACCATTTCTTGAATTTATTATTTCAATAATTTTCTTCATTTCTAATTCATCCATTTCTGCCTTTAGTTTTTCTCATTCTTCTATTATTTTGCTCAAATTTGTTTTTTCTTTCTTAGAATATTCAGTTATTTTCATTTGTTCTTATTAACTAGTATAAATATTTTAAGTGTTTTTGTGAGAACTGCTTTAGTTGATTCACTTGCTCTCATACTAAATTTTTATGATGTTTTATATATTTTGCAATGTCATGTTTTGCTGCTTCTTTGACCCAAGAATAGTGTTAGGCTTTTTCATTTTTTCCTGTTCAAATCTTGACTTCCTCTAGGTAAACAATCATGATGATAGCCAGTAATTTCAATTTTACACTTTTCTTCCTTGAAGCCTTTAGCTCATGGCACCTAGTGCAACTAACCAAGACTGGTACAGAATAGGTGGGTCAGGCCTTTTTCCACTCCAGAATAGTCAATACCTTAGAGAAATATGTACTTAGAGGACTAAATAAATAACTAGGTAACTGGAGGAGCAGAACTATCTACAAAAATTAAAATAAGGACACAAACAGTAGTCTCAAGGATTTAAAATAAGTTTGGTAAATGTTTTGGATGAAATGCTAAAATTAAAAGAGAATACATATTCAAGAATTTATGCAAGAGATAGAGATATATGAGTGATTAAATGGCTTGATACCATTTTTATCGTAATAAAAAGCTGAGGAACGTAACAACACATAACTTTCTAGATAATATCAACATGAAGGGAACTGAGTAGGTAGAAGACCAAGGAATTTATCAGAGTGTGTTGGAGTATTTGTCTTGTTAGCTAAGAGAAGATAGATGTATTGATAAGTTGAAGAAATTATTAGGAACACATGAACAAGAAAATGGCATGTAAATTAAGAACAACCATCATAAGAACAAATTTGTGTAGCTTTAAATCATTGGAAGAAAACAATTTCTACTCAGTAGAAAGAGGAATGGAAAAAGAAAGAAAAGAGGAGAATAGTAAATGGAAAATGTGAACTAAGTAATGTTGAATGCTGGCTCTGAAAATGTCACCAAGAAAACCCGTTGATAAGACAAAGCTGTTAATTATTACTTTGGTAAGGAGATCACTACCTCGCTGGAGTCGTAACCTTTCAGAGTTTTGGGGTATAAATCATCATTTGATACTTTCTGTTGTAGAGTTGATGGGTCTTTAAAGAAGTTCCTGGAATGAACAATAAATTTTTTTTGCAACTTTTATCTTTCTGAGCAAGAGCTCCTGGAACAGTAAATTCATGTTGTTGAAGACAATGTAATATAGTAAAGCCATGTTAATGCAGGCAGTAAGCTGTGTGGATCATTTGCATTTTCATAGGACACAAATAATAATTGCATTAATGGGATTGGGGTGAACCCATCTGCTCCCTGATATTTATTTTTTTGCTGTACTACTAGATTTTTTACTCTACTAGTAGCAAAACAAACCTAGTTTATTTAGGATTTGTAGAGTTATATTCATTAGTAAGATTGGCCTGTTTTCTTCTCTTAAGTTTTCATTATCTAGTTTTGGTATCAGTTAGGCTGGTTTTGAATTAATTCTTCCCTCTCTTCCTCCCTTTCTCTCTTGCTTTCTTCCCCTCAGAACATTTTTTTAATGATAAGGATTATCTCTTTCTTAAAAGTGGATACATTTTATTATTTTGATTTTCTCTACTCATATTTTGTTTGATGGTTTCCTTTTTTCAATTTGATCTACCTGCTTGTTGATTGTTAAGGATTGTTTTTTTTCCACTGTGGTTATCCAGCCCTGTTGTACATTTATTATTATTTTTAAATATATTTTTTGTCCTTTATATGAATTTGGACCAGACCAGAAGGACATGGTTGTCTTATTACTTAGCTTTGTCATTGTGAAGTACTCTCCTCTTTTCTTGAATTAATCCTCTTTTTTTTTCCTTTCTCAGTTAAGTAGATAGATATCTCATATTCTGACGAGGCAGAAAATTAAGGAAAAGTATGCTTTTAGTTTTCTTTTATCTTCCTATTTTTAGTAAAGTACTATTTTTAGTAAAATATATTAAACTATGTATATTATCTAATATATACATATAATTTCTAATGTAAAAGGGAACAATATTGGGTATTCTAAATTTTTAGTCCTTATACTCTTACTTTAGTTTACCTTTATACATAAATAATTAAAATACACTGAATGTGAAGGGAATCTTTTTTTTCCCCCCAAAGAGAACAGGAACCTAAAGGGATCTTTTTAATGATAATTTTTTTCTTCCCAAATATAGGAAGTTCACAAATGGGTGCTACCATAGTAGATGCTTTGGATACCCTTTATATCATGGGACTTCATGATGAATTCCTAGATGGGCAAAGATGGATTGAAGACAACCTTGATTTCAGTGTGGTGAGTGTATGATTGATAACTAATCTCTTAGATTAACCATGAAAAGACACAATGTCTAACTGCTATGGTCTGAACATTTGTGCCTTCCTAAAATTCATATGTTGAAACCTAATCACTAATGTGACGGTACTAGAAGATGGGGACTTTGGGAGGTGATTAGGTCATGAGGGTTGACCTCTCATGAATGGAAAAAATATATATATATATTTTAAAGTTGAGTAATTAGCACAGCTTCGATGAATTTTCATAGTTAGGCCTACACTCATTCTTCTGGCACTTTAGCATGGTCAAGTGGCACTGCTTAGGTTTGGCATAGTTGTTAAGTCACACGCCCAGCACAGTTGCATTCTTGGTGTGCGACTTGAGAAAGTTCCTTATCTTCCTAAACCTGTCATAAAATTGATATTCCATTATAGTATTGTGAGGATTATTTGAGATAATGTGGTACATATTAAATGCTCAGTAAATGGTAGCAATTATTTTCATTATCACCAGTCTTCACCTAAAAGATGTGTGGACTGTTTTGTCATATTCACATCTTTTGTGATATTTGTGCTTGCTTTTCCTTTTGACTGTATTATCCTTCACTACTTCTCTATGTACTTCTCTCTGGCAGACTCTTCGTTATTTAAATTGTGATATAAGTCCATAATTATTTCTTCTCTGATGCCATTCTTGGAGCTAACTAGACAAAAATGGTTTACTTTCCTTTATATTACTGTAGAATTTGGACGTATCTCAAAGAGAACAATTTTTATTATCAATTAAGTTTAGGTTTGATGGTGAGTGATAGAAAACCTAATATAAAAGAGCTTAAACAAGATAGATATTTATTTTTTTTTCATGTAAATCAAGTACAGAGTTAAGCAGTTCAGGGCTGGTTTGGGTGGCTCCTTGATCATCAAGGATCTAGGATCATTTGTCTTGTTGTTCTGTTGGCTTCAGTGTATATCTTAGACCTCATGATATGAAATGGTTCCTAAAGATCCAGACATTTTATCCAGTTGACAGAAAGAATGTGACTGTTCTCTAAGAAGACTTCTCAGGAGGTAGTCTCCCCATTTTTGCTTTTAGAGTTTACTAACACAGCCTCAACTAACTCCAAAGGAAAGCTGAGAAATGTAGTCTTTTTTTCTGTGTAGCTATGTAGCCTTTATACAACAGATTGTGCTTTTTGTATCTTGTTTAAGAAAGCCCTACTCCTAGATCATGAATATATTTTCTTATATTTTATTCTGAAGGTTTTAAAGTTTTGCTTTTGTATTTAGTCTTTAATCCAAATGGAATTGAATTTTTTTTAATGTAGGATGAAGTAGGCCACTATTAGTTGATCCTAGTACCATTTCTTTTCCTGCTACTTTTATATGCCACATTAGTCATATATTAGTCATATTACAGTTTATTCTTTAACATTGGCTTTTTTCTTTATCCATATGTCAATACTAAACTATCTTAACTACAATTTTTTTTATAAGAAGCTTGATGTCTGTATCTGAATCTGTTCTCTGTTGGTATCTGATCTTGTTCTCTGCGGAAATTGTCTTAGTTCTCAGCTTTTTGTTCTTTCAAGTTCTGGAAAACTGTGTGGAAATTTTGAGGAGGATTGCATTTAATTTGCAGATTAATTTGGGGAGAATTAGCATCTGTGCAATACTCCCATTCATTGACAGGACAGCTTTATAATGGCTAATAATTCCCTTGTATATCATTATTATCAGTCAGGGTTCAATCAGGAACCAGACTATGCCATTTATTTTAACTAGAGGATTTAATGTTTAGAATTGTTATCCAACTAATGGGGAACCAAAAAGGCAAAAAGAGAGCATTGTGATATCACCAGAAGTATTAACTCTAGGAAACAGGAAACAGCTGCCACCTGTGGGGACTATAAGAACAATGGGAAGAGGTTGGGATCATTAAAATGCAGTAGCTTGGGCTCTATGGAACTGGTACCTGTGCTGCCCAGGTGTTACTGGTACCTCAGGAAGACTGTGTCAGAGCTGAGACTCAGAACTCTGAGGAGGAGACACCTAGCCAAGTGCTTGATATCTGTAAAGGAAACCATGAGGCTGATTTGGGGATTGTGTGTCTGTATGTGTGATAAGGGAACAGTACTCTGGAAGCAGTTGCCACTGCCAGGGTGAACCCTGGCTGGTGAGACACTATCAGAAACTAGAAGTAAGCAGGAGGGAATAAGACTCTTCTTCCTCCAGTCTTGTATTGTCTTTTTAGAACCTCCTAATGTTAGTGCCTAAAAGGGAGCCAGTTGGTAAATTAAATGCATTTGTGTAGTTCCAACTCCCATATACCAAAGTAGAGTATAGAAGAATGGATTTGAACCTGAGAGAAGTAGTGTAATCATCAGCACAGTCATTTTTTGTTCCTTTCTTTCAACCTTTAAATGTCATTATGTTTTAGCTGCTTATTTTGCATATATAGTATGTATTTGGGTTTTGTTATTTTTATCCAACCTTAGAGTCTTTTTAACTATTAAGTTTGATATATTTACATTTACTATGATAACATATTTGGAGTTAGGTCTTTCATCTTTGTTTTGCTACCTATATTATGATCATACTTTTCATTTGTTTTTAGTTTGTTTTCCTTATTTTGGATTAAATTACATCATCTCTCTTTTTCCCTCTACTAGTTTAACATTATACCTTCCATTTCTATTGACTTTGGAGATATCCTTGAGTTTAAATATATATATATATATATATATATGTGATATATATGTTTTATAAAAATACATTAAAACTGAGTTTTATCTCTTTTTTGTGTTTGTGCTCTGGTGTCAGGAGCAAAACAATAAACAATGTATGTTTAAACTTTAAGGGTAACTCCAAAGTAGGCGTGCACACACACACACACACTCTCTCTCTCTCTCTCTCTCTCTCTCATCAAAGTATAGTATATATAAATATATATAAACTTTAAGGATAACCCTAAGTAGGCAGTTTGAAATTAATCAATTTCAGACAAGGAGTCATGGCTCGTGTCTGTAATCCCAGCACTTTGGGAGGTTGAGGCAGGAGGATCGCTTGAGCCCAGCTTGGGCAACATAGTGAGACCTGAACTCTACAGAAAATAAATCCCAGCTACTTGGGAGGCTGAGGAGGGAGGATTGCTTGAGCCCAGGAGGTTGAGGCTACAGGGAGCCATGATCATGCTACTGTACTCTAGCCTGGGCAACAGAGTAAGATCCTCCTTCTGAAGAATATAAGGATTTTAGAATGCTTTAACTTAACTCATCCCCCTTTTGTTTTATGTGTCATTGTTGTCTAGTTGATCCCAAGTTATATTTTAAACTTCCAAATTAAGTAATAGATAAATAAATGCACACATTTATCAAATGCAACAGGCACTGTTCTAGATTCTGTGGATATAGTAATCAACAAAACAGAGTTTTATCTCTTTTTTGTGTTTGTGTTCTAGTGTCAGGAGCAAAACAGTAAACAAGTTATATATAGTACATCAGAGGGTGATGATAAGTGCTATGGAGAGTAATGGTGGGGTACTGCTATTAGTATTTTACATGGGGTGGTCATGGAAGAACTCTTTGTTAAAGTGACACTTCTGAGAAGAGACCCAAGGGGAGCCATGTGGATATACAACTCTGTCTTAATAGATATTAAAACTGAGAATAGAGGTACAGTTCCCTTGTCTTTCCTGCTTCTGTTATACTATTGCAAAGTGTGTTTTCAGTTTAATTTTAAAAAGGCAATCTGTTTTTTCCCTTGTTTTAATATTTTATTTTTTGCTTTGTTGTTCTGTAATTCTATTACTATATGTCTATGTGTGGGTTATTCTTTAAAGGACTCATAATGTTTCATCAATCTGAAGACTTACATTTTCATCAAGTTTAGTAGGTTCTCAGTTATTACTTCTTTCAAAAATGTCTCTATCCTATTTTTCCGTTCTGTCCCTCTAGAATTTCTGATACCTTTTGTTTCTGTAGTGAAGGAAGATTGTTTTACAAATGAAACTATTTGATTACCGTGTGATTATATATAGTTAGATGATGATGTGTTAATTAGGGAAATAATGCAAGGTAATTGGTATTAATATTTTATATTAGATGGTCAGAAAAAATTTCTGATAAGGTGACATTTATTCAGAGACCTATAGGAAGTGAGAGTGATTTGTTCAGTTATGTGAAAGGAAAGCATCCAGATAATAGGGTAACAATTGTAAAGCTGACATAGGAGTCTCAAGTTTGACAATTCTGGGTACAGCAAGTAGGCCCATATAATTAAATGAATCAAAGGGATATTAATACAAGGGATGTCAAAGAGGTTGTAGGGGATCTGAGCATGTTGGATCTTATTGGTCATTTTACTCTTGAGTGTTATGTGAAGGCATCGTAGGGGTTTGCACAGAGTAGTGATCTAAACTGATGTAAGATTTAAAAGGCTCATTTTAACTATAGTGTGCTGAATAGAGGGTAAGGAGGAGGGTAAGTATTAAAGCAGGGACTGGTTGGAAGGTTATTGTTGCAATTCTGGTAAGAGATGGAGGCCCTCCCACCCTTTTTTCCTTCCTCCTCATATTTAGTCAATGTCTGCTATGTGCCCTGTAGTATGTTAGATGTTGGGAATATATGAAGTAATATTAAGCACTTTGCTTTCATGGTGGGATGGAATGATGATCGTGTTATCAAAAAATTACATTATATTGTAAAAATTCTATACTGAAGAAATATGTTAGCAGATGATGTGCCTGCCTATGAATGTTGGAAAGACTTTAGAGTAATACAGTTTCCTTTTAATTTTTATTAAAATTAACTATGAATGTTTTTATGTTAGTTGTATATCTTCTGTAGATTCTTTGATTATGTTCTCTGCCACTTCTGCTTTTCTTTCCATGTGTTAGAATATTTCTAGCAATATCTATATCAATATGTAAATACAAACATAGAGACTCTATTTAGTAAGGTTATTAATATTACTATATTTGTGCTGTTTCCATCTGTTTGCCATTTAGTTTTGTTTATGATTCTTTTTCTTATAGGTAATTTGCATTTTAGAAAAATTTCATGTCTGTCATCAATTTATCAAAACTATTGGTTTTATGCTTAAGTACCTGCTTTCTCAGGGAAATTTATATATTGCCACACTTCTACTTTAAAAATTTTTTTAAACATTTATTTCCAAATAATTTAGATTTCATTTTGATATTTGTGAAATTAGTATTTATGTTAATTTCTTACCCAGGAGGCAATTTTCTCAACATTATTATTGAATAATCCATCATTCTGCCATTTTTTTGGTGCCTCCTTTAACACTTATTATATATTCTAGGAAAAATACTTAAAATCCAGGAGGAGAGAGGAAGTAAAAATTATGCTGTAGTGATTAGAACAGAAGAAAAAGGACCACCAGTAAAGAGTGCTATTCTAGAATCATGACCCAGAATTCTAGAAATGAAGGCTTTCATGAGGAAGGGTAATAGTTAACAGTGTTAAATATCCTGATAAGTTCACAGTACTGTGTAAGGTACATAAAAAATGGCTTGTTGGTTTCAGGAATTAGGGAGCTGTGGTGACAGCAGTAGAGAAGTTTCAGTAACATTAACAAACGAGAGGAGAGATTGCAGTTGCATGAGAAATGAAGATGCAGAAAGTAGAAAAATATTTTCCACAGGGTGTTTGTGAAAAACAAATGAAGTATTGATAATATTTTGAAAACTATAAAGCATTACGTATTTGTGAATGTTTTCAATATGTTTTTCACAGAATTCAGAGGTGTCTGTGTTTGAAGTCAACATTCGATTTATTGGAGGCCTACTTGCAGCATATTACCTATCAGGAGAGGAGGTGAGCAAAATCAAGCAATGCATTGTTTGTTTTGGAGGGGAGGGTTGGAATTTAATAAAATGAACAATTTCCCTAGAAGCATATTAGTTTTCTAAATTGGTAATATTGAACCAGTCTAGAACTGGTTGCTTCAGGCAGAACTATTCCTTGGGAATAATAATTTTTCCATTTTGAGGCTCTCAATAAAACATGAATTCATCACAGATCCTAGCTTTATATACACCATGTCTCCTTTGCAAGAGTGATCCTTCTCCAGGATTTTGCCATTGCAATTAATTCCATGGCCCAAGTAAAGGGGGAAAATAAACTAATAAGGACAAAATTAAATAACAAATCAGAAAGAATTAATATGGATCCTCCTAAGACCAAAAATTAGTAATTCAAACTTACTGTTTAGAAATTGAATCCAGTTTTTGGCTATAAATAATAACAACTCTGAATTCTCCTCTCTGGAAATCTTGGTACAGAACACATGGAGACACTTGAGACCTAAGGTGATGGAGAAGTGGGTGTAGGAAATTCCCTTTTACTATTGAAATAGGTTAAAGAATGAGGTTGAAGAGTGGGAGAAAGAGAAACTAAAGGAAGAGGTTATAAGTCATTTATTTGTTTTTTGAGCAACTGTTTCACCCATATTTTGGTTTGTTGATCTAGACAATTTGTAAGAGCTCTTTGTAGATTTAAGAAAATTTACCTTTTGTTATATGTATTATAAAGATACATATCTATGTTAGCTGTATTTTGTTTAATTTTTTTTTGTTGTTAATGTTGAAGTAATCATTTAAAGGATTTTTTTTTCCCCCCAGTGTTTTGGCTTCTAGATTTTGGTCCTTAGAAAGCCTTTCCTATGTCTGTGTTATTACAAAACAAAAATTCCCATTTTCGTATGGATTTTTATGACTTTATATACTTTTATCTATATATTTCATTTATTGTTGTTCCTTTGTGTGTAAAGAGTGAGCTATTTATGTACTACCTTTTTTTTTTAGAAGAAATATGTTTAAAGATGCTGGTATTTAATATATTAGATTACATTTATCTTAATGTGTAATTTTATTGTCAAATTATATTGTGTGATTTGTTTATACCTCTAACATATATTTCTATAGTCAGAACATTTAAATTCACATTTAATAAAATAGAAAAAAATGATATATACTCTGGCCAAGAGGTTATCAAACTTTAGTATGTATTAGAATCACATAAGGTGTTTTATAAAAATGAGGATTCCAAGCCCTGCCCAAAGGACCGATTCAGTGGGTTTAGCGTGGAGACCATTATCCTACGTTGTTCATGCCAAATACTCCTTGTTAAAGGTGATTTTGGAAACATTGGTTCTATATTTTGAGAAACTCTGACCTGGCTTATAGGAATAAAATCATTGTGAATTAATTGTTATTTTTAGTAAGGTTTATTGAGGTATTATTTACGTACAGTAAAATTCAGTATATAGTTTTATGAGTTTTTACAGTGCATAGTATTGTAATCACCAGCATGATCAAGATACAGAATTTTATTATCCTAGAAAATTTCCATTTACCATTTTATAATTACCCTATCCCATTGCCAGCCCCTGATAATTACTGATCTCTTTTCTGTCTCTACAGTTAAGAATGCTGGCTTCTTTTACTTAGCATAATGCATTTGAGATTTATCCATGTATTAGTAGTTTATTCCTTTTTACTGTATTACAGTACTCCATTATGCATTTTATATATTTATCAGTGGAATTATTTACAGTTTTGGAGATTGTGAATAAACCTGCTATAAGCATTTGCCTATAGATTTCTGTGGGAAAATAAATTTTTATTTATCTTGGATAAATACATAGGAATGGGATTTACTGAGTCAAAGGTTAAGTGTATATTTAACTTTGGAAGAAACTGTCAGATTCTTTTCCAAAAATTGCCTCTCATTGTTGTGAGTACTTTGTATTGTGAGTCTCTTTATTATTGTTAGCCATTCTAATAGATACATAGTAGTATCTCATTGTGGTGGTTCTATTTTGCATTCCCTGATGACAAGTGATGTTGAGCATCTTTTCCTATGTTTATTTGTCATATGTATTTTTTGAATTAGCTGCTCAAATCCCTTGCCCATTTAAAAATTTTTGTTTTTTTTGAATTATTAAATTGTGATAGTTCTTTACATATTTTGGACATAGGTCTTTTATAATCTATACATTTGCAATTATTTTCTCTATCTGTGGCTTGTCTTTCCAGTGATTTAACAGTATCTTTTGAAGAATTGATGTTGTTAATCTGGAAGTACAATTTACTAATTTTGTCTTTTATGGTTCATGCATTTGGTATTTTGTTTAAGAAATGTTTGCCTAATCCAACATCACAAAGATTTTCTCTTAAGTTTTCTTCCAAAACTATTATAGCTTTACTTTATTTGTACTTTTAAGTCTGTAATTGATTTTGAGTTAAATCCTATATATGCTGTGAGGTATAAGTTGAAGTCTACTTTTTTCCATATGGATGTTGAAAAGACTACTTTTTCATTAATTGACTTTGTACCTTTGTTGAAAATCAGTTGATTAGGTATGTGTGGGTCTACTCTAGACATTCTGTTTTGTTCTCTTGATTTATGTGTCTGTCTTTGGTACTACCACATTGTATTCATTATTATGGCTTTATAGAAAGTCTTGAAATCAGGTTGTGTGAGTCCTCCAACTTTATTCCTTTTCAAAATTGTTGTGGCTGTTTTAGTTACTTTTCCTTTTTGTATAAATTTTAGAATCAACTTGTTGGTTTCTATAAAATCTACTGAGATTTTAACTGGGATTATAAATTTTGAGTGATTTGACATCTTCACAGTATTGTTTCAGTCCATGAATAATGGTATATCTCTCCATTTATTTATTTTTTTATTGGTGTTTCTACTTTTTAGCATACAGATCTTGTATGTATTTTGATAAATTTATACATATTTCATGTTTTTGGTAGTTCTGTATTTTAAATTTTGGTTTCCCATTGTTCATTGTCAGTATATATAAATACATTTGATTTTTAAAAAACCTTTAATAAAGACTTAAATTCTCAGTTGTCTCAGGACATTTTGTTTCTTCTAGAAAACTTTGTGATACTATCATTTTAAAAAAGTGCTAAAGGTACACAACATAAAATTTACCATTTTAACCATTTTAAGTGTGCAGTTCAGTGGCATTAAAAACAACATTTGCATTGTTGTGCAATGTGCAATTGATTTTTCTTTTTTTCTTTCTTTCTTTCTTTTTTTTTTTTTTGAGACGGAGTTTTGCTCTTATTGCCCAGGCTGGAGTGCAATGGCGCGATCACAGCTCACTGCAACCTCTGCCTCCCGGGTTCAAGCGATTCTCCTGCCTCAGCCTTCCATAATTGATTTTTATATTGACTTTTTACCCTGTGATTTTTCTAACTTCATTAATTAATTCTAGTAGCTTTAAAATATACTTTAATAGATTCTTCAGGATTTACCTTATAAACAATCATGTCATTAGTAAATAGAGATGAGTTTTATTTTTCTGTATAGAGAATGGTTATTTATTTATTTTTGTTCTTTTCCTGCTCCTTCTCCTGAGGCAGAGAATGGTTTTATTTGTGTGGTCCTTTTCTTTTTCTTGCCTTACTGCATTGCCTAGGACATCTACTACAAAGTTGAATAGTAATGGGCAGAGTAGGCATCCTTGCCTGGTTCCTGATCCTAGGAATTGCAGTGATAGCTTTATTCTCTTCCACGATCATGGCATATGGCTTCAAAAGTACTGTAATCCAAGAATGTTTATTATTTCTGTTGGTCTGCTCCTTTAACTCTCCACCTTTCGTACCCATAAGATTTTTGCCTGGTTTGTCCTTTCTGTGCCCTGGAACGAAGATAGTTCCTGGAAAAACTAGTCCCAGAGGGAGAGCTTTTGCTCATGACTTGGGAAGGAGTGCTTTTGCTCATGACTTGGGAAGGAGTGGGATTTATGATTTGGACCTCTAGTCTCTTTCAGTCCCCTCAGCTCTCCTATATGCGTTTCACTCCTCTGCCTTGAGTCTGCAGTCTGCTGCATACCCCATCCTCCATCTGCCTCAGCCTTACATACAAACAGTAGGTCTGGGCTCTTCCTCTCAAAGGTCACTCAGAGAGGTGCCTTTCTTCATAAAATCTTTGGGATTTAGATTTCCCCGGGAAGGATGGAATGTTCATTCTTGGGTCTCATCTTTTCCCCTTGACCCAAAACTTCTTCCCCACAGAAATGTCTTTAAGAATCTTCTGAGCTGCTTCATCTGCTAACTGCCAGTTCTCTAACACTGAAATGTGGTAGGTAACTGGACATATTTGAAGGACATCTTTATGTAAGTGATATATGGAGTCAGGAGATAGCCACCTTCATATATTGCTCTGTGCCAAGAGAAATAAAACCGATTTCTTTTTCCAAAAGAAGGAGACAAAACAGGAGAGGGGGAAGGGAAGAAAAGGAGGGGGAAGGGAGGAGAAGGGAAAGGGGGAAGGAAGGGGAAAGGAAGGAAGAAAAGGAGGGCAAAGGGGGGAGGGAAGGGGGAAGGATCAGAACTCTATCTATAAAAAGATGCAAAGTTTTAAAACTTGGAAAGGAAAAAACAAAACTCCCAACCCAAGTTGCTTCACTGGCAAATTCTACCAAATATTTAATATCGATTATATGTAAATTTCTCCAGAAAAAAAAGAAGAGTAATTTTTCAGCTCATTCTATGAGGCCAGCATTAATCCTATGTGACACACACACAGAGGTATTAAAGTAAAACTATAGATCAGTATCTCATGTGAATATTGTAGATGCAAAAAATTCTCAACAATGTATCACAAAATCAAATCTAGCAATATATAAAAAGGGTAATACATCATGACCAAGTGGGGTTTCTTCCCAAGAATGCAAGGCTGGTTTGATGTTCAAAAATCAACCAATATAATTCACTATGTCAACAGACTAAAGAAAAACATCATATAATCTTATTACATAACCACAGAAACATCTGACAACATGTAACGTCTATTCATGATAACAACTTGCAGCAAACTAGAAGTAGAAGGGACCTTTCTCAAGGTGATAAAGGGCATCTACAAAAAACCTATAGCTAACAATATTCTTTTTATCTTTTTGTGTATGTTGTTATTATTATAGATTTCAGTTTTATGCTGCAAATCCATAGTACATTGCTACCACTTTTACCTTAGGTGATCAGTTATCGTTTAGAACTATTAAAAATAAAAGAAATGCCTTTTTGTCTTCATTTCAGTCATTTTTGTTGGTCTTTTCTTTTTGCAGGTTCAGGTTTCTGATTTTTCAGGTTTTTCAGGTATTTTATTCCTTCTGTGGAAACAGCTTCCTTTAACATTTTTTATAGTATAGGTCTATTGGTAGTGAGTTCTTTTAGTTTTTGTTAGTCTGAAAATCTATTTCCACTATATTTTTGAAAAATTTTCTTTGGGTATAAAATATAGGTTTACAGTTTTTCCTGTCAACACTTTAGAAATGTCACTGCATTATCTTATAGCTTGCATAGTTTGTGATGAGAAATCTCCTTTAATTCTTTATTCCTCTGTATGTAATAGGTCTTTTTTTTTTCATTTGGTTGCCTTTAAAATTTTCTGTTTATATTTTGTTTTGTATGAAGAGTCTGAGTGGTTTTTACTTTGTGTGTGTATGTGTTGGGCTGCAGGGGTATGAGTAGGACTGTTTATTTTGCCTGAGGTTCTTTAAGCTGCTGGGGTCTGTGGGTTGATATCTTTAATTATTTTCTAAAAAATTCTCAGTTATTGTTTTTTAAAATATAGACATCCATCGACTTATGATAGGATTATGTCCTGATAAACCCATTGCAAATTGAAAACATCCTAAGTTGAAAATGCATTTAGTACACCTAACCTACCAAATATCATAGCTTAGCCTACCTTAAACATCCTCAGAACACTTACATTAGCTTACAGTTGGGCCAATTGATATAACAAAGCCCAGTTTATAGTAAAGTGTTGAATAGCTCGTGTAATTTATTGAATACTGAAAACGAATAACAGAATGGCCATACGAGCACTTGAAGTATAGTTACTACTGAATACTTATTGCTTTCATACCATTGTAAAGTTGAAAAAATCATGAGTTGAACCATCCTAAGTCAAACTGTCATAAGTTAGTGACCATCTGTATTTTTTCTTATCAATACTTTAAAAATGTCACTACATTATCTTATAGCTTGCATAGTTTGTGATGAGAAATCTTCTTTAATTCTTTGTTCCTTTATATGTAATGTCTTTTTATATATTGCAAGAGCCCCCTGCCCCACTTCTGGGATTCCAATTATATACATATACTAGGCTGTCATAGCTCTTGGACTCATTGTTAGATTTTGAGTTTAGCCAAATTTAAGTGCTTTTTAAAACAAAAAATGTGCACTTCTCAGAAGATATAACAGAATCAGCTTCCTGTAAAGCCTATCAATCACAGTGATCAGGATACAGTTTAAAATTACTCAATGTATGAAAAAAATAGGGAAAATGATCCATTTTTTTTTTTCCAAAAGTCAATCAATGGTGACCTGTTCTAAGGTAACCCAGATACTGGCATTAGTTGACAAGGATGTTAAAGCAGCTGTTATAACTATGCCCAGTGACATAAAGGAAAATATTTCTGAAATGACCAAATAGATGAAAATCTCATCAGAAATGAAATAACATGGAAATTCTAGAATGAAAACTTCAGTGTTTAAAACAAAGTCATCATGTTGACTGTTGTCATTGGAAGGGTGAGAGTCAGTGAACTTGTAGATAGATCAATGTAAATTATCCAGTGTGAAGAAAGAGAATTAAATATTTATTAAAAATGAATGGAGCTTCAGAAACTTATAGGACAGTATTCCAACATACATATAATTGGAATCCTGTATGAAGAGAGCAGATAGCTGTAAAAAATAGTTGAAGAAATAATGACTATATTTTTTCTATATTTGGTGATGGACCTGAATTTCAAGAAGCTAAGTAGATCCTAAACATGATAAATACCAACCAAATGTAGGCATATCATGGTCAAACAGCTGAAAGCCAAATACAAAGAGAAAAGTTTGAAAGTATTCATAGAGAAATGACACATGTTATATGTGGAGGTACTTTAATTTGACTGATGACTGAACACTCATCAGAAACCACAGAGATTACTTTTTCAAAATTTCTTTAAAATTATGTGAATGCTTAGGCAAAAACCATAGCATTTTATATTGGGTTATAACATACATAGATGTAATACATGCAGCTGTGGAATAAAAGAGGGAGGGAGGAAATGGAACTACAAGATTGTAAGGTTTCTCCATTTTATATGAAGTTACACCATATTACTCTTAATAGTCTGTGAAAAGTTAAGGACATAATTAATCCCTGGGACAAACATTAAAGAAAAATATTGCAGACACGTATAGCTTAACCACCAATAAATAAACTGTAAATCTCTCTCTCTCTCTCTCTCTATTTTTTTTTTTTTGGGGGGGGACCGAGTCTCACTCTTGTCACCCAGACTGGAGTGCAGTGGTGTGATCACGGCTCACTGGAACCTCAACCTCCTGGGCTTAAGTGATCCTTGCACCTCAGCTTCCTGAGTAGCTGGGACCACAGGTGCACGCCACCATGCTTGGCTAATTATTTTATTTTTTGTAGAGGTGGGGTCTCTCCATGTTGCCCAGGCTGGTCTTGAACTCCTGGGCTCAAGAGATCTTCCTGCCTTGGCCTCCCAAAGTGCTGGGATTACAAATGAAAGCCACTGTGCCCTGCCTAGAAAATATTTAAATAAAAAAAACAGAAAGGAAGGAATAGAGGACAACAACAAAAAGCAATGGAAATGGCGAACAGAAAACCAAAAATAATATCATACACCTATATCCAGTAATATCAATAATGCCATTAAGTTTTAGTGAATGAAATATTCTAAGTCAAAGGCAAAAATAGTTAAAACGACATAAAAGCAAGACCAAACTATTCACAGTCTAAAAAAGACACACTTAATAGAGAGGTTGAAAGTAAATGAATGGGAAAAAAGATACATAGTATATGAACAGCAAGTGTAGAAAGGTTTAAATGACTACATCAATATCAGAGTATACTTCAAGATGAAAAGTATTGTCAGAGACAAGAGGAGACCTTTCTTTTTTTTTTTTTTTTTTTTTTTAAATTTATTTTTTTATTGATAATTCTTGGGTGTTTCTCACAGAGGGGGATTTGGCAGGGTCATGGGACAATAGTGGAGGGAAGGTCAGCAGATAAACAAGTGAACAAAGGTCTCTGGTTTTCCTAGGCAGAGGACCCTGCGGCCTTCCGCAGTGTTTGTGTCCCTGATTACTTGAGATTAGGGATTGGTGATGACTCTTAACGAGCATGCTGCCTTCAAGCATCTGTTTAACAAAGCATATCTTGCACCGCCCTTAATCCATTTAACCCTGAGTGGACACAGCACATGTTTCAGGGAGCACAGGGTTGGGGGTAAGGTCACAGATCAACAGGATCCCAAGGCAGAGGAATTTTTCTTAGTGCAGAACAAAATGAAAAGTCTCTCATGTCTACTTCTTTCTACACAGACACGGCAACCATCCGATTTCTCAATCTTTTCCCCACCTTTCCCGCCTTTCTATTCCACAAAGCCGCCATTGTCATCCTGGCCCGTTCTCAGTGAGCTGTTGGGCACACCTCCCAGACGGGGTGGTGGCCGGGCAGAGGGGCTCCTCACTTCCCAGTAGGGGCGGCCGGGCAGAGGCGCCCCTCACCTCCCGGACGGGGCGGCTGGCCGGGCAGGGGGGCTGACCCCCCCCACCTCCCTCCCGGAGGGGGCGGCTGGCCGGGCGGGGGGCCGACACCCCCACCTCCCTCCCGGACGGGGCGGCTGGCCGGGCGGGGGGCCGACCCCCCCACCTCCCTCCCGGACGGGGCGGCTGGCCGGGCGGGGGGCTGACCCCCCCACCTCCCTCCCGGATGGGGCGGCTGGCCGGGCAGAGGGGCTCCTCACTTCCCAGTAGGGGCGGCCGGGCAGAGGCGCCCCTCACCTCCTGGACGGGGTGGCTGGCCGGGCAGGGGGGCTGACCCCCCCCACCTCCCTCCCGGACGGGGCGGCTGGCCGGGCGGGGGGCTGACCCCCCCACCTCCCTCCCGGACGGGGCGGCTGGCCGGGCGGGGGGCCGACACCCCCACCTCCCTCCCGGAGGGGGCGGCTGGCCGGGCGGGGGGCCGACCCCCCCACCTCCCTCCCAGATGGGGCGGCTGGCCGGGCAGAGGGGCTCCTCACTTCCCAGTAGGGGCGGCCGGGCAGAGGCGCCCCTCACCTCCAGACGGGGCGGCTGGCCGGGCGGAGGGCTGACCCCCCCACCTCCCTCCCGGACAGGGCGGCTGGCCGGGTGGGGGGCTGACCCCCCCACCTCCCTCCCGGACGGGGCGGCTGGCTGGGTGGGGGTGCTGACCCCCCCATCTCCCTCCCGGACGGGGTAGCTGGCCGGGCTGAGGGGCTCCTCACTTCCCAGTAGGGGTGGCCGGGCAGAGGCGCCCCTCACCTCCCGGACGGGGCGGCTGGCCGGGCGGGGGGCTGACCCCCCCACCTCCCTCCCGGACGGCACGGCTGGCCAGGCGGGGGGCTGAACCCCCCACCTCCCTCCCGGATGGGGCGGCTGGTCGGGCGGGGGGCTGACCCCCCCCACCTCCCTCCCGGACGGGGTGGCTGCCGGGCGGAGACGCTCCTCACTTCCCAGATGGGGTGGCTGCCGGGCGGAGAGGCTCCTCACTTCTCAGACGGGGCAGCTGCCGGGCGGAGGGGCTCCTCACTTCTCAGACGGGGTGGTTGCCAGGCAGAGGGTCTCCTCACTTCTCAGACGGGGCGGCCGGGCAGAGACGCTCCTCACCTCCCAGACGGGGTCTCGGCCGGGCAGAGGCGCTCCTCACATCCCAGATGGGGCGGCGGGGCAGAGGCGCTCCCCACATCTCAGACGATGGGCGGCCGGGCAGAGACGCTCCTCACTTCCTAGATGTGATGGCGGCTGGGAAGAGGCGCTCCTCACTTCCTAGATGGGATGGCGGCCGGGCGGAGATGCTCCTCACTTTCCAGACTGGGCAGCCAGGCAGAGGGGCTCCTCACATCCCAGACGATGGGCGGCCAGGCAGAGACACTCCTCACTTCCCAGACGGGGTGGCGGCCGGGCAGAGGCTGCAATCTCGGCACTTTGGGAGGCCAAGGCAGGCGGCTGGGAGGTGTAGGTTGTAGCGAGCCGAGATCACGCCACTGCACTCCAGCCTGGGCACCATTGAGCACTGAGTGAACGAGACTCCGTCTGCAATCCCGGCACCTCGGGAGGCTGAGGTTGGCGGATCACTCGCGGTTAGGGGCTGGAGACCGGCCCGGCCAACACAGTGAAACCCCGTCTCCACCAAAACCAGTCAGGCGTGGCAGCGCGTGCCTGCAATCGCAGGCATTCGGCAGACTGAGGCAGGAGAATCAGGCAGGGAGGTTGCAGTGAGCCGAGATGGCAGCAGTACAGTCCAGCTTCGGCTCCGCATGAGAGGGAGACCGTGGGGAGAGGGAGGGGGAGGGGGAGGGGGAGGGGGAGGGGGAGGGGGGAGGCCTTTCATAATGAAAAAAAGGATCCATTCATTAGAAAGACATAATCACAACATTAAAACATAAGCAAATGTGTAGGCATCAAATAACAGAGCTTTGAAATGTATGAATCACAAATGGAAGAATTAAAAGGAGATTCCTTTTTAATTTTTTATTAAAAAGGTAATTCCACAAAGATTGTTGGATCCTTCAACATTCTTCTCTTCAACTGATAGAATAAGCAGACAGAAAATCAAAGATGATGTAGAAGTCCCGAATGACAGTATGAGCTATTTTAAATGAATTGATATTTATTTATACAGCACTTTACTCAACAGCTGCTGAGTACACTTTCTTTTCAAGTGCACATGGTATGTTTACCAAAAATAAATTGTATGCTGGATCATAAAACACATTCAGTCAATTTAAAAAGTTAGAAATAGTACAGAGTATGGCTAGGTGCAATGGCTTATGCCTGTAATCCCAGCACTTTGGGAGGCTGAGGTGGGTGGATTGCTTGAGCTCAGGAGTTTAAGACCAGCCTCGGCAAACATGGCAAATCCTCATCTCTACAACAAATACAAAAATTAGCCGAGTGTGGTAGCATGTACCTGTAGTCCCAGCTACTCAGGATGCTGAGGTGAGAGGATTGCTTGAGCCTAGGAGGTTGAGTCTGCAGTGAGCTGTGATCACACTGCTGCACTTCAGCTGGGGCAACAGAGCAAAACCCTGTCTCTCAAAAACAAAAAACAAGCACGATCTTTGACCATGATGGAATTAAATTAGAAATCAATAATAGACATCAGGAAAAACTTCAAATATTTGAAAATTAAGCAATATGTTTCTAAATAAATAGACATCAAGTAAGCAATTACAAAGGAAATTGAAAATATTACAAAGTTGATTCTTTGAAAGAATCAACAGAATTGATAAACCTTTTTAGCTAAATTGATCAAGAAATAACAGAAGACAGATTACCAATAGCAGGAGTAAATGGTATTGCCAATATGAGGCTATCATTGCAGATTCCACATACATTAAATGCATAATAATGGAATATTATAAGCAGTTTTTTTGCAAAATTTAATAATGTAGACAAAACAAGGAAAATATTACAAAGTCGATTCTTTTAAAGTATCCACAGAATTGATAAATCTTTTTAGCTAAATTGATCAAGAAATAACAGAAGACAGATTACCAATAGCAGGAGCAAATGGTATTGCCAATATTAGGCTATCATTGCAGATTCCACATACATTAAAGGCATAATAATGGAATATTATAAGCAGTTTTTTTGCAAAATTTAATAACATAGACAAAACAAATTTTCTAAAACAATCTTATTGAAACTGAGTCAAGGTAAAGCAAGAAGTATGCCATTTGTAGTATTAATTGAATTGGTAATAAAA